>NC_000016.10:50320075-50623106 GCF_000001405.40 Homo sapiens | reverse complement strand
TTGCTCCTGCAGCTCCCTCTGCCTGATAGGCCCTTCTCACCCCAAAGGCTCCCCTGTGCACCCCTCTCCCAACTCCTACCCCTATGCTCAGAGCCTCACCCACCTCCCCAGTCTCTATCCACAGCCGCTGTTCCCTCCTCCAGGCACCGCACAGAGCCTGGAAATGCCAAGTGTCCGTTACCCCACACCCCTCGGCCTGACCCCACTCCAGGCTCCCAGATCTCATCTCATCACTGACTGTGCAGCCACTGGGTTTGGGGCGCTCAACTGTCCCCTGGTCACACTGTGCACTCCTTGACGGCAGGAACCACACCCAGTCTAAGCTGGGTACCCTGGCAATTAGCCGGTGCCAATCAGCATTGGTGAGAAAGAGGGGCACCCTCTTAAGCACTTTAGACCTTTAGGCGCACGAACTCATGCTGCTGACAACAGCCCAATGCGACAGACATCACCATTATCCCCACCTTACAGGCGAGGCACGTGAGGCCACTGAGACTTTAGGGAACTTGCCCCAAAGTCTCAGAGCTACTAAGTGTATAGCCAGGATTTGAACCCAGGCCTGCTGACTCTAGAGCTATGCCCTGGTGGTCTCAGGAAGGCAAACAGAGGGAAGGAGGGAGGGAGCAAGGAGGGCAGAGCAGTGGGGAAGCTCCATGCAGCAGGCCTGGGCCTGGCTCTCAGCACTGGCCACTGTGCTGGGGGCACAGGAGCGTGCTACACTATCAGGCGGTGGGGAACAGACTGTGCAGCCACTGGGTCTGGGGCACTCAACTGTCCCCTTCTCACCCCAAAGGCCCTTCTTTTCCCAAAGACTCCCTTGTACATCCCTCTCCCAACTCCTACCCCTACGCTCAGAGCCTCACCAACCTCTGCCCACAGCTGCTACTCCCTCCTCTAAGCACTGCACAGAGCCACACGGAGGCACATCCTTGGTGGTGCCCACATGGGGAAACTCAGGCCCAGAGAGCGTCAGGGTCCTGCCCGTACCTCCTGTTCATCCATCCCACCTGAGATCCCCCACAGGCACCCCCAGAACAGCCTCAAGAGTTGGAAGGGAAGGTTTCACCGAGGAAACTGAGGCCCAGAGAGGTGACAGCAACAGAAGGGCCAGAGTCCTGCCTCCCTCGTCTACTCTCATGCCCTCTCCCAAGCTGCTGGGCACAGCCCGCATGGAGGGGCTGGGGCTGGGCTGAGGGGGTGGGCAGCGGTGAGTCCCTGGGGTCTGCCCTGAGCCAGGACGGCCCCAGATGTGGCAGAAGGAACCTCCCACAGAGGGTGCTGTTCATGCAGGGGAGGGGCCTTCCTGTCTGGAAGAGCCTCAGCTTCCCTCCTCCCAAAGCCCCAAGCTGAGAAAACCCATCTCATCTCCTCAGGACCCAGCACCAAAAGGAAACTTACTTCAAACTTCAGCTGCTTCTTGGAGCCTGGGCAGGGTTCGCTCACTCTCTCCATCTTCTTCTCATCTCCGCTGCCCAGCCCGTCAGTCTTCTCAGGAGGCAGGGCCACTGTCGGGGAGGCAGGCGAGGGAGCATTAGGAGCAGGGTCCAGACGCCGGGCAGCCATGCTCACTGCACCTTTGTCCTCCATGCCTGGCCTGGACATTCTCGCCAGGGGGCTGGGCCCGCTCCTGCCCTGCCCATTTGCTGGGGTCAACATCACACTACTCTGGCACCTGGTACTGCCTGGGAAGACCTTCCCCCAACATGGTGCACCCACTTGCACCGTGGGGGGCCCCCTCAGGCCCCCACCAGCCTATGACTTCTGCCCTATGGAGGCACACAGCCACCCAGAGCAGTGTCAGGCCAGAGGGCAGATGGATGAGAGTGGAGGGGTGCTTCTGGAGCCCAGCGAGGGAGCTTAGGGACCATGGCCATTTTCTGCAGTCTCACTGCCTTCTGTGTTGACATTTTGGCCTCCTCAAAGGTGCCACCCACCTGAGCACAGCCTACGGCACCTTGGTGGATGGCCAGGAGGAGTGCCAGAAACAGAGTTCAACTGGGTTGGCAAAGAAGTGCACACATGCACCGTCCACATACATGTATGCACAAGCGCACATGGACACACATACACACGCACATGCAGACATATGTACACTCATGCATCACACCTGCTTGCACACATATGCACACTCACACATGCACACACACTCACACATACACAAAAGGCATCTTCAGGGAGCACGCTCATCCTGAACCTTGCATTTGGCCTCTGCTCACCCCAGGTCCTCCCCTCTCTGCCAAAGGTCACGGTCCTGTGTGTGGCCTGCCAGGAAATGTGGGAGGGTGAGTGTGAAATCCCAGGACCTACTGACACTATTTTCCTGAGGATGCCAGCTCCGGGTAGCATCATTGTCCTTGACCTAGGATCCCGACTACAAAGTGCCATCAATTCTTGGAATGTCCCATAAGCCTCCTTTAGTCCCTTCCGCCATTTTGTCTCTGTCAGATAGAGGGGCTGGGGTTTGCCGGAGACATCTTTTCCAGGCCACACTCACAGCTCCTCTCATCTGATTCCTTCTGTTGCCCTGGGGTAGTAAATTTGTTGTCCTGTTTTAAAGGTGAAGAAACAGCCTGGCTCCTACTCCGGGAAGGGACCCTGGCCCCTCCACCCTGACCCAAGGGTGGCCAGGGGGTCATGTGAGGTGCTGAGACTCCCCAGTCAGAGAGGAAGGCAAGGCAGGACTTTCTTGGGAAGTCAGCAGCCTGGAGAAATGAGGCCGCTGGGCCAGGAAACTAGATGGGGGATTTGTGTCTCTCCGATCCCACACTCCCACCACACTCACACACCCCAGCTTTGCAAGCAAGGACCCAAGGGCAGTCCCTGGGCCAGGCACAGTGGAGATGCCCCCAGTGGGCCTGGGCCCCAGCTCTCCTGCTCTGCTCTGGTCCTGCGAACTGGGAGCTCTCTCCTCTGCAATTAACTAAGGCACTTCCCCTGGTGTCCTTGCGCCTTGGCGCCACTGTACATAAAGATGAGGCAGCAATGACTAAGCACTTGCTGTTTACCAAGTCCATCCTCATGAAGCCCTGTGAGGCAGTTATTACGATTACCTCCATTTTCCAGATGGGGAAACTGAGGCTTGGAGAGGATAAGTGCCTCGCTAGTAAATGACAGAACTGGGATTTGAACCCAGGTAGCCTGAATAATGCTCACAGTCAGTCCACTAGGCTGCCCCTCCATGCCTTTCATGGCTCAATTCGGGAGACTTGGTGCTTCTCTCAGCCTGCCTCTCTCTCTCTCATGGAGGCCAGCCAGCCAGGGCAGTGGTCATCTCCACGTGGGTTCTGTTCTCTGGCACTGTGTGACCCTGGGTGGATCACATACCTTCTCTAGATGTCTCAGTTTCCCCAACCGTAAAATGAGGAAGCTACCAACCCCTTCCCCAGAGGATTCTTATGTGGATCCAACAAACTCTGATCATAAGGGGCTAAGACCCCCAGTGCACTAGGTCTGGCCATAAGTAGTAACAGTCAGGAGACTGATGGCCCCACCCCACTGACTCCTGGGAACAGCTCAGTTAGCAGCTAAGTTTTCTCAAAACTGAGGCTTCACGAATGCAAATGGACACAAAAGCATTATATTAAATACATACAGCCTGTGCGGGCAGCTTTGGACAAGGCCCTTGACTCCTCTGGACCTCAGTCCCCTTGTCTGTAAAATGGGAATATGATGGCCTCACTTTCACAGGGCTGTTGGGAAAGGGCAATGAGGAAAGTGCTTACTGAGCACAGTGGCCGGCACGCAGTAAGTGCTCAACAAATGCTGGCTTTGCCAAGGATGTGTGCCAGCTGACAGCCCAGATCCCAACGATCCTGCTTGACCCCAAACTGCCCCACCGGAGAAACCAGAGTAATATCACGGCCTGCAGCATCCTCTACTCACCCCTCCCAAGCAGAGGGAAAGAAGAGAAAGAAAAAGAAGAAAGAAAAACAAAGCCCAGCTCCATCTTCAAAGCTGCTGCCTCTCTCTGCAGAGGTCCTGGCTGGAGATGCAAGCTGGCCAGGCTTGTCGAAACCAAACTTCAAGTTCAAAGGGAAGTTATCAGAAAACCACCTTCAGGTTCAATGTTGCCTTTCATGTTCCACTTGATAAAATCCAAAGAAAAGGAACCTCTGTCCCTGCTCTCTCCTCCTCTGGAGCACTCTTCCTCCACCGTGCACGGACAGCCTGTCTTCCCTCAGGACCTCCCCTTTCCTTCCTTTCTCCTCACCTGAAGGGGCTGGAAAACATCCCCCTCGACCCCTCATATGTCTTCCCCAAAGACCAGTGTGGCCCGGATTGTCCTCTCTTCACCAGTGGCTCCCTCATCCCATCCCAGCTCAGAAAGCCACACGGACATCCACAGGTCAGCCGACGGTCAGTGAACCCGCCAGGGGCCCCTCCCAGCATGGGGCCTGTGATCCATCCTGCCCTGGGGCTGTGGGGGTCAGGAACAAGGACAGTCAGCACTCTCTATCCCCACCAAAGAAGGTCGTTCACCCTCTTATTGTCCCCTAACCAGTAGCTAGAAGAGGTGGCAGAGAACTGGCCATGCAGACCCCAATGCCAGGGGCAGGCGCCAGGCCTCATCCACATATGAGCCCTCTGAAACTAAACTAAGTCAAGCCACCACAGCCCCCAGCCAGCCCTGTGCAGAAGAAACCACCCTCCACCCATCAGTGAGTGCAGGCCCACTGGAGGCGGGAGAGGCGGACTGGTGCTCGCTGCAGGCCACCCAGGCCACACCAAGGGGGATTGCAATGATGATAGTTGAGATCAGCTTTGGCACCAGAGTCTGAGTCCATTCTCTGCCTCTGATTCCTGTTTAGCCCAGCCATTTTTCCGCTTGAGAAATTATCTTTTGGGGGCCTAATTTCAGGGGGTGCTGATCATACTGATCACTCTTCAATTGAAAGTCTGAGGAACTATAGGAGACACTGCTCATTTGGAAGAAAAAAGGAAAGCAGGAGACCGGGTGGGGAAAAAAGGCCTTTCACTTGCCTAAGAAGCACTTTTGGGTGACTTAGAGCAGGAGGTGGCAAACTACACTTGCTGAGCCAAACCTGGCCCACCTCCTGTTTTTGTAAATAAAGTTTTATTGGGACACAGCCATGCTCATCTGCATTGTCCATGGCTTCTTTCACTCTGTGACAGCAGAGTTGAACTGTTGCAACAGAGCCCACAAAGTCTAAAATACATACTATCCGGCCCTTCATGAAAAAGTCTGTGGATTGATTGCTGCTTTAGATGTGTGCCACCCTCTACTTCCACCAGGATATGTGCTTGATGAGCAGGGCACAGACAGTTTCACCTATTACTTGCCTGCTTGGCTGGAAATCCTTGTGCAGTACACAACCTGCCCAACCATACAGTGGCTGTGGAAGAAAGAAAATGTCAACTCTGCTTTCTTAAGGCCTATTGTCAGCCCATATGAATCTGGGGGGTTGGTAATGGTTTGTGGAGTTCCCTCTCTTTGGAAACTGCTCCCTGTCCCTCCTCACACCACAGCCACGAGGAGTCAGCTTGCTGTGTTTACCAAATGACGGTTCTCTCCCCATTAGCTCCCAGCCTGGCAGCTCTCCACCCTCAGCAACTGCCAGATTAAAGGCATTACTTGACCATCTTCACCCGGCTCCCTTTGATGTTCCCTTCTCAAGCTTCAAAATACCTTTTGGAGGGAGATCAGACAGCATTAAACAGAATTACTAATTAATTAAGCAAAGTTAAATTTTAAACACTGTTTGTTGTGTTAGCCAAAAGCCTGAACAGACTTTTTTCCTCCGCTGAGATCAAAGACAGTCTCTTCCCTCTCCCCTCCCCCAGTTTAAAAAAGGGAGGGGTGGGGAGGAAGAGAGAGCGAAAGAAGAAGAGTGAGGAAATACCTGAATGGTGACAACTTTGACTGTGGGTCTAGACACCCCTCCCGCCTCCCCATGGGCCCAATGGGAGGCTCCTTGGGGACCGCATGCTGTGAGAGCCACAGTCACTCGGGACTGTTTACCCTGGCAAATGGCAGTGACCCAGGGAGCAGGATGGCACAGCCCACCCAGCCCAAGCTGCTGACAGCTGGCGCCACCCAAACAGCAAGAGAAGAAGGCCTGTGAAATAAAACAGACCTGTCCTCCTCAACAGTACAACAGGGTGAGCTCCTCGGGGCTCTTCCCCTTGGTCTGGGGTCACTTGAGGTCACTAGGAGACCGGATCCAAGAAGCAGGCTGTGCACTGTACAACCCCAGGTGGTGCCACTCATATGACCAATACCCTAGATATGTGTATTGCTTATGACATCCTTTGGACAGATGGCAGAAAGGTGTCTTGAGGAGGGGCAGCTTTTTTCTAATTTGCATGAATGCATCCGGAGCTAGTGGGGTGCTGTCTCCCGCCATTCAGTCTAGCACTTTATTCTGTACAGTCCTATCTGGGACCTTCTGATTGCTTCACAGGAGCCTCCACATCTGCACAGCCAGAAAGCAAGTTTCTTGAGATCTGGCGCCTTCTAGGCTTCTGCTCCCGGGTTGCCCAATGCCTAGCACTTCCCATACGTGCACAGGGCAGAGATTCCGCCAGGCCTGCTGAACTACAGCACATTCTACAGGTAGGCATAAGGAAGCTTGGCTACATAACAAATATGCCATACCTTCTGCCTTGATGGAGACTGGGAAGTGCCATGGGGAGGTGGGGAGTTGAAATTTACATAAAAATCCAAACCTGGGATGATACCAGTAAATGCCAGCTTATCTTAACACAATCCAGAAAGGCCTGGTGCATATGAAACTTGGAAAGAAGAGACAAATTTGAAACACAGTTATGACTAAATCAGCCCCACTAAAGACCAGAAATTACTAACAATTCAATTGCATGGCAGACCCCTCTCTTAGCCTAGTTACCTGGCAAGTTCTTCTCAGTGAATACAATGTAAGATTTAACACAAGCCAGAACTTCCTTGCTAGAGTCTGGATGCTCGCCCTGACATATCCACAGTCCTTTCTCAATCGTCCACGTACAGATTATCTGCTGCAAATATTTTAGTCTCAGGGTTGCTTGCCAAGATGTTTGAGTCCACAACCTTCTGACAGCAGCTGTTCGAGGGAATGCAGATGAATTTTAATATTAGCCTCTGCCAAATATAATTAGGCGGGTAAATCTGCTGCCAGTAAAAAGAGAAAGATATCATATGTGCATTCCAGGCCAAATGGTTTCTTGCAGTATCTGTATCAGGCTCTCCTTAGGGAATGAGGGTCCTAGCGATCCCACCTCTGTTTGTAAACACAGCCACATACTGTGGTGGGCTGCATGGAGAGGCTGGTGAAGTTAGTAGTACCACACATTATTCCATTAAGTCCTCTTAACACTGTGCAGGGTGTGCTACTGTTGGCATCGTACAAAAGAGGAAACTGAGCTTAAAAACCAAAACTGATTATGCCGTTTCCCTGCTTAAACCCCTCCAGTGGCCCCCTTTCCCCTAAGGAGGGGTCCAAAGGCTTCCACGACCCGGCTGCTGCCACCTCTCAGTCCCGTCTCTCTGTGGAACTGCTTTCCCTTTTCTGAGCCTGCCATGCTCTCACGCTGTTATCCCTGCCAAGAACACTCTTTCCAGCTCTGCAATTCCCACTCATCCTTCAGGTCTTCAGTTTAAGCCTCCCTTCCTCTGAGCAGCATGCTGTCACACCCTCAGGGCTAGGTTAGGCTTCCCTGCTCAGTGAGCCTTATTACACCATCATTATATCACTCATTTAATCATCAGAATCTTCCATCAGCCCAATATCTATACCCTGAGATATATATGTCTATAGTGCAGTGTCTATCACACTATAGGTGCTGCATCATCAGCAGCATCATCAAAATGAAACAACGGTAAGTAGCAGAACCAGGATTTGAACCCAGAAGTTGTGGAACAAAGAGAACTAAATCCCAGTTTCCCAACTCCTCAACCACTGGCCTGTCCACTCTCTCAGACCACAATAGCTGACACCTGTTCCTGCCTGTCCAGCAATCCTTCTCCTCCTTCTGATGATAGCATCTGGCTTTCCTCCCCAGAGCTACTCATCCCCCACTCTCAGTCTATCTAGTTTATGGAGACTGATCCCACTCCAGGGTCACACTGCACTCAGTACCCCTACCTGACCCAGCTTGTTTCATCCTGAAGGCCACGTGGCTGGTCCTAGGTCAGTATGAAAGAAGAGTTTATGAAGAAGCTAATGAAGCTAGGCTTCTGGGCCCTCTCACCTACACGGGCCCTTTCCAAGTCAGGATGGGTCTTTGCAAGGTGTTTATGTGGTCATATGTGTTTGTATTTGTAACATTTTCCAAATTAGGCATTTTATCCTCAATCTATTAAGATTGTCATCTAACCATTCTGACATCCTTTGCCTGTGTGAGGTGATACTAGGGGAAATACAGGCATTTCTGGACATGAGCTAAGGAGAGACTGAGTTGGTGAGATATTTATTTTGGTTTGGCCCCAGAAAGCTTCAGGTCCCATAAAACCTAGATCTACCCTGGTCAAGTGACCAGTAAAGTGGTCAATAAAGTGAGTCCAACATGTGCAAGAACCCCTGTGACCTGGGAACTTTCTTCCACCTGACAGGGCTGTGCTCATAGGATGGGAGTGCCCAGAGCTGGGAACTGCCACCCTTGCCCCCTGTGGGGGAGAAGCCACCAGGGGACAGAGGGAGAGATGATGGAGAGGGAGAGAGAGGGGCAGCGAGCGAGACATGTGTGTGAATGTGTGAGTATACGTGTGTGTGTGAGTGTGTGTGTGTGCGTGCATGTGTCCATGACATGGTTTTAGCTCCAGAATCCAAACAGGCCTTTTTAGGCAAGATCTACCCTAGGATTTTTCAATTTCATGAGCCAAAAGTTTAAGTGAGTTTCCAAAAGAACCGAAAGAATCCTGACTTAACAAATCCGTCTCTCTGAGATCCTGCTTTTTAGGAAAAACCACCAGCACCAGCACCACAGCAGTAATTCACTCACCCAGGGCAGTCCCTCTAGGGTGATTTCCAGCTTTTTCACCTGTGGGTGTCTGCCCCTTCCTGAGACCAGAAATGCCACCAGGGACTTCTTCTCCACCATCCTGCCTCCCAGCTGCATTTTACTGCCACTAGATTTTGCTTATGGACCAATTGTAACTGAGGGGAAACAAAAAAGGGGGAAAAGCGGGTAGGGGAGGAAATCCTTCTCAACAAATAACATTCTGGCCTTTTTTTCCTCATCAGAGCATAAGGCTGGTGGCCACTCGGCTTTGACATCTGAACAGGATTGAGACGAAACATCTGTTCAGGGAGGGAGGGGGAAGCCCCGGGAGAGAAGGGGAAAGGGGAGAAAAAGCCTTCTGTGGGCTAAAAATATCACGTCCCTTCCACTCTCCCCCGCCCGCCCCCACCCAAGTTAAAACATGTGATGAAATTCGGCTTTTACAATCTAACCCCGAGCTACTTGAAACTATTAAAGCCTCTCCGGTATCTGACACAAGTCAGAATTTCCACTGTTCCAGCTGAGCTTTTATGAGGAGCAGACTTGAGAGAAACTGCCAAGGTAACAAAGTCCGCTTGTTCTCTGTCACCGCTGCAACTCAGCTTCTGGGGGGACTGTAGGGGAGTGGAGAGTCAGGGCCGCTGACACCCCCCGACAGGACAGGCTCTGAACTGAGGGAGAGGAGCCGGCGGGGCATGGGCACCTGCCCCTCCATCTGGGGGTCCCTGCTGCCTTCCCATGAACTCCTCTTCCTCCCAGCCTTCCTGGGAAGCCACCGCCAGCCCTGTGTATTGAGGAGCCTTGCCCGAGAGTCCCGGGCAATGTCCGTGGCTACTTCCTGAGAAGTCTTGACTCGCTCTCTCTCTCTGTTTCTTGCCCAACTGCTCCTTGAACCCCAAGCTCCAATCACCAGGTATCCCACGGCCTCCTCGGTACCTCTCCTTGGATGTTAAATGGGCATCTTGAACCCAACTGGTCCAAAAACGGGAGGCTTGATGGTCACCCGCCAAAACCTCCACCTCAGAAGTGACACCGCCAAATCCTTAGTTCCTGAAACCAAAAGTCTAAGATGCATCCCTGATCTCTCTCGTTCCCTCAACCCCCTTCTCACCAGCTCCAACCTCCAGCCCCATGGACCTCTCCCCAGCCCCAAGCTCCCAGGCTAGGCCAGCACCATCTCCTCTCGCCTGCGACCCTGCAGTCACCTCCTGGTTTCATTGCCCTCTTCCTCCCTGCCCATGGGCAGTCCCTCCCAGAAGCCAGAATTAACTTCTTAAAACAGAGGTCAGAATCCAGCAGTCACCCACCCAACCATCTGGGCAGAACCACGCAACCTAAGGGCGTGGTCCCACACTTGCCGACCACCCCACTCTCATTCCTGATGCCACATCGGCCTCCTTTTTGTTCTTCCCCAAACACCAAGTTCCCTCCACTCTGGGGTTCTGCTCACTCATAGCTGCTCTCCCCCTACATTCTTCCATGGCTGGCTCCTTCCTGGCATCTGCATCTCAGCTGAAACATCACCTTCTCAGAAAAGCCTCCTCACTCTACCTCTCCCTGGGTTTTACGTCTTAGCAGAGAACCACTACTAGAAACTTCCATGCTCCTTCGCAGATTTATGTATTCATCCCTGCCTCCCTCCTGTGAATGTCGTGACTGCTGGGCCTGCCTACCTTGCTCGTGCCTGTGAACCCAGGGCCCAGCAGAGCCCCTAGCTGCAGCAAATGCCCAGCACATACTGAATGGTGAGGAGTGAGGGGCCAGATTCTGTTCTCAGTCTGCTGTGTGACCCTGGACAGGTCACTTCCCTCTCTGGGCTTCAGTTTTCCAACTACAGATGAAAGGAAGTACAGGCCTCCCAAGTTCCTTTGCCCAACATCTGACCCCTGGGAGCCTGGACAGACTGGCCCAGGCCCCAACACAGGTACACAGGTCCTGCCTGAGAGGCCGGAGGGAGGGGTCACCTGCTTTCAGTGAGGCAGAGGGAGAGGTCACCTGCTTTCAGTGACTACAGGGTATTGACTTTCCTTCTTCAGTGAGTGTTTATTTATTGAGCACATACAGCATGCCAGACCCTACTCCAGGCACCAGGAGTACGGGGAGGCCTTTGGAGATTCTAACAGGATTAAAGAAGCTTTGCAAAGAGGTCCTCTTTGATCTGGGCTAGGTAAATGATTATAAACACGGGCTGACACCTCTTCAAGAAAACTGAACCCAGGAAACAAGAATCATGGCAGCTCAAGTGTGCTGGGCACTTACTCTGTACCAGGGCCACCCTTGCGACCTACATCCATCACCTCATTGTCTTCACAATAACCCTGGCAAAGAAGTGCTACAAGGAACCCAGTGAGGAAGTTGAGCCACAGGGAAGTGACTCACCCAAGGTCACACAGTGAGTGTGGGTAAGCCAGGCTGGAATGGGGTCTGAGCTGCGAATTCACAGGAAGTCAGAATCAAGGGAGGAGAGATGAGGAAGGCAAAGTTAGGGACCATTGCAGAGCTGAACAGGCCCCGAGCTCCCCGAGTGCTGCTCAGCCCCCACCAGGCCTCAGTCTTAACACTGCTCCCTGCTGGGCAGAACCACCAACTCCAGGCACATCCACCCTTGGGCTGAGGAAGCAGAGACCACCCCACGGGCTGCCACATGCGCACGCCAGGCCAGTGGGGAGAGGGCAGCAGGGCCAAAGCAAGGCCTGCCCTGGAAGCTGGGAGGCCTGGGCCTGGTCCCGAGGAGGAGGGGCTGCCTGACTTCAGTGGCTCTGAGCATCTCCTTTAGGGAAGCTGCAGAGCAGCCTTCCTAAAGATGCCGGAGAGTGGAGAAATAGAAACCAGGCACTTGAGGATGCGGAGAGACAACGAGCAAAGGCCCAGAGATGAGACACAGAGATAGCCAAGAAGCTGGGCGGGGGCAGCGTTCACCAGGTGAGAGGCAGGGGGGACCTGGAGAGAGGGAGATGGGAGAGGGGGATGAAGCAGTGGCTGCAGCACCCTCAGACACAGTGACTCCTGGAGGCCATGCAGGGGAACGTGGCCTGGCCACCCATTCTCCCCGTGGGGCCCAAGCCGCAGGCTGCGACTACCTGGAGTCCTGCCCAGCTGTGGGGGCAGGGAGGCTGGGTGTGCGCTGAAGGTGAGCATGGGGTCACCCCTCCCTGGTCCTCAGACCTCAGCTGGGTCAGCTGAGGAGGGGTCCCTCTCCCCTTCTCCCCACGAAAGCCTCACCTCACCAGCCCTGCCACGCCCAGCCAGCTCTCAGAGCTTGAGACTTTTGATGTTTACTTTGTTCTTTCCCCAGTTCAAAAGGAGCTCTGCAGCCCTGGCCCACCAAGCCCAGCCTTAATCTCCCATCCCTCCCGCTCCCAGCTGGCCAGTTAAGGCGGTTAAGATGCTGGATTAGGGCCGGCTTTACATAACAACGCGGGAGCTAAAGCCATCCTCTCCTGGGATGGCTAAAAGACTTCTTTTTATCTTCACGCCTCAGATGGCCTTTTTTCTCTCTTAAACAGCTCTCCAGCCCGCCAAGAGGCAATGAACTTGGCCAACAGGAAGACAAAGAAGAGATTCAGGACTCGGCTTGTTCTCCCTTAGTCAGTAGCACAGAGGGACCCCTCAGTCCCAGGTCCAGAGCAGGCAGCTGGTTTTCTGTGGCCAGAACTCAGTAGCACCTGCTCTCACCAGACCTGGCCACGCGGTGGCCTACCATCCACACCATATCCCCCACCCTGGGGTGGGAGGCCTCGGGCCACAGGACCAAGGGTGCCAGAGGACCACAGATGGTCACTGGGCCCAGGGTCCCTCATGGGGTCTTAAGGGCCACACGGACAGGTCCAGATGCCCACCCGACTCAAACCAGAGCAGCTCCACTCCTACTGCCTTATTTACGGTTTTCACCTTTAAATACTGACATTAGTTTTTAATTTCATAAGGAATACATAATTGTGGTTTTTTGATTTTTTAAAAAATATAGTTTTTGAATTATTGATAATAGAGACAGGGTCTCACTATGTTGCCCAGGCTGGTCTTGAACTCATGAGCTCAAGCGATCCTCCAGCCTCAGCTTCCCAAAGTGCTGAGATTATAGGTTTGAGCCACCATGCCCAACTATGTTCTTATAAAAGTTTAACCATGAAATGCAGATAACACAGACTTAAGTCTCCTCCCATGTTTGGAAAGAGCTATGGTTATCATCTGTCTAGGCCTCTATCCACACAGTCATATGCATATGTGGTACCCTAAGAAACTCCTGAGGATGGTCTGGTGCCTTTTTTTCACATAAAAGATACCAGACTGTATGCACACACAAAGCTTTCTGTTCATGGGACTCCTCCCCCTTGATCTGGGGCCTGCTTACATTTGAGTAAAGTTTGCTAGATACCTGGCTCTCCAGCCTGCCTCCAACTTCTAGGCAACGGAGTGAGTATCTTCAAACAGTGCTTCTCTGAGTGCAGTGTTCATGCAAGCCACCTGGGGAGCTTGTTAAAATGCAGATCGGATTCAGCAGGCCTGGGCTGGAGCTGAGATTCTATATTTATAACAGCTCTCAGGCCAGATGTGGCCACGGTCCTCAGGTCTGGCCGATGCTCCCCTTGAGAACTTCCCAGAACTGTCTGCTCTCCTCTTGTGGCCCTTCAGACCCCTGCAGGGCTAGATCCCCCTCCGCAGACCCTTGCACCATGGCCCCCCAGCTCTCCAGCCAGCTGTCTGCCCTGGTCTCAGCAGAGAGGTCCTTCCTTACTCTTATAAGGCAGCCCCCCATTTGGTGATTTCTTTCCCTGTTTCTGAATTTAAAATCTCCCATTCAGGAAACACTCTGCTTCACGCTGTCATCCGTTCCTGGCACCAACTCTGGGAGCCAAGCAGGGCAAAGGCCCTTGTTCCCATTCTATAGATGTGGAAGCTGAGGCTCAGAAAGGTAGGGTGGCCTGCCCAAAGTCAAACCAGCACACCAGCAGCCAGCAGACCCTCTACGCTTAAGCGTCCTGATTCTCTCTACAACACGGCACTTCACCATGAAGAAAGCAAGCAGTGGCCAGGTGCAGTGGCTCACGCCTGTAACCCCAGCACTTTGGGAGGCCAAGGTGGGAAGGTCACTCGAGGCCAGAAGTTCAAGACCAGTCTGGACAACATAGTAAGACCCCATCTCTACAGAAAAATTTAAAAATTAGCTTGGCATGGTGGCATGCAACTGTAGTCCTAGCTACTTGAGAGGCTGAGGTGAGAGGATCACTTGAGCCCAGGTCGAGGCTGCAGTGAGCTACAATTACCTACTGCACTCCAGCCTGGGTGACAGAGCAAGACCCCATCTTAAGAAAGGAAGAAGGACAACAGAGGAGAGAGGTGAAAGGCTGGCTGTGTGTGTGTGTGCACACTCATGCACCAAGAGAGTGACATGATGGAGGAAACAGAATAGGCACTGTGTGTAATGCTTACTCCATGCCCAACACTGCCTGATCACACTTCACACATCACTCTGAGCAGCTACTCTTATTATCCCCAGAGGAGCAGCAGAGTTTCAACAACCTGTCCGAGATCCCCCAGCTAATCCGGTGCAGGGCCAGGACATGGACCTAGGTGACCGGACCCCCACCTGGGCTTGGACCTATGAAGTACCACACCTGTCTCTTACTCCTCTCCTCCATCCCACCCTCTAGTCCACCCCCACCCAGAGTCACAAGGTCCCTGTTGTGCCCTCCATCTGCAGATTTTCTGGAGTACACAGGGCACACGGCCAGCTGAACACCCGCTTCCCCCACTCGCTGCTGCTGGGAAGAGAGCAATGGACTCCGAATACCTTCCAGCCGAAAGTCGTCCTCCTCTTCCTCGCTGAGCGTGTCTCTCAACACGTCGCCCACGAGCTCCTACAAGAAGACAGAGCAGAGGCATTGAGCAGGGGTTGGGGGAGCCCAGTGCTGGGACGTTAAAAGCAGTGCCATGAGGACCCTGGGCTGATTCTTCTGATTGGAATTCAGGTCAACTGAGGCAGATCCTATTGCACCTGAAAAGTTAAGTGCCAAGGTGGGTCCCTCCTGCCCTTAACATAAACCCACACGCATCAGCACAACATTCAGGCCACCACAGGCTATGGCTCCACTGGGTCTTCCATCATGCCTCCCACATTTCACCAACACACATGCCTTCCGGAAACCAGCCTGATTCCTTGCACACACCCTGCCTGTTCCCCACCAGTGAGTTAAGGATATCTGGGATCTCATCCCAACCAACCTGACCAGGAGATGTCAAGTTAGCGAGGGGAGTGTTGCTGGTCCACAGGCTGGGAAATTTCTAGGATGTCAACAAAGGCCCCATCTGTCTGACCCACCCTAGCAGGATAACTCCAAATATGGAAGAAGCTAGACCATACCTTGTCAAACTGTCTTCTGTATTTATTGGTATTCTGCCAGAAGAGTTCTATGATCAAAGAAGATTCTTTTAAACAAAGTTAAACAAGATCTCTTACAGCAGGACTTATCAGGACTTTTCCTATGGTTCTAAACACTGAATCTCCAAGTGCTGGCATATTTTGCATTCTCCAAACTTATTTAGACCATGGAGCTTCGTTTTTCAAAAGTATCACATGATACGCGTGTCCCAAGAAACCCACTTTAGGAAATACTCCTGTTATGGGAGGACAGACAAGGGTTTGGGGGATGATGATGCTATGGTAGCGGTTCTCAAAACACAAAATGACAAGCAATAAAAAAGCCCAAACTCAGCAGCTGTCACCAACTTCTCTTTGTGAAAATAAAAGAGAAAAAAAACAAAAACAAAAACAAAACCCAACCCTCTCCTTAGGGGAAAAAAAATTCTACACCTCAGATGATGCTTAAAAAAAAACCAGTCCTCTTCTTGATGAACAAAAGAAAAAACACGGCTTTGTATTGCTGATCTCATCAACTGGACACAGCTGGAGGTAAGCCTCTTGCTTTTTTTTGTTTTTTGTTTTAAAGACAAACAGCTAACATTTTGTGGCTGTTCTCTTTCTTCTTTCAAATCTTTCTAGGGCATTACACACTCTTTCTTAAAAGCTGTTAAAATGTGGCCATTCAGACTCCGGTGTCCCATTTACTTCAAAACCAGGCTACTTTATTCCTCGAGTCAGGATGGCTTCCTCTCCTCCTCCACCAATTATTATAATCATCGAACATATCCTGGGCTTGTAAACTGGCTGTTTGTGTTAACAGAGCCCGAGTTGACAGGGGAGCTGGGAGACGATGACAGGAAAGGGATGCACACAGGTGGCATCATTAGATGGCTGGGACGCCCCAGCAGCCAATTGAAGCCCATCTTTCATGCAGAAGAGAGACGGGTGCCACCGCCCCCTGAAAGGCTGGTAGGCAGAGCTTCCCCGAGGGAACAGGCAACAGTCTTCAAGAGAATCTGCGCACCTCTTCATGCTGAGGTCTTCTGCAGAGCGGGGCTCTGCGCCTGCCACCCTGACTGCACTGCAGCCGGGTGACAGCATCAATGAGACGTCTGAGTACTCGTGTCTTTTTACTGGCACACTTGGAAGAGTTTAAAGACTCCAGACATCGCCACCAACAAGGCAGCCGTGTGGGACCCTATGACAATGACCGCATGTGCTCAAGGCACCCCAGTCACCACCTAATGACAGCTTCAGCACTCCCTGCTCGGAGAACCAAGCTCTCTGACACACTCAGAAAGCAGAGTTCTGGCAAGTTCTGGCATAGGCCTCTCACCACTCAACAGTACCCTGCTCTGGAGAACACTGGAAAGCTCCCCGGAGCCATGGTTCATGGACGCACTGTACTGTGCCAATGCTCAACTTTGCAAAAATTCATCTCCCCAGCCAGGCGCAGTGGCTCACGCCTGTAATCCTAGCACTTCGGGAGGCCGAGGCAGGTGGATCACGAGGTCAGGCAACCTGGCCAACATAATGAAACCCCATCTCTGCTAAAAATACAAAAAATTAGCCAGGCGTAGTGGCAGGTGACTGTAATCCCAACTACTTGGGGGGCTGAGGCAGAAGAATCGCTTGAAACTGGGAGGTGGAGGCTGTGGTGAGCTGAGATTGCGCCACTGCACTCCAGCCCAGGTGACAGTGTGAGACTCTGTCTCAAAAAAAAAAAAAAAAATTCATCTCCCCCACTGAGCCACACGGCCCAGGGTCTGTGGCGTGCAGCGTGCATGTTCCTAGAGCTTTGAGTCTCTAGGCCAGAAGCCACGCGGGATGTTGAGCCAAACACAGAATCACATGCTGGCTGTACCGCCTGCCTCGCCTTTGGACCTCAGCCTACTTATTTGTAAAATGGGCACAGTCATCAACCATAATAATAATCAAACAGCTGACACTTACTGTGCATTTTCCATGTGTCAGGCACGATGCTAGGCACTTTATAGTCATTCCTCAGTACCTGTGGGCGACTGGTTCCAAAACTCCCTGAGGCTATCAAAATCTGTAGATGCTCAAGTCCCTTATATAAATGGTGTAGTATTTGCATATAAACTACAAACATCCTGCCCTATACTTTAAATCACCTCTAGATTACTTACAATACCTAACACAGTGTAAATGCTATGGAGATGGTTGTTAAACTGTATTGCTTAGGGAATAAGGACAAGAAAAGTCTGTATGTGTTCAGTACGGATGCTTTTTTGTTTCCAAATATTTTCTATCTATGGTTGGCTGAATCAACAAATACATAGCCCATGGATAAGGAGGGCCAACTGTGTAAGCGTGTATTTATTAGCCCCCTGAATCATCACAACAGCCCTGGTCTTTCCATCTTTCAAGAAATAGATGCTTATTAAAATGATTTGCAAATTGTAAAGCGAGAGGTATAATCATTACTGTTATTTTCTACAAAGAAAGTGGCCTCAACCCTGAAGTACTGTATGAGACCAGAAACAGTTCTAATGACAGTCACCCGTCATCTACCAAGTGCTCACAGTGTACGAGGTGCTGACCAATGGGATCTTCACGGGAGACTCTGGAGAATGGCCTCCCCACAGCCCTGCATCTAAGTGGCTAGGAGGCTCCAAGAGGCTGTGAGACCCCCTTTGGATCACCTGCCAGCAAGGGGCGGAGCGGGGACTTGAGCCAGCTCCTTCAGATGCCTCAGCCCGGGCTCCTACTCATGCAACCAGGGCTCCTGTGGGCATGGGAGCAGAGGTGGTCAGGAGTCCTGGCACCTACCAGGGACCAAGGATCACACCTAAAGGAGTGCAAGAAAAATAGCCCAGCTGGCAGCTCTAGTGGGTAAGTGGTCAAGGGTTCCCATCTGCCTAGCAGGACTCAAAGCTCCCCTGCTCCTCCCCACAACTTGGGGACTTGGCCCTGCCCTCAAGCTGAGCCCTGGCTGGCAGCCCCACATGTCAGGGCCAGGGCCAGGCCCTTGGCACCATCCTTCGGGAAGGCAGGTGTTGCCAGGAGACATATTCAGAACTTCGACGGCGCCACTGGAAGCCCCTGTGCAGAGGGCATGGAACTGGAGGGGTCAGACCTTGGTTCAAATCCCAGCTCTGCTTCACACATGCTGCACCACCTTGGGGAAGGAACTTTATCTCTAGTGCACCTCAGTCTCCCCATTCGTAAACAGGGGCGACAGCAATAAGGATATCTGGAGGGGGTGGGGCTGTGAGGAGTGAGGAAGTCATTGCATGTGAAGCGCTTAGCAGGGCAGCTGAAAGCATGAGTGGGGTTCATTAGGTCAGTAGTTACTGTTTATTACTCCTGCTATTGTTATTGTATGGTGACCAGAACACTGCTGGGACAAGCCGAGAGACTCGCCAGACCCCAGGTGCCCTCACAGACACCTGGAAACATGCCCCATCCTGCCCAGAACACTTGTTTTCAGAGGACTGCATTTCACCCTTGTGTCAATCCTTTCAGGTATTCCAAAGGACTGCCATGATTACCCTGTTTTACAGATGAGATGAGTGAGGCACAGAGAGGTTAAGTGACTTGCCCAAGGTCACACAGCTAGTAAGTGCCAGAGCCTGAGTCCATACCCTTCACCACTGCACCTGGGAAACCCACATGTGGGGCTTGGCTGCAGTGGTGACCCTCCTCCACTTATTTTGTCTACTTAGTTGTCACTCTGTGATCCCAGGCCCCTCCCCTCTGGCCTCCAGGACAGTGGGCCTTAGCCTCTGCTGCAAGTTCTGATCAAAGACCTTCCTGGGTCTCCAGGGCCTCTGCTCCACCTGACCTGGGGCTGGGCTGCTCCTGTCTAATGGCCTGGATTGGTGGCCCCTCAGGCCACATGCCCAGATGTGCTACCTTCCTAAGTCCCAGTGGTGCCCCATCAGCTGGCCCTGGGAGCCCCTCCCCTGCTCTACACTGGGCCCCAGGAAGAGAGGCCAGCTCCTCCGGGCACAGGGTGTGCAGCCAGCACCAGTCCAGAGCCCAGAATCCAGGCACGATACCTTATAAGGCCTCCGGGGATGGGAAAACCACATCAAAGCAGCCTTGGGGAGCGAGCTGGAGTTTGGTTGGGGTTTTTCCTCTGTCTTTGAGACTTCCTACTTCTGAATGTAACATCTTCCCCCACTGCCTGCCCCAGCAGTGCTTTGTCAATCTTTCTGTTCTCTAAGAGCTAACAGATGTTGGTGCCACGGGTTTCAAAGCAAACTCCCGGTGCCCACAGAACACGGCACAACTTACAGATTCCAAGAATGTACAGGGTTGGGATGTGCCGGGGAAAGAGGAGGGGGGCAGGGCCTAGGCCACCCTGTAACCCTTAGATCCGAGCAGCCTACCCTGGAGCTGCCCCAGGAAATTCCTGGCGAGTTCTCTCTTCCCAGCACACTGAGGCTGCAGCCTGGCCAGGCGCTCTCAAGGCCTTGCTGAGAGCAAGCTCTTGCCTTCCTCTTGTCCCCTCTCGGGAGGCAGGACAGGGATGCTCCACTCCTCAGCGTCCAGATCGACCTGGCAGTCGGGACGCCCAGGCTCCGGGCCCAGTCCCACCCTCAGCAGCCGAGTGGCAGCAGACACATTACTTAATTTCTCCGGCCTCCATTTTCCCCTTCTGTAAAATGAGGATTTTGATGTCAAAGAGCAGTCAATGAGAAAACATAGACAACATGCCTAGGATGGTGTCTGATGCGAAGCTGGAAGCACTAACATCAGTTTCTCTCCTCTTCCCAACACAGGCTCGGGAACATTCTCACATTCCATCCTAATGCCTGGCGAGCCAGTGCCTCAATGTCCACCCTGGGACGATGCTCACATGTGTGTCCAGGAGGCACATTCGAATCCAGTGATGTTTAGGGCAATGCACTTCCTGTTAACCTGCAGTCAGGAACACCCTGGATGCCCTCAAAGGCATGTGGGCTGGATCTCTGCAGAGGAGTGCCACACGAGAGGGACGCCAACAGAACAAGACAGACCTGCAGATCTCCCGGGCAGAGGGCCAGACCACAGGACAGGCAAAGGAGCCCTCACAGGAAGACACGCAGACTGTGCTGCTACCTGTACACAGAGGAGAGCACCAAACCCATGTATGCCATGAGATTGTCCCCGTGTGGGTGAACATGCGGAAGACGACAGCCACGGTGACTTCCAGAGAGGGGAGGGCAGACAGAGGCAGAGGGTGTGGGGGGGGTCATAAACCCCAGCCTTATCAGAAGTGTTCTCATGTTTAACTGATGAGTATATTACTTGGGTAATTAAAACCCAATTTAGTAAAACTGCAGATAATAACCCACTTTACAAAAGAAAACAAAAGCTGGGAGATTAAGTAACAAGTCCAAGGTTTCATGGAAAGCAACAGAGTCAGGTAGCCCCCTCCAGGCCTCGGCCCCCTCGTCTCTAGAATAGGGAGGCCAGACAAGATGATGCTCACAGTTCCCTGGAGCACAGACCTTCTGGGGTTCCAGCCCGCATCCCATCAATGGGCAGATCTCTTCTCTAGGGCTATACCCAGGAAACAAGAGGAAGACCGGGGCTGTCCATTTTCTGGGCCTCAAGTTCTATGTCTCTCACATATACCTCTCCCCTGCGGACCTGTTATCTCTGCCCACACAGCCTCCCTCTCATTCCCAGGCCCCCAGGGCTTTCCTGGGCCTCCAGAGCCCACTCTGCCTACAAGCTCGGCAGGCTGAAAGTGCTAGGAAATTACCCAGCCCATCCCAACACTATACAACATGCAGGCCAGTGATACAAAAATAATCCTCATCAAAGGGCAGAGAGATGGAAAGAGGGCATGGCAGGCAGCCTTTTGAGAGGGCTCCTGGAGGCCTGGACCCAGGGATGGGAGAGGCTGGGGGCATCCTCCTCCCCAGGAGAGGAAAACAGACCCGCCCCTCCTTGCCTGGGTCATCAGAACCCAGGCCTCAACATGCTGCTTCCAAAGATAAATGGCATCTCTTTCCAAAGGAGCCAAAATATAGGGCAGAGTCCTCAGCCACTCCCCTGAAGACCCCTGAGCCCACCACAGCCACAGGTCACCTGGTGGTGGCTCCTGGCTCTGCCCACCAGGCCTGTCCCCTGGATGCAGCCAAGCCAATTGGAACCCTCTCCTGGGACCCCTCCCTCGGGAGCTGACGGGGACGAGCTCTTCTCTGGTGCCAAGGCTGCATCTCATCTCATCGGCAGCTTCTCAGAGACAGCTCACTCAAGGAGGCAGCTCACACAGAGACAGAGGCCAGTACTGGGACCAGCCTCAGGCCCAGCCTTCTCCAGAAGGAGGCTGCCTGTGGGCAGGACTCTGGGTCTGTTTTGCCCTCAAACAGCGCCTGGTACCACGCAGGCACTCGAAAAAGTGTCTGTTCGGTGAACCCTGGGGCAGGCCCACCCTAACCCGCCCTTCCTACCGATGGGACGGTCACAGAAGCCACTAAACGGCCTTTGCTGCTTCCAGCAATTCAGGTTGGGTTTCCGTTACTTGCAACTAAAAGCTCTGACTCCCACAGCTCCCAGAAGCAATCCACAGCCTCCTCAAAGCTAAATCCAGGATTCCCAGGCAAGCTTGGGAGCCAGTGGAGCGAGCTCCTGCTGCCCTGCTGTATCGCGGGCCCCTGCAGGAGCTTCACCCGCAGACTCCACTCAGAGCTGCGGAGGCTGAGGCGAGAGGGAAGACAGGCTCCTGGGGCTGCACACACAGACCAGGCCTTTTGTATTTGGCCTGCAAGGACCAGGCCTTCAAGACGCCAAAGACATTGAGCAGCAATTAAAATTCCTCAGATTTCTCCTGGACTATTTTTATCTGCCCAAGATGCAATCGACATGCTCCTAACTGTAGATCCCCGGCCTTCAGCTCCCCACATCCTGGGGACCCCAGCCTGAGCCTGCTTCCTGGGCTTGAGAGTTTGCACAGGGAAGGTGGACAGCCAGCAAGGAGTGGGACGGCAGGGCTGGCAGGAAGGACTTCAGACCCTGGGCCTGACTCTGAAACCACCATACTCCCTTCCTCCAGCCCTCAGGCCTGAGACCCGACAGGGTACTCATAATCCCTAGAGACGGGTTGCCCAATCCTGAACCTCAGCCAGCCTCAGTCACCAAAGGGCCAGCAAAGGCCACTTCCTGGGCTGTCACACCAGCAAGTCGCAGGCATCCACATGCCATGGTCGCGCCTTCCTCCAGAGCCATGTCTCTGGGCTACCATGAGTACTTAAATGCTTCTCTTTAAATTGGCTCTCTCTCTCTTTTTAACCTAGTCTTGCCATAAAGCAATAAGATCAATAAAATCACAGGTGTTGGGGGCCTTGGTTTGGTTTGGTTTGGTTCTTAGATGGGGGTCTCACTCTGTCCCCCAGGATGGAGTGCAGTCGCATGATCACAGCTCACTGCAGCCTCCAACTCCTGGGCTCAAGTGACTCTCCTGAGTATCTGCGACTCCCACCGACACAGGCCACCGTACCCAGCTAATTTTTTAAAACTTTTTGTAGAGACACAGTCTCGCTATGTTGTCCAGGTTAGGTGTTTTTTGTTGTTTGTTTGTTTGTTTGTTTTGTTTTGTTTTTTTAAGGACAATTCATATTGAACAAATTCAGAATCATTAAAATATAAGACACCCACCACTTGCCCCTCCAACCCCTCAATAGGACATCAACCATTGAACCATGCTTTCGGAAAGACAGGATTTAAAGAACCTACCCCCTGGCCCCCACAGTGGTCAGGCTGGTTCCAATAAGTAGGAAGACGGTGGGTGGGGGAGAGACACCAGACAAGGTGGGCACCAGGAGATGCCACCAACCTTCCCACCTGGCCACCCTCCTTGAAGACTCATGGCTTCAGTGTGATTTCTGAGCATGGAGAAAAAATGACTAATGGGGGAAAAAAAACCCAAAACACCAACACCAACAACAGAAAAGAGTAAATCTTGACATCACCCAGAATGCTCCCTGATCTCAAACTGCTGGCATTTCAGAGCCCTTAAGAGATGAACCAATGTAGGGCCAATTGCCCAGAGCCAGGCAGGGCACGGGGTGGGGAGACTTTGCTGTTTGTCTGACCACAATTTTCCGACTAGACAGTGTTCAAAGGCATTTCTACAGTGGAAACTGGGATCTGATGGGCATGTTGGGGCCTGGGGGTAACTGAGGTCATGAATATAAAGGACTCAGTGATGATGATAACCAGTCTTAGTCAGTGTGCGACATCTGCCAAGTGTTCCATGAAGCACGTTAGGGGCATCACCGACCAAGTGCTCCCAGCAGCCCTAGAAGCTGGGCTCTGCGATGACCCCCACTTTGGCCATGAGGAAACTGAGGCTTAGAGAGGTTAAGTGACTCACTCGAGTTGTCAGTCAGGTCTGGGTTTGAGCCTTGGTTCTTCTGCTTTTATACTGTGTGACTTTGTACAAATGAGTCTACCTGACTATGCCTCAGTTTCCCCAGCTGAAAGTGGAAATGACAGCCCCCACCTGGCAGGGCAGTTGTGAGAGGAATGGAGAGTATGTGTACAGTGCTTGGTGAGTGGCCTGGCTCAAATAGCGTGTCCCAAGTCACAGCTGTCACCTCCTTCTCCCTCCGGGCCCTGGTCTTTCATTCTCTTCCCTCACATGCTCTCTTCTGCCCTGGTTTTTGTCAGGGATGCCACAGCGGATCAAAGCCCAGCCCAGCACTGCCTCATCACCCCAGAAGGCCTCAGGCGACCCCACTTCTGGCCGGCTGCAGAGAGCAGAGAGAGTGCACTCAGCGCTTGTCGGAGTCTCTGCCCTCCCACCCACTGCTGACCACACACACACGGCCTTCCCACCCACCACTGACCTCTCTAAGCCACTGCCCACCACACCACTGACCCCACCACACCACTGATCCTGCCCCACCACTGCCCACCACACCACTGACCCCACCACACCACTGATCCTGCCCCACCACTGCCCGCCACACCACTGAACATTGCACCACTGACTCTACCATGCCACTGCACATCGCACCACTGATCCTGCCACACCACTGCCCACCACACCACTGGCCCCACCATGCCACCACCTGCCACACTGCTGACTAGCCCAGCCACTGGCCCGCCACGCCACACAGCCGAGTGCTGATAAGAGGAGAGGCCCGAGGGCCTGTGGCGTGCCTCTGATCACCAAGCAGCTGGGGCGGCATCTGCCAGCAGTTCCTGGCCCTGGGACAGGCCCCCGGTCTGCTGCCAGGGTCTAGCACGTGTGACCTGCCGACAGGGTGGCCCTGAGCCAGGCTGCTTATGACAGGCAGCACTGTCATCTGGCCCCAAGGAAGGGTGCCCCATAGCCATAGGCCACCTCACTGTGGGGAAAGGATGTGTGCTCCTGCCCAGGGAAGGGGCTTGGGGACCCAAGAAGCCTGGAATTTCTTGCTCAGCCTCAGGAATGAAGGGCTTGAGCTTCTTGCTTTTCTGAACCTAAACGAAACAGATGAAGTAAGAGCCTCTTGATTCCTATACCCTGAGGCCTCATTTTACGGACAGGACAAGAGTGTCCATGAGCACAGGTGTGCGCGCACACACACACACACACACACACACACACACACAGAGTCCACCCATGCGGCCCTGCAGTGCCCTGGAGAAACCATCTTGCAGAAGCCATGCTCCTACCCACTCTGATCCCATCAGCCCTGGGCCTCCCACTCTCATCTCCTGGCCCCTTCTGTCCCCTTGTCCCCAAAATAGCTCTAAGAAACTTGTCACCATCCCTCTCACAGGCCAGACCGCCCACTTGGAGCCTCCCAGCCCTGGACCATCCTGTCCCCTTCACCCGGAGCGCCCTCCTCCCTCTACTGCCAGTGAAGTCTTTTGCCTCCTCCGGAGCCACTGTGGATTTCGACTTCCCACCATCCCCAACCACCAGATGAGGACATAATCAAGAGGGTCACACTGGCGGCTTCCAGAGGACTCGGTTCATTCTGAAACTCAGCAGTTCGCATGCTGCCAGGGCTGTGATCGAAAGCCTCAGTGGCCACATCTATAAAATGAGGGCACCAATCCCACCCGCCTGCCACGCAGCAGTGCACGATGATCACACCAAAGGTGGGTGTGGAAAAGCCGAGAAGGTGAGAGGGGCCATTTGGGAATGAGGGCCCAGGGTCCACAGTGCTGTCAGATAGGAAGCTGCTGAGGAGCAGCCTAGTCCGCTCCTGTGCTGTTGATAAACAAAAAGGTGCGTTTTCCAGAATGTTTCTGGAAGGCCACGCTCCACTTCAGAAATGGGAACTGGGGCGCTGTCTCCTTCAGCTGTCTGATTTTCTGGGTGATTTGAATTTTATATTTATATTCTCTCTTTTTAAACCAAGAACATTCAACCCTTTTATACTGAAAAAAATAATAATAACTTTTTCCAAAGCGGTTTTTCCATTAAAACAAATGATGTGGCTCTCCCTCCTGTTTGATGTCACCAAGTTGCTCAACAGGCACCTCAAACTTCATGTGTCCAAACCGGACGCCTGGCGGCCCCCAAACCTGTCCTCCCCAGTGCCTTCCCTGTGTACACAGGGCAGCTCCCTGCTTCCTTCACTCTGGCCAGACACCCCAGAGGCTTCCGCACATCCTGTTGGCTCTCCCTCAAAACACACCCTGAAACCAATCATTGCCACCTCCTCCACTTCTGCCACGCATTCCAGGCCACAGTCCTCTTGAATAATGACAACCATTTTCTATTCTCTGCCCTCGTCGCCACCCCAACCCCTACCCAATTCCCCAAAGTCCCACCAAAGCCCATCAAAGCCCCACCCAATTTGTCTGCCCTATCACCTCCCTCACCCCTTCTGTTCCTCCCCATTCACCCGCTCGCCCACAGCCACACAGGCGTCCTTGCTGTTTCTCCAACAGGTTCAGCTCATTCCCCATTCAGGGTCTTCACACACGCTGTTCCCTCTACCCGGAAGACTCTTCCTCTGGATAACCCCTCCCTCCTGCCCCTCCTTCAGGTTTGGGTTCATTATCACCTTGTCACCTAGGTGAGGTCTTCCCAAATCTCTTTATTTAAAACTGCAGCCCCCTCTCCCACAATCCCTTATTTATCTCTGGGGCATTCCCACCATCTGACACATTATGTATCAACGCCTGACGGCGGAGGCACTCGACCAGCGTGTGTTGAACCACCAAATGCAGCTCTGTATTTACTGACTCAGAAAAACACGCCCTGCATTTTCTTGAAAGAAAAAAGTAGTTGCCAAACAGCAGAGAAAATGTGATTACATTTCCTAACATTATCTGCACGTGTTTCCACGCGCTGTAGTAGGAGGCACACGTCTGCAGAGACGGGCACCAAAATGCTCCCAGAAATGGTGCCCGGTGCTGGATTCCAGGTCACCCAATGGTCTTCCATGAACACACATGATTACTTCTACAATCAGAAATTACAGCAAAGTGTTTTGAAGGAAAAAAAAAATGCTAAAACATACAAAAATGGGCACCCAAGTTGGTTCTAGAAAGACTCACACTCAGAAGTCTGCTAAAAGGGTCTTGGCCCTAGCAGTGGCAAGACCTACAGCATTCTGGTGAAATGGGTGGCCTCCTGATTCCAGCTGGGAGGGAAGGTGGAGACTCCAGACTTTGGTCCACCCAGACCCCATTGCTCCCTTCCACAGCCACACAGTGCACCCAGGCCACAAAGAGGCCACAGCCACACCCATGCCTGCTTCTCACTGCTCTCACTGTACATGCATAGGAAGCCAGGGGCTGTGTAATGCAGACAGCGCTTTGATTCCAGAAATGGCATGAGACCAGCTGAGCATGCAAGCCAGGCTGTCATCGGGGGCTCAGGGGGAGCAGGGTGGCACTCTCTCCTGCCCATCCCAACCAGCACACACCAAATTTTGCTGTTGCCATTCTCAGGCAACCAAAGATCTCAAAGCAAAAAGTATGGGGATCTAGAAGGCCACTGCCTGCCCCTGCAGGTCCAGTCAACAGCCCACATCAGGGGCCCGTGTCACCACAGGGTGGTCACCTGGGAAGCCAGTGAGGTCTGGGAGAGTCCGTATGGTCAGCATGGAAGGTTTGAGGCCACTCTTGGGCCTGGGGATAAGAAGGTCTTCATGGCAGTGACTCCACCCATCACACCTGTACCTCACCCATCACACTTGTACCTCACCCAACAACCCCAGGAGGTCCACGTGTGAGCTATTGCTGTTTTTACAGATGGGGAGACTTAGAGTCATAGGGGAGGCAAGAGAGTGGTAAGGCTGGGAGAAACGGAGCACTCCCGAGAGGAAGGCCAGGGCTCTCAGGACATGCCCCTGGGTGTTCCTGGATCTGGAAGAGAGGCCTCTGCTGTCTGAGCCCCACATTTCCACCAGGACCACCAGCATCAGGCCAGGCCAGAGCCTTTGTTCAGAGGTTCTGACCTGCAAGAAGGACCCAGCCCCTCTGAGAATGTCCCCCTAGAAAAATGCCATGCAAAGAAAATTGCACATTGAATTTCAGGGGGTTCATGAACCTCCCCACTACAAGTCCTTTTGTGAATTTTAGTTTAGGAACCTCTGAGAGTCCAGATGGGGAAACTAAGGGCTCAAAAAGGGACAGGACTTACCCAGGGTCACAAAGCCAAAGAGGAGCAGAGCCAGGATCCGAATATAGAGGACCCACAGCTGGTAGCAAAGAACCAGCGAGCGATGAGTTCCCTCGGGGAGCAGAGGCACAGGACAAGAGCCCCCACACACCCTGACTGCCAAGGGCTGGAGCACCCAGACCAACAAGCCCACCTTTGGACGGTTTCTCCACAAGCACTGTCTCAGGCAACCAAACATTTCAAAGGAAAACGTAGTGGGTCCAGGCATGGGGGCCCAGGACGTTTGGGGAATGCTGCGTGGACTTCTCAAGCCTTTCCAGACCACCTGTAGCAGGCCTCCCACGAGGTGCTCACAGATCAGGGGTCTCCTTACTTCTTTAGACCCTTTGATAGCAGTCCACCTCCCCAGGGCACCGTGTGCACGTGCAGATCCCCCCGGGTCTGTGTGCCCCCCTCCCTTCCCTATGTGCTCCCCACCAGCAGCTCACACCTGGGGGCCCTCTTCAGAGGCCTGCCCTAGGGCTATGTCTGCAGACTCAGAGAACTGCCGTGTCCCCACCCCAGGTGGCCCTGAGCCTGGTGCAGGAGAATGAAAGCCCATACCTCCTGTCACGACAAACTCAGAAGCATAATTTATACCCCAGAGCTCCCCCAGAGGGTCAGACTGAAGCCAAGACTTTGCCTGAAATGGCACCTGTGCTTGGCTTCTTCCTCTTGTCTGTCCTGCTTCCTCCACTGCCTCACTGGCCTGCCCTGCCCTGGGACAGTGTCCTGAGTGAATCACTAGCACGTGACCCTCACCTCAGGCTCTGTTTCTGCAGTCCCTGACCTCACAGGGCTCTCCCCTGAACTACGCGGGTAGTTGGAGGAATCCTGACCCACTTGGTGAATTCACAGGGAGTAGGCAGGCCAATGAATTGCAAGCTGGTTGGTCTCAGACAAAGCAGGTGGAACATCAGTCCAGCCCAGAAAGGCAATGGTCACACTGTGGCCAATCCAGCTACGTGAGAGGCCAGGGACCCTGATGCCAGGGCTCAGGCCTGAGAGGCAGAAAAATGGAAATGGACATTTTCTTCCCACCCCACCCCACCCCATGCCAGCCCCACTTCAGGAAACCCCCTCCCCATCTTTCAGAGCCTAATTCAAGTGCAAGAAGCTTGTTCTAAGCACCTTGTGCCCCAGGAACCTCTCTCATTCAGCCAGCGCGTTTCAGGCTGGCTTCACAGACTGTAAGTTTGGGAGGAAGCCGAGGCTGTAGGAAGCTCTTTGTCCCTCATCTGGCTCCTGCAGTGGGCATCTGAAATTCAGAAGCCCCTGGTCTCCAGCGCCCCCTTCCTCCTTCTTCTGGGAACACTTTGATTTTCCCTGGCGGCTTTCTAGACCTCACAAATAAAAACATAGGACATTCAGTTAAGTTTGAATATCAGATAACAGATCACTGTGTAGCATAAGTATGTCCCATGTAGTATTTGGGATAGACTTAAAACACAAAAAAATGAAGTGCTATTTATCTGAAATTCAAATTTAACTGTGTGTCCTATATTTTATCTGGAAACCCTGCCCCTCCATTCCTCTCACCCACATGGTGTGGGCAGGCTGATTTCTCCCCGTAACCACCAGGGAGGGCACATGACCCAGGCCTGCCCAGTAAGAGCTTCGCACCACGCCAGCCATGGGGACTGGTCAGGGCCGGGCACACAACCCAAGCTATGCCAAGGAGAGGCAACCCCAGGACATCTTCTTTCTCTCTGTTGACTTTGGTGAGATGTGAGCTGAGAGCCTGACCCTACTGAGAGCACTTTACCACCTCACAGAGAAATTCTAGCTATGAAAAAAGCTAATACCCAGGAAAACAGAGCCACGAGGGGATGCAAAAGGGGTCCTGACATCATTTGAGCCCCTGGATCAAATGGTGCCTGAAGCTAGTACCTCCCCTACATTTTTCAATGACGTGGACCACAAAATCTCCCCTTTTGGCTTAAGCCAGGGTGAGCTTATTCTCCTCATAAGCCAGTGAGTGAGTCCTGCTCACTCGCTCCTCCTCACCCTTGCCACCTGGGCATGAGGCTGGGCAGAGTCTATGCTCAGAGAACATGTTTAATTTCACTAAGGAGGATGGTGTGGGGCGATGGGAGAGCCTGAGCTCTCCAGTCAAGCAGGCACAGTTCCCGGCCCCACTCGGTTCCATCCTCGTTCCAAGTCCTTGCACAACAAACTCTCCATGAGCCTTGGTTTCCCTATTTGTGAGATAAACATAGGTACTTATACCTGGACTGCCCATATAATGCTAGTGCCTTAACCAGGACACTTTAGAGAGACAAAGGGAGTGCTGTTCATACCCAGGTTGGGAGAGACTGGAACTGCCCTGGGTAAAGGGACCAGGGATGCCGTCCCTACAACTGACCCTGCCTGTCTCCACCCGCTTCTGCACTAGCCCTCCCCCACAGCCCATGCCTTCAATTCCGCCCCCTCCCCCTCCCCATCACCACCCTCTGTGCAGGATGCTCCCCTACTCGCTGCTTCTCGCTGCCTCCTAATTCATTCTTCCAGTCTCAGAGAAGCCATCCCTGGAGCCCCGGGCTCTGTGCGGGCCCCACTCTGCATCCTCCTTGCAGCCTTTGGCGCTCTGTGAGACAACTACTTGTGGCTTGCAGGCTCCCCAGCCGGCTAAACTCGTTGAGGACAGGGTCCGTACATTTCTCCCTCATTACTGAAGGCCCTTACAGAGCTGGCATGGTGCCTGGAAAACGACACATAAAATAGCAGACAAAAAAGGACACCGCTAACCCTCTCTTCCTCCTCTCTGCAGGCTCTGTATTTTCTCTGTGCATCGATAAAACCATCCTGGCTGCGATGCCAGGCAGGGACAAGTGAAACTATGAATCATGGAGTGGGGAGGGCATGGGGCAGGGCTAGGACCCACCCCCAGTGGGCCCAGGACATGCTGGCAATGTTCTCAGAGCCAGTGACTTGGGGACAGTGGCCTTAGAAGGCCCCGCCCAGTCCAGCAGCCCCCAGGCGGCGGCAGCAGCAACGCGCTGGCCTTGGGACAGCTTTCATTGATCCAAGGCCAATGTGGACTGGACCTGAGCCGGCTGCCTATTCCAGCATCCAGCCCTGGCCCCTGCTCAAAACACAGGCCTGGCGTCTCCCTGTGGCCTTAGCCAGCTCTGTCCTCAGCGGCAGCCAAGTCACTGCCCAGAATGCAAATGGGGCAGGTGCAATGGGCTTCTCCAATCTGAGACCAAGGCCATCACATCCCACACACAGCCCAGGTTGTTCCACACACAAGCAGACAGGGTCCCCTTGGGTTGCTTGGCCCCCGCCCACACAGCTTTCCTGCCTATCCCCGGGCAGCCACCCCACCTATTTCTTGGTTCAGCCAGGCATATAGCCTGAGGTCAATTACCTGGAGAACGCATTGCCACACCAGCTCCCTGGCTCGCACCCCAGCCCAGGTGGCGCACGCTCATTTTATTTTCACAGGGCCCCTTCCTGGCTCCACAGCCTTCACTGGCTCCGTGCTTCAATCAACTCAAAACCCTCTGAAGTCTTGCTGTAGCTTCTCAGTCCAGCTCACTGGGAAACAAATGGTTATGGTAGGGAAAAATGCTAGCCTGGGAGCTGGGTGGTCTGCCTCAGTTTCCTCATCTGTACAAAAAGAGGAAGCATGGCAAGAGGGTATCTCCAAAGACTTTACTGCTACAATAGAGCATGACTCCACAGGCTCAGGAGAGGGCCAATTCAGCCAGGCCCCAGGCTCCGTTCCTCCTCTGCTGTCTTCAGGCCACCCAGAAGGGCCACTGCCCACTTGCAAAGCCAATGATCCGTCCTCAGTACCGTCTGTCTCAGGAGGCAAAAGTATTTTGAGGAGAAGGAAAGAAAAGTGTGGATGTGAATGCTTCCCTCAACTCTGCATCAACCCAGCACCCAACCCTCCCAGCGCCAGACACCCTGCCCACAGGGGAGCCACAGTGGCTACAGATGGAGAGAGAAGCGCAGCTCACAGGCTGAGGAACAAACGGCAAATATCTACCTGCATGGAACACCAGGAAGGACCCCATCAGCCTCAGCCTAACAGTCAGTACCTCAAAAAAGAATTATCAGGTTAATTTAAAAAGAGGCTTCATTCTGGCCGGGCACAGTGACTCACACCTGTAATACCAGCACTTTGGGAGGCTGAGGCAGGCAGATGACTTGAGGTCAGGAGTTCGAGACCAGCCTGGCCAACAAGGTTAAACTCCGTCTCTACTGAAAAAAAAAAATAGCTGGGCATGGTGGCAGGCACCTGTAATCCCAGCTACCAGCTACTCAGGAAGCTGAGGCAGAAGAATCACTTGAACCTTGGAGGTGGAGGTTGCAGTGAGCCGAGATTGTGCCACTGCACTCCAGCCTGGGCAACAAAGTGAGACTCCATCTCAACAACAACAACAACAAAAAAAAGGCTTAATGCTAATGGCCACAAACTCATAATGGCAGTAAAGGAGCAAACGGCATTGCCAGGTGGTGTGGGGCCCAGACCATGCCCCCACATGGCCTGAGGCTTGGGTCCTGGCTCTGTCACCTACAGGTTGTGTGATGCTGGGCAAACTAATAAACTTCTTTGTACCTTAGTTTCCTCCTCTGTATGATGGGCAAATAATAATATCTGCCTTGTGGAGTTGCTGGGAGCATTAAATTAGCTCACATTTGTAAAGCGCTTGGAAAACAATACCTAGTTCCTTAGAAGCACCATATAAATGCTTGTTAAATAAATAAAAATGAAGGTGAATATAAAGTACATAAAGACACACTTGTAATGTAAAAGAAGGATGACCATCTCAAGAAAAAGAAGGATGACTGTTTCTAAACATCTTTAGCATTCGTTGGTTTTAACATATAGGAGGGTGTGAACACATGTGGGGATTTTTTTCTTCCTCCATCAGGCATAGGCCAGACTTACATGAGGATCTGATGTGTTCTAATATTATTTGAACAAACACAAAAGTATCAGTATGGGGAGATGAGGTTAAGCCCAAGAGTTCTGGAAAAGGTTGGGCCTCCTCCAAAAATGGGAAAGCTGGATTGGCAGGAGAGGTCACCTATAGTATCAAGGTCAAAAGAGTGTTCAGGGCCAGGCACAGTGGCTCATTCCTGTAATCCCAGCACTTTGGGAGGCCAAGGCAGGAGGATCACTTGAGCCCAGGGGTTCAAGACCAGCCTGGGAATCATAGCAAGACCTGTCTACAAAAAATTTAAAAATTAGCCTGGCATGGTGGCATGCAACTGTAGTCCCAGCTACTCAGGAGGCTGAGGCAGGAGGATTGCTTGAGCTCAGGAATGGGAGGCTGCCGTCAGCTGGGATGGTGCCATTGCACTCCAGCCTGAACAACAGAGCAAGACCCTGTCTCAAAAAGAGAAAAGGAAAAAAAAGAGAAGAGAAAAGAGAGGAGAGGAGAGGAGAGGAGAGGAGAGGAGAGGAGAGGAGAGGAGAGGAGAGGAGAGGAGAGGAGAGAAGAGAAGAGAAGAGAAGAGAAGAGAAGAGAAGAGAAGAGAAGAGAAGAGAAGAGAAGAGAAGAGAAAAGAAAAGAAAGCATTCAGCAAAGGCCTCCAACATGATCCATTTGCCCGCTGCCTTTATAGGGGAGCGTGAACTACCCAGACTTGGGCCACCACCTCTGGAGGGATGAACCCTCGGGGCGGCTCCACTAATTACAGGTTGGAACTAGCAAGGCACAGCCCTGTCTTAATGGTGCCCCCGACCAGGCTGACTAGAGTGGGCTGCAAGTGCCAGCTGCCCAGAGCTTCCACCGTGCAGCACCTCAGGGCATGCTGGGCTATAGAAAAGCAAAACCAAACAAAACCCATGAGGAAGGCGTGGGCTTAAAAAGCTCTTTTTCACCACCAGTGAAGTTTAATGCTTAAAAAGGAAGTCAAGAAACTCGACTGGTGCTTGCGTCTGAGGGACTGGCGCGAGGAAACTCATTTCCGTATTCTCTCTACTTTCGTGTCTGTCTGAAATGTTCTATGAGAAATAGTATTAAAAAGGGGAACTTAGTCTAAAGAACAGGGGCTTGAGTTTAAACCATCTTGGGAGAAGCAGCCAGGCCCAAGGCTCACCAAGAGTCACCGCGCAACGAGGAAGATCTGAGTGCTGGGGTCGGAGAGGACATTAGGTTTCCTTTAGGCACAGTGAGGTCACAGCAAAATAGGAAGACCAAATGGTGTGCCGCACTGACCATGTGCCAGATGCCCTCCCAAGCGCCCCATGTTTATAACTCATTTAATCGTCACAACAACCATGAGGCAGACGTTGCTACTTCCCCATTCTACAAACAAGGAAACTGAGGCAGACAGTAGTTAAGAAATATGAGGCCAGGCATGGTGGCTCACGCCTGTAATCCCAGCACTTTGGGAGGCTGAGGCAGGTGGATCCCTTGACGTCAGGAGTTTGAGACCAGCCTGGCCAACATGGTGAAACCCCATCTCTACCAAAAATACAAAAATTAGCCGGGCATGATGGCGGGCGCTGGTAATCCCAGCTAATCGGGAAGCTGAGGTGGAAGAACTCTCTTGAACCCAGGAGGTGGAGGTTGCAGTGAACCGAGATCACACCACTGCTCTCCAACCTGGGCAACAGAGCAAGACTCTGTCAAAAAAAAAAAAAAAAAAAAAAAAGCAGAAGAAAAGAAAAGAAAAGAAACTTGAACAAGTAGCTAACAAGTGGCAGCACTGGGATTTCAACCCAGCCTACCTGGGCATGAGGCTGAGCTCTAGCCACCCTGCTGAGCTGCTGCTTCATTTCAGCCAAGAACAGATCTCAGCCCAGTGGGGTCAGATGCAGAAACAATGGCAAAACAATGGATTAAAGCTATAGCCTCAACAGCATAGCTTTGGCATGGGCTTATTTGCAAGGGCAGACAAGCTGATAACTACCGTTACCTGCTGTTAGGGTATGTGACCTGTCATTCTAAACTTGCAGTCTCAGTCCCAGTTATTTAAGTTAACTTGAAATCAGCATTTAAATCTTTAAGAAATACTGGTTCCTCTATTAGATATGTAAGTTGAATGAACTGAGCAATAAACAAAATACTGAAGGGTGTAAGTTTTCCTTTCCATGTATGAATGTGGCCTGGACATTAAGGAATCCCATCAGTACCAGGCCACCAGCCATTCCCGTTTCATTTGCTGTCCACCCAAATCAGCCACACCTGCCCTGAGGACATCTGCACTAGGGCAGTGATCCCCAACCTTTTTGGCACCAGGGACCGGTTTTATGGAAGACAATTTTTCCATGGATGGGGGCAAAGGGAGAGGGGTCGGCAGACGGTTTCGGGATGAAACTGTTCCACCTCAGATCATGAGGCATTTGATAGATTTCCATAAGGAGCACACAACCTGGATCCCTTGTATGCACAGTTCACGATAGGGTTTGCACTTCTGTGAGAATCTAATACCACTGCTGATTTTGACAGGAGGCAGAGCTCAGACGCTCACCTCCTGTAGTGCTGCCCAGTTCCTAATAGGCCACAGACCTGTACCCACCCTTGGCCCAGGGTTTGGGGATCCCTGCTCTAGGGAACTCTTTGGGATTCCATTTACTGATTCAACTCTGGACTTAGGTCCATGATACATCCCAGCTGTAGAAGCAGAGGGAAGTCCAGAGGTAAAGCATCTCTCCTTAGTGACCCACACCTTCTTTCAGATCCATCAAGATATATGCAAACTGCAGAGCAATTTTTCCATGTCAGACATAGAAGCCAGAGAACAAAAGTTACGTGGAAAGCCTAGATAATGCTTTTCCCCCCAAAGTAATACAATGTTGGGCTATGTTAATAGAAGTATTACACCTATATTTTGGGAGGTGACGATTCTACTATTTTCTACTAGGTTAGGTGCCACCTGCAAACAAAATCTCATATATAAAGAAAGACATAGCTACACCAGCCTTGCGATTCAAAGTGTGGACTAAGGGCTAGCAGTCTTGACATAGTCTAGGAAGTGGTCAGAAATGCAGAGTCTCAGGCCCCATCTACCCTACAAAATCAGAATCTGCATTTTTGCATCATCCCCACACAATTCATATACACATTCAAGTTTGAGAGACCCTGGTATAGGGATGACCAGAAAGATGACTGCATGATTACAGCTAATATTGATATACCTAGCACGTACCAAGCCCTATTTTAATACATGTGAGTACTTTATATCCACACAGCTTTCGAGTCGTGGAGCTGATGGCATAATGGTGAAGGGGTAGGACCTCAAGGAACAGTGAGAACTCACGACGACCTGAGAGATGGGATGGAAGAAGCCAGCTTCCTGCCTTCAGACAGGGAGAGAATGACTCCCTCACCAGAGGAAGAAGGACAATTCTCCATATTTCTTGAAGGCAGAGCAGGACTAATGACACATAAGGCCCAAATTCTCTATCATTCCAGGAGCTAGAGTTGTCCAACAAAGGACAATCAAGGGAGTGAGCTTCCTGTCACAGGAGGTATCCAAGCAGATGCTGGGAGGCCTTCTGTACAGGATGCACAGAAGAGGATTCCCATTTCACAAAGGAGTCAGTCTTGATGGGTTGAACTTTTCTCTCTAATTGCAAGGCCAGGAAGGCATCTTCTATATCTACTGGGAACCAGAAGGTGGGTGTGCTCCCATTCCCCACCAAAAGCTGCCTGTGGGTTGCTATGGCCTATGACATACTAGGAAACCTCTGTGGTCTCAAAAGTCGGAACAGAAGATGGGGCCTATTATTAACCCTTCAGCCCCAGCACCTCCCTCAACCTAGACTGCAGACACGTGGCTCACGGTGGTCCTCAGGTAATAAGCAGAGCTAAATGACCCCTGGCTGGAGATGGGAGGGGAGGTAGGGAGACAGCCACCCACCCCCCGCCCAAACAAGGAGACGCCTCTGTGACTCAGTGATCCACGCTTTCTCAAACAGGGAAACTCTTTGAAGAAGTCCCCCATCCACTCACCAGTGGGCCACCACCTTGACTAACCAGATCCCACGTGCTGGTATCTACAAGTGACTGCAAGTTTTGCTCTGTTCACAGAAGAACGAGGTGAAAATGAAAAAACTTTGTTGGGAATTTGCCTTCTAAAATGTCAAAGGCCAGGGAAATGGACCTGGCATGGAGGCAGCAGGGCTGAGGGTCAGAGTCTGACCACCGGGGTCAAACTTTCAGCTCCACCCTGGGTGGAGGGTGAATCTAAGACCTCCCTGAGCCTTATATTCTTGTCTGGAACATGAAGATGAGAAGAATCCCTGCCTCGTGAAACCTTAGAGCAATGCCTAGCATGCTGTAAGCACCACATCCAAGGAACACCAACAGTGGACAGGAACAGAACCCTTGTGAAGAGGGTGCTTTACTGAGTATGTCCGTTAAACAGGGCACAGACTCGATGAAATGACAAACACACAGTGATCAGCACGTCTGTGACACCCAGGGGTCACTTGTTCAATGCTAGCTGTTATCACGGTCCTTCCCACTGCTATCAGTTATTACTATTACCAAACTCCCAATGGAAACAAGACCACAGTGTCACAGAGCACAGTGTCCAGCCCAGGAGGAGGAGGTACAGAGAGGAGGAATGCAAGACTCTGAGGGCTGGGGCGGGAATGACTTGGGGCGTGGGGAAGGCCCTGCCTGGGTAAACGCTTGGCGGCTGGATCTTGGAGGCAGCAAGGCCTCTGGAGAGCCAGCTCCACGGCCTCAGAAGTCAGGCCAGCTTTCAGTTCCCGGCATCCGGGCCCCACGTCCCCCATCGGGCCTGCTGCCCAGGGCACTCAGATTCTTCCAAGGCCCAGGATGCACGTCCAAAGCAGCCTCTCAGACTCAGGCCCCGAATTCCTTGGCCGGCAGGGTTCACGTCTCCATGCGGCTGACAGAGCCCAGCTGCCGGGCGCCTTCTCCTCTGCTCCCACCAAGGCCCTACCAGCCCCTGAGCCCAGGAATTGGGAAGTGCCAGCATCCCCAGCTCCTGCCCCAGCCACGTAATCAGTACAAGCACCCATGAGGGACTTTAGCTATCCCCCTTGGTTCCTCTGCACCTGGACAGTGGCAGGTACTACATGTTCAAAATCGGAATCTAATGACAGGTTTCCCCATCCACCTCCTTTGTGACCTTCTCCAGGGACTGGAAGGAAATCCCATGAAAGAACAAGTTTTACAGAAAAATTAACAAAAAAGAATCCTCTCTGTTCTCCAAAGCAGCATACCCCAAATCTGGCAGCACTCGGACTCCTGAGGACAGCAAGGGAAAATGCCATGCCTGGGCTCGGCAGCAGGTGCCTTCAATCGGGGGTCCGTGCAGCCAGGCCCACATCTCGGACCTCAGTCTGGGCGCCTGGGCCTCATTACGATCTACAGACGACAGCCCAGAGCCCTCAGATACACAGGTGCTATAGGGTAAGTGTAGGGGTGTCAAGAAGCTGCTGTCCACACTCATAAAGGGCTCAGCAGGTGACATCCTAAATGAAAGAGACCCTTGTTTATCCATGGAGGTCAAGGGAAAGAAACCAAACAGCCCCAGTAGCTCTCAATTCTCCATGTGCCTATGGCCTTGGGTTGCTTATAAGCTGGCTGGTATTTTAATAATTGCTAACATTTACCAACGGCTACTCTGTGCCAGACACTGTGCCACATGCTTTACATTTATCCCCTTTTCAAACCCTTGCAACATCCCTTCTATTATCATACCCATTTTACAGATGAGAAAACTGAGGCACAGGTTAAATAATGCCCCAAAGTTACACATTTGGAAAGCAGCAAAGGTAGGACCTTGCCCAATTCTAGGACCTATGGGCTGGGAAAAGACCCTTCAACCAAACTGGGGCAGGCTGATTACATTCATGTACTAATTTGTTCATGCCTAACTGATTCCATACCCTTTTGGGGGAGCCCTCCCACACTGAGACTGGGCTTAGCCACGTGACTTGCTCTAGCAGACGGGACGGTAGTGAATGTGATACAGAAACTTGATAAGGCACTGGGGAGTCCACTTCCTCTCTCAGACCCTGTCCCTGCAATAAGAAACGCCTGGCCTGCTGGAGGGATAGGACATACACAACAAGGAGAGGCCACTGGTCCCAGCCAATTCTGATCTAGACCAGGAAGCTGTGGCCAACTGTCTTGAAGCATGAGCAAGCCCAGCCCAGATCAACCCAGCCCAGGTCCATACAGCTCCCACCTACTCGCAGATGTGGGAGGAATAACTAAGTCTTAGGGTGGTTTGCAACATGGCAACAGCTAACTGATATGCCAACTGCACTGCCTGTTCTCTTTTGACACAAGAAAATAACTGCCTGAGAATTAAGAGAATGAGTGAGAAAGACATTTAAATCAAAGGGTTTGCTTTAAATGAGGGATTGTCAAAAAGTTACTGTGTTTAGATCAGGATTCAAATTTTAGAATTCTTGACAATACCCATGAAGGGATCAAGCCACATCAGGAGTCACAACTCTACTCGCTCCATCACACCTGTGTCATGTCCTTTAAATGGAACCCTTTATTGATCTGTTCTCCTCTTTTATATACTTAAAAGGCAATGCTCTACCATGTGCCAGGGGACACGGCATCTTTCTTCCATGCCAGCCTGACATGAAGCTACACCTCTGTGTCAGCTATCCATCATTGTGTAAAAAAAACCGCTCCTGAACTTAGTGACTTAAAACCATCATTTTACTATCTTTCCTGATGCTTTGGGCAGACTGGCCTCAGCTGGGCAGTTGTGCTGGTAGCTCCTGAGTCTTGTGTGGTTGCAGGGGGAGGAAGGCTGGGGCTGCTGTCATCAGGAGTTTGTCTGGTCTGGAATACCCCAAATGGCTCATGTCTGACGCCTTGGTAGGGGTGGCTGGAAGGCTGGGCTCAGCTGGGACACTAATTGGGACATTGGGAGAACTGGGCCTCTCTCTTGTCCTGTTCGGTCTCAGAGCCTCACTCTCCACGTGACCTCTCCAAGTAGTTTCTCCAGCAAGGTAGCTGGACCTCTCATAGGGCAGCTTGGGGCTCTCAAAAGCACAAAAGCAAAAGCTGCCAGGCTTTCTTACACATCCCTCCCACTGCCTCTGTTGGTTAAAGCAGTTACAGGGGCCACCTAGATTCCAAGTGGGGAGTAAACTCTACCTCTCAGTGGGAGGGCAACAAGTTGCAGCCACTTTAAGCCACCAAACCTCTCACCTCCTACACGCGGCCCCCTCTGCCTAACACCCAAGTCGGTAGCAGCACACATCCTGAAATGGAGCAATAATGCATTTTTTTTTCCCGGGATGGAGTCTCGCGCTGTCGCCAGGCTGGAGTGCAGGGGCGCAATCTCGGCTCACTGCAACCTCTGCCTCCAGGGTTCAAGCAATTCTCCTGCCTCAGCCTCCCAAGTAGCTGGGATTATAGGTGCCCACCACCACATCTGGCTAAGTTTTGTATTTTTAGTAGAGTCAGGGTTTCACCATGTTGGCCAGGCTAGTCTCGAACTCCTGACCTCGTGATCCACCCACCTCGGCCTCCCAAAGTGCTAGGATTACAGGCGTGCGCCACTGCGCCTGGCCACAATAATGCATTTTTACCCCAATGCACACTGGGCAGCAGGCCTGGGATGGGTCTGCAGCATATGCATTGAGTAAACAAATGGTGTATTCCCAGCAGAACCACAGATAATTCGTGGATGAACATCAAGACAAAGGTAGCAGCCTTGGAACCCCAGAATCCCTGCTGTGTCACGAGAGTGCCCCAAGGTGCCATTCCAGAATGAATGAATGTGTGGGATGACCACTGAATGGCAATGTTCCTCTCCCTGCACATACACAGGGATGTCTGGAAGGTATGAGGCAACCACATTCTTTGCAAATACCTCAGTCTAAAAATGGGCACCTGCAAGATCCAGACTCCCCTGGGAGGGTCCACTTTAGGATATGTGGGAGGGGGCAGCTCTCTCTCAGGGCATTTTGAATCTCATTTTGGCTGGGGCTCTAGGCACAGACCTGAGGGACTGCTGTAGGGAGGACAGCCCTGCGAGAGTCCTTAATCATCTAACTAAAACCACGTTCAAGGCATAATTAGCAAACAGCTCCAGATTCATGATCTGAGGCCCACTGACTCTAATGGACTAATTAGGTGAGACATCCTTGGGCGGGCAATGCACTCTGGCCTTCTCAGAAACATCCCAGAGAGCTCAGCAGATCAAGGCTGGCATCTGGTCCATGAGCTGCCTTACGATGGCTGGGCAAAGAGACAAACGCATTACTGGGCAAGAACTACACACAGCTTCCAGAGATCAACAAGGCAATCCCTTCCACCCCAGCAGCCCCAAACAACCAATCCTTGCAACACTCAGATCCTGGACACAAAATCCTTTGCTCTGAGCAATCAGCAACATGCTCTCTGCCTCCTGAACCACCCTGCCCTTTCCAAATCAAGGCTAACAGCAATAAAGGGCACGCATGCCTACACACACAATTCTGCCCTCCCCAGGTCCCACTCCTCTGTAAGCTAACAGCCACTGAGAGCTGCTACAAGACAGCACCTCATCATCCTGGATCAGAAAAATAAATCACCAGCTCTGTGGAAGCCCCAAAAGTACTCAGGGCCTCAAATCCACCACAGATAGCAGACACTTGCTGTTTAGCCAGTTCTCTCCATCCGAGGTGCCTCTGAGTAAGTGGCAGGGGTCCCACAAAGCAATAGGAGCTGGCAGAAGGCAAAGCCTTAGCAAAGGGAAAGTCTGCATCTTTGGGAAGCCCTCGATGCCTCTGACATAATAGCAGGTACAGGCAGGAATGCAATAGACATGCTGAGTGAATGCAAGAGAAAGCACCCGAGAGAATGAGAGCACTCAAAACCCTGCAGCACTGTTTGCCAAAGGACTCCCTGGCCAGAGAAGCTTGGGAAACTGGTCCCTAAACTGAAGGAATCCTGAGTAATACGAAAACTCCATATTCCAGATTCACAATGCACATTAAGACAGTGAAGGCTCTGAGAATTCCTGCAGTTAAGGAACTTATTTAATGGGTAGTTGCAGCAATTGTTTCACAACACTAATTTTGCAAAGAATCTTTTTTTCCCCAGAATCTCCAGTGGGATAATATATTTAGGAAATATTGTCCCTGGTAAGCAATACATCAGTACAGGGCAGATACCGCAAGCCCCAATCCCATAGGAGCTAAGGAGCTAAGTTATTTAAATAAGTTAAATGGGGGCAGGTTTAATATTTGCATAAAAGGCATATGGAAACACTCTTCATCTCCATGAAGAAATATGCTCTAATTTTTCAGAAAACAACCATTTTGGTTCATCTTTTCTCTTCCATCTTTGATAGCAATTGTTTCCTATGAGAGAAATAGAAACATTTATTTAAAAGCAATATAGTTCTATAGAAAACCAATGTGCAAAGGCAATGATGAAAAAAACAGAGAGAAAAATGAGAAACAGGGTTGGTGGGCACTGCAGGGGCTCTGGGGGACACAGGCCCTGTCCAAGAGCACAGCCACATTCAGCTCCACTTGAATATTGCCAGGCTAAGAGGTTGATGCCAATGATATTAGCTTTTCCAATTTTTAAAAAGAAGTCAGAAATCTGGAGTTCTGAGTGAAATTCCTCATTTTTAAATGTTGGCTCAAATTGTTTAAAAAATTGAAAGGGTCAAACAAAACATTCCTGGGAGCTAGAGTCAGCTCACCAGGTTGCAATTTCTGCCAAAAATGACAGAGTAACGCTCATTCGACTGGTGCTGCCACCCGTTTCCCAAGCTTCTCTGGCCAGGGAACCCTTTGACAAGGGTTTGAGTACCCTTATTCTCTTGAGTGCTTTCTCTTGCATTCACTGAGCGTGTGTACTGCATTCCCTGCGTGTACCTGCTATTATGCCAGTTGCATTGAGGGCCTCCCAAAGACGCAGACTTTGCCTTTGCTAAGGCACCGCTCTAAGCACTGGGCCCTCGCCTCTCCTTGGGCAGGCCCTGGCATGTGTGGGAAGGGGTGAGCACACAGTGTGAGGCCAGAATGGCCAGTCCATCAAGGGGATCCATCATGGTGTCATGACAACACTCCCTAAGGTCCTTTTCAGAAATAGAATTCATTCTCAAATCAAAACTAAAAACAGAAAGCCCACCTGGAGAGGCCAGCAAAGGAAGACATAGTCCACGGGACTGAGAGAGTGCATGTGTAGCGGGTTGGGGTGCATGCTTAGTGGGTTAGAGTGCATGTGTAGCGACTAGCCGGTGGGACCAAGACAGTGCGTGTGTAGCTGGTAGCCTGTGGGACTGAGAGAGTGCATGTGTGTAGCAGGTTAGGGTGCGTGTGCAGCAGGTACCCATGGGACCAAGAGAGTGCATGTGTAGCAGGTAGTCCGTGGGACCAAAACAGTGCATGTGTGGCGAGTTAGAGTGCGTGTGTAGCAGGTAGCCCAGGAGACTAAGAGAGTGCATGCATGGCAGGTTAGAGTGCATGTGTAGCAGGCAGCCCACAGGAGTAAGACAGTGCATGTGTGGCGGGTTAGAGTGCGTGTGTAGCGGGTAGCCCGCAGGAGTAAGACAGTGCATGCGTGGCGGGTTAGAGTGCGTGTGTAGCGGGTAGCCCGCAGGAGTAAGACAGTGCATGCGTGGCGGGTTAGAGTGCGTGTGTAGCGGGTACCCCGCAGGAGTAAGACAGTGCATGCGTGGCGGGTTAGAGTGCGTGTGTAGCGGGTAGCCCGCAGGACTAAGACAGTGCATGCGTGGCGGGTTAGAGTGCGTGTGTAGTGGGTACCCCGCAGGAGTAAGACAGTGCATGCGTGGCGGGTTAGAGTGCGTGTGTAGCGGGTAGCCCGCAGGACTAAGACAGTGCATGCGTGGCGGGTTAGAGTGCGTGTGTAGCGGGTAGCCCGCAGGACTAAGACAGTGCATGTGTGGCTGGTTAGAGTGCGTGTGTAGCGGGTAGCCCGCAGGAGTAAGACAGTGCATGCGTGGTGGGTTAGAGTGCGTGTGTAGCGGGTAGCCCGCAGGAGTAAGACAGGGCATGCGTGGCGGGTTAGAGTGCGTGTGTAGCGGGTAGCCCGCAGGAGTAAGACAGTGCATGCGTGGCGGGTTAGAGTGCGTGTGTAGCGGGTAGCCTGCAGGAGTAAGACAGTGCATGTGTGGCTGGTTAGAGTGCGTGTGTTGCGGGTAGCCCGCAGGAGTAAGACAGTGCATGTGTGGCGGGTTAGAGTGGTAGCGGGTAGCCCGTGGGACTGAGAGAATGCATGTGTAGCAGGTTAGAGTGCGTGTATAGTGGGCAGCCTGTGGGACTGAGAGAGTGCATGTGTAGCAGGAACACATGCACAATGACAGCCTTATTAGACCCTCATAACAGCCCATGTGATATGTGGCTGAGGCTTTATTTAAATATTTCTTTCTTTGTTTTTAAAGATGAGGCTCATGGATGTCAAGTGACTTCTCCAGGTGATCATAGTGACATTTGCATTCCCAGAGACAAAAGCAGCCCCTGATGAGATAAGGCAGTGACCGAGACATAGCCAGTGGTCTTGCATCCAGGCCAGCCAGCTACTAAGCTGCCCAGGAGAACTACAGGCTGCAGAAGGCCTCCTGATCACCTGCAGAATCATAGGAGATGGAATGCTGCTCTCACAGATTTCTCAGAAGCTGACTGACAGACACTGCAATATGAGAAATGTACACAGTGTGGGTATCTGATCAGAACCTGGGTGTGAGTCTCTCAGCAGAGCACTAGTAGATCCCCAGGGGAACATCACTCCGCACAGTAAAAGAGGCAGAATCTTCTGGAACATGGAGCTGGACATGGCCAGCTGAAGAAGCAGAAGCCAGCAGAAAAGGAGGCTCAGGTACCAAGGGCACCTGCAAAGGGAACAACGACTCAAGCTGGTACTATGGCAGAGATGGCTACCTGCCCCCAAATATTCCTACTTCCTCTTCCACAGTGTAGAGTTGTCAGCAGAAGGTAGCTGCCCAGATGGGACTACATTTCCCAGCACCTCTTTCATCAGGGTGGGGCCATGTGATTAGTTCTCACTAATCGAACATGAGCAGAAGTGGTACAGAATGATTCACAGTCAGGGATCTTAAGCAGTGGGAAGAGTTTTTCTACTCTCTTATTCCCCTTTCACCAAGTAGAAGCAGAGAACTCAGAGGCTCTCACAGATGAACAAGCCACAACATGGAAGGAGCCTGGACCACTAAGTCACTCATTTTCCAACCAAGGTACCTGTATTGGACTGGTCCATGAGTGATAAATAAAATTCTAAACTTCAATGTCAAGGTGTCTTTACTACAACAACCAGAGTTGCCCCAGCTAAAACACAAGTGGAAAGAAAGAAGAATACATGGGTCAAGAAAATAAGTCCTCACTGGGGTAAGAAGCTCAAGGCAAAAGCAATACAGGAAAAAATCTATCTGCTAAATCAGATCAGTCACCACCTCCTACATACAATGCCTCCCACCTGAATGCCTCTACATAAAGGTCAACTTTAAGACCCCTGGGTGCTTAGCTATGCCTACCTTGATTAAGAATGGCTTACAAAGACAAATACTGCGTGATCTCATTTATATGTGGAATCTAAAATGGGCAAACTCAAAGAAGCAGAGTGGAACGGTGGTTGCCAGAGGCTAGGGAAAGGAGGAAATGGAAAGGGGTGATGGCCAAGGGGTACAAAGTTTCAGTTATGCAAGATAAATAGGTTCTGGAGATCTACTGCACAGCATCGTGCCTATAGCTAACAGTACTCCATTATATATTTAAAATTTTCTAAGAGGGCAGATCTTAAGTATTCTTTCTCTATCTCTTTCACACAAATAATAATAATAAAGAGGGCAGGAGGAAACTTGGGCAGATTATAGACATGTCTATGGCCTTGATGGTAGTGATGGTTTCATAAGTGTATGCTTATTCCCAAACCCATCAAGTTGTATATATTAATTAAGCATAGCTTTGTACAAGTCAATCATATCTCAATAAAGTGATTTTTTAAAATAAAGAATGACTTATGAAAACTCATTTAGGGAAAAAAGAAGGTTATTTACCAAATATACTCTACCCACCCACCCAACAACCCTCCGCTGGGAAGGTATTCCTACTATCTCCATCAACAAGTGAGGGCCACAAGGTCAGGAGGTGTAGTGACTTGGCCAAGGTCATGAAACTGGTAGAGGCAGAGCTTGGTTTTAACTTAAGACCCTATTCCTTCCACCAACCCAACCTGCTCTGAATGGTGTAAAATATTTGTATCATTTCCCACAAATCACTTTCTGCCTTGTATAGGGCCAGCCAGGTATGGTGGCCTCCGCAACACAATGGGCACCTCCTGAAGGCAGGGACTCAGGCCATCCATCAGTGCAGTCTCACAGGGCCCAGCAGGGGCCTCTCATCACTGACTGCAGGGAGTCACATGCTGCTTGACTTCATGCCCTCACCTGTTGACGGGGATGGTAGGAATACCTTCCCAGTGGGTCACTGGGTGGGTGGACAGAGTATACTTGGTAAATAACTTTCTTCTTTTCCCAAAATGAGTTTTTATAAGTCATTCTTTAAAAAAAAAAAAAAAGCACTTTATTGAGATATGATTGACTTGTAAAAAGCTATACTTATTTAATACATACAACTCAATGAATTTGGGGATAAGGGTACACCCATGAAATCATCACCACCGTAAAAGCCACAGGCATACCCACAATCTCCCCAAGTTTCCTGCAGCAGCTCTCAGGCCAAATTCTGGTGCATTTTCAGGATACTCAGGAGGCTTCCACCCCAAATCCTGTCCTCTAACCCAGCTCTCTCCACCAAGGATAATCAGAAACATAACAAAAGGCACTGCTTCCACTTCTGAACAATCACCATTTGATCATAGCAATCTGGCTATGGATGGATAATCTTATGAGTCATTCATTATCAATATTTAAACCAGGAATTACCATCACTAGGGGTTACATCTTCTTTGCTATCTGGAGGAGGAGAGGAGAGGGAGTGACTGAATGTCTTCATGTAATTGGACATGGGGGTGAGTATAGCTGCTCCTCCCAGCTCTGCTCTGAGGCTTGCGAAGGCAATACCCACATCTGCCCACCATCAAGCCTCCATCTGACCAGGGCCTGTTCAGGGCCTGGGTGGGACCCTCAGGAGAGTAAGGGCAAACTAGCATATAGTCCCAACAAAAGGCAGGAATAAGCCAAGAAGCTAGCAATCAATTCTGGGAACTCAGAATCTTCTAGAATATTCTTGAGCCCAGGTAGGAGGCTTGGTGGGCTCTGCAGCCCAGATGCTCCCCTACGGCAGGGTTTCTCCACCTTGGCACTGTTTACATTTGGGGCCAAGGTCACTCTTTGTTGCAGGGGCACATCCTGTGCACTGCAGGATGGTTGGCAGTATCCCTGACCTCCACCTGCTAGAGGCCAGCAGCACCCCCAACCCAGCCATGACAATGAGGGATGTACCCAGATATCGCCAAATGTCCTGTGCTACCATGGAGAACCCCTGCTCCAAAGGATGCAACAAATGGTGGCCACACCAGAATTTAGGCCTGGTGTTTTCCCATTTTCCATTTTCTTCTATCTGGATTTTTATGTGATATGTCTCCATTTTTAAAGTTTGGCAATTAATTAAATATTTTTATGCTGCTAAAGCCAAAAAGCATGTGTAAAGGTCACTGGCCAGAGCCTCCACCAAGCCCTCTGCTAAGTCCAGATGGAAAATGAAAAAGCACATAACCTACTTCTCAGTGTTCGAGCTCCTGAGTTCAAGAGCAAGTCCGTCCCCACAGCCCGGGGAAGGAGCCCTGGAAAGGGAGGCCCACGTTATTTCTGGGGGGAATATTGCCACAAGATCACCTGTCAAAGGGGCTCTTCAAATCCCTTCTCCCAGGAACACAGACAACCCCATTTGTTCTTTCTCCCCGAAAATACAATTACCCTCGCGCTGATGTTCTGAAAACCAGGCCCTAAGCCGGCTCTGGCCTATGAAGCAAACACTTGTGAACCACCCGCCTATAAAACCAGCCAGCCTCTGGGCACTGGTGAATCTTTTAGTGCCAACGTTACCCCAGAAGACTGGCCTCCCTATCTCTCAGCCCCTAGTTAAAGAACTTGATCTGAGCAAGTTTCCTTTCCTTCCAGCGAAAATCTGGGTTACTAGGGGGAGGGCAGTAGAGAATCTAATAAATCTTAGAATATACTTCTTGGCTAAAGGAAAAAAAAAAAAAACACCTACTTACTGGTGTCATGAAACAACTTTCCAGCTCTCTCAGAAGACAGCTGGGTTCAGAAGTTACTATTGTATTCAAGCTGTATTAAATCAAGCTGTGAGAAGCACCAGGGTTATGCTTTTAAAGAATGCCCTAAGCCAATTCTGATGTTTAAAGGGAAAAGGAAAAAGTTTCCAAGGCTTCCATAAATTCCAAGGAGAGGAAGTTTCAAACTTGGGTGTTCACAGACCATGGCCCCCACATAGAAACAGCTTGGTTTCATGTATTTGGTTTTACTGTTCAAACTTTAGGGTCTTTTAACTTTTTATTTTTACAGGGCTCAGAAGAAAAGGGAGAGGGAGCCATTTGCTCACCAAGTGCCAAAGAAAACCCAAGCGCCTCCCTCAGAGGGCCTCTGCCTGGGACGACAACGAGGCAAGGAGGTGGGGAGGGGACCCCCTGGCTCCTGGCACGCCCCAGGCACAGCTCCTCCTGCCCGCTGGAGGCCAGGCCTGCGAGGCCAGCTGCTAATGAACTCCAACAAGATCAATCCAAGGCGAGACCACGCTGCACTGCCATTCGGCCGTGCCTGGGCCTCGGCCACCAGCAGCAGGAGGAGCAAAATGGAGAGTTTCCAAAAACAAGATGAGGCCCAGCCAAGTCCCAAGGAATCCTAAATTTAGTCCCTGGGGGAAGACGGCTATGTCGACTCAGCCAGGACACCAGTGAGGCCCAGCATCCTTTGAAATGTCAACCAAACTAAACAGGCCCTCCCAGGACACCTCAGCCCCCAGTTCTGACTCACACCCACATTTCCAATCCCTAGCCCCCACTGTCCAAGGCCTGTGTACCTAGGAGGTTGGGCAAGACAAGGGAGGTATACCCATTTGACAGGAGAGAAAATTGAGTCCCAGAAGAGGTAGTGGTGAGGTAGAATGAACATAGGCAGTCCTGCATTTGGATCCAGCATCAAGTTCTATCACCCAATACCCATGTGACTAGGAAGAAGACATTCTGCCACTTGGAGCCTCAGTTTTACCATCTGTAAAACGGGAGTGAGACTATTTCAAAAAGTACTGAAAAGACATAAAATTTTAAAATTTCTATGTATATATAGACACACATGCATTATATATACATACATATATGTCATATACATGTGTGTTAAAAAGAGACTGCTGGGCTGCACCCCAGACATATATAGTCAACAGCTGTTGTTTGTGCCAGCTCAGCACCCTCACCCCCGCCCCTGCTCCCCTCTCAGCCCCTGTGGCTGAGGCCAGCCCAACCCGTTTCCGTGAGAGTTCTCAGACACCTAACTGAATCAGAATCACCAGGAGCTGAACCCAGGTTATTCAATTTTCCCCAAGCTATTCTAATACACAGAGACACTTTTAGGAGCAGCTGCCAGATAAATTCAGAAGATCCAAGTGGCTAAGCTCAGAGAGGGTGCGACCCTCCTCCTAGCCCTCAGGAAGCGGTACATCTGCAAAGGGTCTCAGATTCTAAAGGGCTGTCAGGGTGGGACCCTCTCCCAGCTCTGAGCCAAGATGCAGAACCCAGAAGGGGAGGTCCTGAGGGGCAGAGACCAGCAGAACTCTGATCTGACCCCAGAAAGCACTTGCTGGCTCTTTCCCCGCAGCACCCGGCTTCACACTGCAGGGCAGGTCAAGGGGATGAAGAAGAGCCCAGAAGCTCCAAAGGGCCTCGCTTTAACCTGATGGGGGGAGAAGGAACAGGGAATGTCCACCTGCCCACAGGGCAACTTCAGCATCAGGAGGTCTCCATAGCAACCCTCCAGCTGGAGTCATTCAGCCACCTGGAGACCAGACAGGGTGCAGGGGGGCACCACAGGGATTGAGATTGTGTGGTGCTGAAGGTAGAGGTACGGGTTCCAGCAAAGAAAGAAATAACAAAGACCTTCCCATGGCGGGGAAAAGACTTCCAGAAAGGACTTTCTTCTTGGAGGGAATGATAATTAGTCATAAGAGCAGCCTTACTGAGCACCTCCAGGCCACACAGTTTTACTGATTCACACACCAACTCCAGGAGGAAGATTCAACTACTAGTTTCGCTTTACAGATGGGGAGACTGAGGCCTCAGAAACATTAGGAAAGTTGCCTACATTTGCACAACTGCTAGGCAGCAGGCCCAGAACTCAAACTCATCTGATTCCAGAGCCCACTCTCCCACCCTCTTCTGCACGGGGCAGGTCAGCACCCCTTCCGACCTCATGATCCTGTTGGCTCCAGAGACTGACTTTGGTCAGCACTCTTTCTAACCTCCACATCTCCTGGGCTTGAAAGAAACTGGCTTTGGATCTGTCTCTGTCGGACTCAGGGACAAGCTCAAGCCCGGACACCGTGCTGCACCCAAGCTGGGTAAGAAGACGAACCATAGGGGTGGTCAGCACTCATTTTTAGAGATGGGCAAACTGGTGCAGAGAGGATTTCTCTGATTCCCAGAGTCCCACAGCAGATCCCCTGAACCCCTTCTCACCAATCTGCCGCCTCCCCTGAGTTAGAGCACAAAAGACAGGGCGGAGCAGACAACTCCACTACCCCCAGCCATCGAGCCAGGCCCACGTAACACACGGGGTTCATTCCCCAAAAAAATCCAAGATGGAAGCAACTACCCCCACCCTCTAGTTTACAGACAGGATAGCTGAAGCTCAGAGATTGAAAGAACTTGTCCAAAGCACACAGCAAAGCACTTTCATTCTCCAAGGATTAACAGATGCCTATATGTGTCAGGCCCTGTGCAAGGCTGTGGAGCCCCAGGAGTTAATGACAATATCCTGCCCCCTGCCACCAGAGGGGTGACAATACCCTGCCCCCTGCCACCACAGGTGAATAACAATATCCACAACTCCTTGCTGTTCCTGTGGGAGGTGAGCAGTAACTCAACTGCCACATGAATAAGTCACAAATGACCAATGGTGGTGAGCATTCCAAGGAGGCAGAAGGAACAGGATGTTAGGAGAAGGAACCACAGTGAAAGCTGCTCCAAGGCACATGTGAGAGCTCCATCCTGGAGGGTGAGCTGGGGAGAACAAGGGAGAGTACTGGGAAGCATCTCCAGCTGCAGGAATAGAGCGTGCAAAGGCCCCGAGTTGGGCATGTGATGGGTGTGTTCCAGAAGGGAGCAGGGCGGCTGGGACGGAGTGAGGTGAAGGGCGGCCGGGGATGAGAAGCAGGAAAGGGGCAGGTTGTGCTCAGCCTTATGGACCATGGGAAGGAATTTAGATGTTCCTCTAAGGACTGTGGGAAGCCGCAGTAGAGATTCAAGTAGGAGAGGGAGTGGATCTCATTGGGTTCTGCAAAGTCAGCCTGGCTGAGGCAGGGAGAAGAAATTCAGAGGCTGTTGGAGTCCTCCAGGAGCAACAGGATGATGGCTTAGAAGAGGATGGGGACCATGGTGAGCAGTGGGCAAATCTGAGATTCACAGAGTCATAGATTGACGAAAGGTGTCCATCTGGCAGCTCTGCAGGGAAGGAAGGGGAGGAGTTAGGAATGACCCCCCAGGATGCCTCTCTGAGCAACAGATGAATGGAGAGCCCGTCACTGGGACTGGGAGGCTGGGAGCGCAGATGGGTCTCAAGAGTTGGTGGGGAAGGCTGCTTCCGACAGGCTGTTTGGGTGTGTGAGCGGCAGTGAGTGGAGGGCACCCAGGTCTTCGGAGCACTTGAAACTCCCAAGGTCCCTACCAACCCCCAAAGCCTCCATGTGCACAAACCCTGGTTCCACCAGGCTGTGCGGCCAGCTGCTCGTCCTCATCCTGGCTGCATTGCTGACCTTCCCCTCTCCGGATCACATCTCCCCACAGGAGGCAGAGCCCTGGCCTCTGTGTCTCTCAAACAGTGATCTCCAAAGACAGAATTTGGGTTTGTTATAGGAGGGCTGCCACCTGCAGCCCCCTAGGCCAGAGCCCATGTCACTGACAATTTCCAAGGCCTTGAAAGGGACCTTTAATCCAACTGTCTGTGTTGAGCAGGCCATGGGCAGCCCCTCCTTCCCCTCCACTTTCCTCTCAGCTCTCCCTTCAAAGGCAGCCCCAGGGAGGAGATGTCCAGCACAGCCTGGCCCTGACAGCGGGACAGGTGCACACCCAGGAGGGTCCGCCATGAGCCCAGTGAAGGATACCACCAGCCAGCCCTCAGTGCAGAAGCCTCCCTGTGCCTGGCACAGGGCTGCTATGGCTGGGGTGGGGGCTACATCACTCCAATACCTGCCAGCCACATTCCACCCTCAGCACAAGGTGCTGTACAGATGTTACCGCACTCCTGGCAACACATTTCCCAGATGGAAAAACCAAGGCTAATAGACATGGTCACTCCATAGATCCTGGGAGTGGAAGTCCTACCCCGTTCTGCCTCCAAAGGCTGGCCAAGCTTGTCACATAGCACGTGAATAATAACTGTCCTACGTATCACCTGCTTTCTGTGGCTAGCTACGGAGCTAAGTGTTTCACAGGCATTCTCATCTGATCTACATGACAGCTTCACGAGCTAAGCACCATTTTCACTGCCATTTTACAGATGAAGAAACAGAGACACAGAGAGGTTAAGGCACTCGCCCAAAGGTCACACAGCTAGTAAGTGGCAGGGCCAGCATCTGAATCGGTCCTGGCTATCTCTGGGGCCAGTACAGTGTATCTCAGTTCCCATTATCTTCCCTCTTCATACAGAGCCTGTGTAGACCATAACATTTTAATATCACAGGTATTCTGTGGATCTGTTTATATACTGGATGTATATCTGTGTTTTATACTTAAAAAGACTAAGACTCCTTTGCCCCCCAAGAACCAATTTCTGCCTCCTTGGGGTCAACATCATCCCCATGGAGTCAAGGCCAGTGCTGTGTGACAGGAACAGAATACAAGCCACACATGTAATTTTAAATGTTCTAGTAGCCACATTAAAAAACAAAGAAACAGGTGACATTAATTTTAACAATGTTATTTAAGCCAATATATCCAAAATACCGACATTTCAAAATACTATCGTTACATGTGATTTTTTTAAATTATTAATAAAAAAAAGTTGACATACTTTTCCTTTTCTACGTTAAGATTTTGAAATCCCCTGAGCACTCCCAATCCAGACCCGCCCTATTTCAAACGTTCAGTGGCTGCATCACGACAGAGGCTGCCATGGTAGGCAGTGCCCGCCCGGCTCCAACCACTCTGCTAAAGCAATGTTCTGCATCTTCCCCAAAACTCCTGAAAATCCACCTATGCGGGACTTCCTCCATCCAAGGAACCCCATCACTCCTAACCAGAGGGTTCCACTTAATAAGTTCTTGGACCTCCTACAGACAAGACACCATGCTAAAAAGCTCACAAGATACAACAAGGAGTAAGAACTGGCCTCTACCCTCAAGCAGCCTACAATCTAAGTGGGAGGAGAGGAGTGAAATAATTACCAACCCTACTGCACACCAGGCTCTGGGGCTTCTCACCCATTCTCTTAATCTTCATACTCATCCTGGGATATGGGTTCTATTATTACCATCCCATTTTATTGGTAAGGAAATTGAGGCTTGACAGACCATGGATTTTGCCCAGGGTCTACTTATTTGACTTGGCCAACCCAGGGCAGAACAAAGATGTTAGCAAAGCCATGTGGAAGCTTTTAAGAACAAGGAGGGCAGCTTCAGAGAGGGCTTCAGGGAGGGCGTGAGTGAACTTGGAGGCAGCATGAAAGGGAAGAAGGAAGCAGAGAGCCAAGGATAAAGCAGGGGTGTATGTATTTGCAGGGAACACAGAAGCAATAAGTGCATTTCTCATGGGCGAAACTGCACAAGCAGAACCTTGGAAGCAGGAAAAGGGGCCAGAATTCTGGGCGCTAAAACGCTGTAGCATGAAGCTGGTGCACAGCGCATGGTATGAGGATAGTCCAAGTTCAATCACCCAGACATGGGAAAGCATCCACTGCCCAACCCATAGACTATAATGTCAGCGGAATCTGACTTCCCAAAATATTTATCAGAAGGCGCTGGGCACCAGATTCCATTCTGTAAACCTGGATGCTGTTCCAAAGCTGAGATGATAGATCTCCCAGAGAACCAGATAAACTCTCCCTCACATTCTAAATAATGAAGGGAAGGTGGGGAAGAGAAGGAGACAAATCAACCTTCTCCAACTGCCCAACTTAAAGGGATTATGGTCAGAAGCAAGACGGGAGCAAGGGAGCCATCTCCTTATCAGGCACACGGCTGCTCCAGACACAGACAAAACTTCTAGCATGCATCCTTCTTCCACATTGGGGGAGAGAAGCACCCAGTCCTAACACACAAAGGTCAGTCCCATCCTCTGGGGGGGCAGAATTTCAAGCCAATCTGTTTCCCCCTAATTTCCAAGAAAGAACAGTCCCTTCCATGTACAGAGGTGCTGACTGGAGCTCAAAGAATGAGGCCCATAAATCTCCAACCTGCTAAGGAGGCCCAGATTTCAAACCTCCCAGTGCGCCGGCCCACTGCACTCAAAGGCACAAGCAAAGGAAGCTGTGGGATGAGTAGATTCAGGAATGTGGATGAAGGAAGACCCCCCTCTCTCGCTGCCAACGATCACCATAGACATTATGGACTGAATAAATGAGGAAGCGCTTGACACAGATGCTCTCACTTAATTCTCCTGAAAGCCCATGAGGCAGGTCCTGCTGTTATCCCCAGTTTACAACAAGAAATGACAGAATCACATGGCTGGGAAATGGCAGCACCAGCTCTAACCTGGACTTCCTGTGTCTCCAGCTGGGGCCCCCCATAGGCTGGCCTACCACTCTCAGTTTCTTCCCCTCTCTGATATGCGGTCCTGGTTTCAAGCCCAGTGCTAACCACGTCTCTTCCCTGTTCAACACCCTTAGGCTTCCGTGTGCTTGCAAAATAAGCCCCAAATCCCCAGAGATGGTTAAGAAAAGGTAGGCGGGTGCTCAGGGGCCCCCCAGGCCTTCGCAAGCCAATTCATGTCACCCACTCCCAACTCCAAAAAAATGCAGCCCACCCCCTCAAAGGGCCCATCCAAGAAGCGGGCTTTCTGGCATCATATTTTCCTCCCACAGAACGTGAGAATAAAGGGCTCTTTGCTTGTCTCCTGAAATAACTGGCTCTCGCCATAAAGCAATCTTCTGCCCAGTAAAAATATTTCTGTAAAACTTGGTAACTCTATCTGCGGTTCCTTTTCTGAAAGTCAAAAATCTTGGGGAGTGAAATATGGCAGAGGCCAGTTTTATGACAAGCTCATGAAGTCATGTCTACCCGAGACAGGCCCTCCTTAACACTGTGATTAATTTGCTGTTAACCACAGGGACTTTGTGTCTTAATATACTCAAAGCAAAGCACCAGTTCACATTTCTACCAGAACAATACCCACCACCCCAGACCTGGTGTCCAGCCAGGCAGGTAGCGGAGCCATGGCTGGGATCTGGGGCCAGAAAGGACTCAGTTGAGATCGGGGACTCTGCCAAAGGGCCATAACACACAAGGGAGCTGTCACCTGTGGCCTGTCCTTGGCCAAGGAGGAGGTACAGCTTATAAAATAAGTGAGGGGTGTCCCGAGATCAGAGTGTAAAAGGCACTCACAGCTAAACCAAACTAACTCCAAGACACCTAGAGAAGCCCCTGAAACCTCCCTAGGGCTGGGTTTTCCCATCTATAAATGGGGAGCAATCATCTCAGGGGAACTCCTGAGCAATCAAATGTGATGTCCCCTCTCAACATCTTCTTCTGACAAACGGCAATCACGCCCCTTCCAGGTGCTATTTTCGGCCCCAAAGAAATGGAGACCGGTTTACTGGGAATCTTTCAGAACACAGCAGCAGATCCAGAGGCCTTAAAGGGCTACTGAGTACATCTGCTGGGTGCTCACTGCATGCTAACACTTCAGTGGCCATATGCATTACTTCATCATTTAATCTTTGAAACAACTCCAAACGGTGGGCATTCTGTTCCTCTTTTTATAGGTAAGAAAACTAAGGCCCAGCGTCAACACGGTTCAGTATAAACCCAAGTCTGAAGCCTGGTCCTAAGCTCTATGCACCCCTCAAATTGGGAGATCACATAGGGAAAAAGGAGTGAAGTAATGCAATTAAGTCTTAAAAAAAAAGGGGGGGGGCCATAAAAACTAAAACAGGAGTTCCTAACCTGGGGCCATAGGTGCCCTGAAATTGGAATGACGGATGTAAGAGCATTTATCTAAGGAGAGAGACACAAGAGATTTGGTGGATTCCCAAAAGTGTCTTGTTACTCACTCCTTGAGGGTTAAAAATCATCAACCTATGATCATCATAGAGAGGTCAGAAGCTTGAAAGGAAGGCTGTAACCCAGGTGGGCTGCATGGAGGAGGTGGCAAACCACCTAGGTTCTTCCAAGATCCAATGGCAATGGGTGGGTCAATGGTCAGCTACCTAGCTGCCCTGTCCTTACCCAGCCTTGCCAGCTGCTGACCAGAGCCTTGTTCAGTGATTCTGATTCCAGGGACCAGGCCATCCACAGCTGTTGGCTCCACCCATACAGTGTGCTTTCTACAGCCTTCTCCTCTCAAGTCAGTTTCTCATTAGGGAGGTTCAAGGGATGCGGGGACGGGGGTGATCCCAGCCTCCACTCCAGGACAGGCATGTGACCCAGGACTGTCAGAGGCACAGGGATGGGTTCCGGGATGTGACCCAAGTCAAAACAATGGGAGCTCCGCCTGGGTTTTTGCTGGAACTTTCTTCTCTAACAACTGAAGCTGGGAGTCTGGACTGCTGGGAGCCAAGTTGCCATTACCTGGGAAGGGTGTGCCTAAGGATGAAGCCAATCTAAAAGAAAGCAGAGATGAAGACACAGATTGCTGTCCTGGGACATAGTTTGGGCTGGTGGATCCAGCTGTAACTGAAGTCCACTCCCTGGTTACACAAGCCAAGAACTTGACTGTATGAAACAGTTGACAAGGGCTTGAAATCCAAAAGGTCCCAACGGATCCACAGAGAAAGTTCACACCTACTTAACCACAAGCTCCCCCTGAAGCTGCTTTCCTCCTCGATTTTGTAGACACCAGCCAGAAGGAAAAACTCCAGCTTTGCCAGAAAAATAGCAGAGCCACACCTGGTGATCATATCAGGATGTGCAGTGTGTGTCGGGGGCACAGGGCAAGGGGTGGAAGCAGAAATGCACACTGTTGCTCTAAAGTCGACCACAGGCAGAAGCCCACAAATGATCTAAATGCCCAGTAGTAAGGAATCAATGCAATGATGGTCTATCCTTATAACAGAAGGCTTGATAGCCATGAAGAACAATAAGATTATACATTCTGATATGAAATGATTTCCAAGATAAGTTTAAAAAGTTATGTATTAAGAAAGCAAGGTGCGGAGACAGATGTATACATGAATCTTAAGTTAAAAGAAAATCTTAAGTTAAGGTCTGTATCACTTTTCATTGTAGTTGCTGAGAGACATGGTCTCGCTCTGTCGCTCAGGCTGAAGTGCAGTGGTGCAAACATGGCTCACTGCAGCCTCGAACTCCTGGCCCCAAACCATCCTCCCGCCTCAGCCTCCTAAGTAGCTGGGACTACAGGCACACATCACAAACCTGGCTAGTTTTTTGTTGTTACTGTTGTTATTTTAAGAGATGGGGTCCTGCTACATTGCCCAGGCTGGTCTCAAACTCCTGGGCTCAAGCAATCCTCCCACTCTGGCCTCCCAAAGTGCTGTGATTACAAGCATGAGCCACTGCACCTGGCTTCTATATCACCTTTTTTTTTTTTTTGAGACGGAGTCTCACTCTGTTGCCCAGACTGGAGTGCAGTGGTGCAATCTCAGCTCACTGCAAGCTCTGCCTCCCGTGTTCACACCATTCTCCTGCCTCGGCCTCCTGAGTAGCTGGGACTACAGGCCCACACCTGGGTAATTTTTTGTATTTTTAGTGAAGGAAACACGGGGTTTCACCATGTTAGCCAGGATAGTCTCGATCTCCTGACCTTGTGATCCGCCCACCTTGGCCTCCCAAAGTGCTGGGATTACAGGCATGAGCCACCACACCCAGCCTCTATATCACTTTTTTATGGTTCTCCACCTTAAATGAATTTTTCAATTAACCTGCAAATACCAATGCTTCCTGGTCTTGTTGGCCAAGACAGCTTCTGCTGTCTGTGCAGGGATAAGCATGCACAAACAGAGCATGGCTAGAAGTATCTTGAGGAGCCCACTACAGCAGATACCTCCAAAGGGGGAAGCTGGGAGGTGGAGGTGGGCGGAGGCTTCCTGTGTACTGCATACCTTCAGTACTATTTTGGATTTTCTTTTCTTTTTTTTTTAACCATGCGTACGACTTAATTTACAGAAAGGAAAAAGGTGAGGACCCTTTCTGAAGGGCAGAGGCTCTCTTCAAAGACACAGAACAGCCTGGCTCCATAAAAGAGGTGGGGACTTGGACAGAACAGAACAGAATCCCTGCCTCTCTGGCTGTGTGCCCTCTGGCCAAGCTGCATGGCCCCTCTGAACCTCATCCACCTGGAAAATGTTCTTGAGGATCTGCCATGTGCCAATCAGTGCAAAAGGCCCAGGGATACAAGAGTGAGCCACAAAGAACCTGACCTGTGGACTTTACAGTCTGGCCTCAGTTTCCCCATAATAATAATTTTGATCCTGGCCACATTTTTGTGAATATTAAATGCCTGACAAAGCCCTGTGAGGAAGGCTTTGCAAGCCATAAAGCCCTGGGTAAATCCTGGCTGGAAAACAGCCACCCACTCAATGCTGCTGCCTCCAACTCAGCAGGGAGTTTACCTTCCAGTGCCCCAGACCCAGAGCCAAGAGGACGAGACGCCAGTAGCAGCTGCTGAGCAGAACCTCCAAGGTTAAGAAGGCTAGAAAGGCCCCGATTTGTGACATCACAAGAAGGTGCTCTGATCCAACCATCTAGAAGGAAGACCATGATCATTCCCCACCATGGCCATGGCTGCGGCCAGCCAGGGCTAACCAAGCCTGAACACAGCTATGTTACAAGGAAGGGGGCTCTGGACAGGCCCCAAAGACGGTTAACCAGTACTTCCTGTGGGGGAGAGCTTTCTTTCCATGACCACCTGCTGTGAATCACTCCTTTGCACTCCTTTGACGCCTCCCTGCCCACTGAGGATGGAGTTTAGCCTGACACACAGGGTCTTCTCCATGCATCCAGGGCTGTGCCCACTGAGGATGGAGTTTAGCCTGACACACAGGGTCTTCTCCATGCATCCAGGGCTGTGCCCACTGAGGATGGAGTTTAGCCTGACACACAGGGTCTTCTCCATGAATCCAGGGCTGTGCCCACTGAGGATGGAGTTTAGCCTGACACACAGGGTCTTCTCCATGCATCCAGGGCTGTGCCCACTGAGGATGGAGCTTAGCCTGACACACAGGGTCTTCTCCATGCATCCAGGGCTGTGCCCACTGAGGATGGAGTTTAGCCTGACACACAGGGTCTTCTCCATGCATCCAGGGCTTGCCCACTGAGGATGGAGTTTAGCCTGACACACAGGGTCTTCTCCATGCATCCAGGGCTGTGCCCACTGAGGATGGAGTTTAGCCTGACACACAGGGTCTTCTCCATGGGTCCAGGGCTGTGCCCATTGAGGATGGAGTTTAGCCTGACACACAAGGTCTTCTCCATGGGTCCAGGGCTGCGCCCACTGAGGATGGAGTTTAGCCTGACACACAGGGTCTTCTCCATGGGTCCAGGGCTGTGCCCACTGAGGATGGAGTTTAGCCTGACACACAGGGTCTTCTCCATGCATCTAGGGCTGTGCCCATTGAGGATGGAGTTTAGCCTGACACACAGGGTCTTCTCCATGGGTCCAGGACTGTGCCCACTGAGGATGGAGTTTAGCCTGACACACAGGATCTTCTCCATGCGTCCAGGGCTGTGCTGTCCAATGAGGTAGCCACTAGCCTCATGGGGCTATTTAAGTTCACATTTAAATTCATTCAAATAAAATATATCTTAAAATTTAGGCAGTCTCTGAGTCCCAGTGGTCACATTCTAAGCCACAGGTTCCCAGAGGGGACAATGCAGACACAGAACATTTCCATCATCAGAAAGTTCTACTGGTCAGCACAGTCTAGAGGTCACTTCTACAGCCCCTTCTTCTACCCATTCTACGGCGGGGGGGGGGGGTGGTGGTGGGACCTAGCAGCCCTTTCAAGAGAGGCAGGTGTCAGTGACTGCCAGGGTAGCTCTAAATCCGCTTGCAAGTTTAAGCAGCCACAGTTATGGGGATGTGGGAAGAGGAGAGAGAACCATGGAGCGAGAGCTTGTCATGAGTGAGGGCCTGCACTGGCTTCTCTGTAGGGTCGCTCATTAGGTCCCGCTACACTACAAATGGGGAGTGCCCTCCTCCCCCCTCATCCCTCTCCAACTCCTGCACCCTCCTCTCTCCTTTCCTTCAGGGTCCAGTCGGCCCAGCTGTTGCCTAGTACAGAAAGGTTCTGACTCAGGCTCAGGAAACCCCAAGGAGTCTACATTTTGAATAGCACCCAAGAGATTCAGATGTAGGTGGTCCTCGGCCGCATCGAGTCTCCCCAACTCCACACCCTCTGGCTGCTGTCTTCTCTCTCCACTCCTTCTGATAAAGCTTCTCCATACAGTTGCCTACACATGCTGTTTCCTCATCTGTCATTCACTTTTAAAATACATCACCTTTTTGAAAAATACAAAAAGTAGCACATGCTCATTTTTTGTAAAATCAAACAACCTAAAAATGTACAAAATGAAAAGCAAAATTCTCCATTCCTCAGGGAAATAGTCCTTGACAGTGTACCCTTCCAGATCTTTCTCTATGCACCTGCAGATACACAGTGACACAGGCCTGAATAGACTTTTTCACACTGTAAGAAACAGGACCATGGCCTATGAATGTTTTGCAGTTGCTTTGCTCATTCAGCAGCGTCTCAGGGTCTCTTTCCTGTCAGCAAGAGAGGCCCTTACTCGCTGGGCTTTGACCAGTTGCAGAGAGCTCAATGAGAAGTCCACACCACTGTTACCTTGTACCCTAGTGATGGATGTTTGAGTTGTCAAAAACTTTTCATTCTTCCAAATGCAGCCATGAATGTTCTTGTAAGTATGTGCTTCTGCTCCCCTGCACATATTTCTTAGTCCCTTCGTGAGCCACCCAAGTCTCACCTCTGCTGTCACTTCACCAAGACAGTTCCTGCCAGACCCAACTGTGACCGCCAGGATCCTAAACCCAAGGGACACGTCTCAGTCCTTTTCTATAACTCCACTCTCTCTGCAAGAGACCACCTACTCTCCGGTAGACTGTGTGGATGGCCCCCAGTGAATCCCACTTCCCAGTATTTATGCCCCTGTGTAGTTCCTTCCCCTAAATCTAGGCTGGACCTGTGACTTGCTTTAATGAAGAGAATGTGTTGTTGCTAATTCCAGGCCTAAACCTTAAAGAGTCCTGGCCGTTTTTGCTTCTATACTCTTGGGAAAGACAGCCACCATGTAAATCTGATTACCCTGAGACTGCCATACTGTGAGGAAGCCCAAGCTACTCATGAGGTGAGGCCAACTAGAAGAGAACTGAAGCCCCAGACATGTCACTTATTTGGAGCTGCTGCAGTCAGACCCTTGCTGTTAGAGCCACCCTAACTGTGCTACATGGAGCCACAGACAAGTTGACCCTCCCAGGCTTGGTCCAAAGTGCATACTCTTAAGCAAGTCACAAAGTGATCAAGTCACTAATCTTTGGACTTTTTTTTTTTTTTTACAGCAGTAGAAACAAAGCCTTCTCCTTTCCTTTAATGCATTTTTGAGAGGAGGAAGCAGAAGGCAGGAGAGGTCATAATAGATACCTCATAGCTAAGCTGGAGGCACCCCCAGGCTCAGGGTTCCCAGCGCAGCATTGTGTCCAACCCCTGATGACTGAGCCATGTCTGTGTTTCTCCTGGGATGAAGCTGCTGCTGTTGGCTTCTCAGGGGAGAAGCCATGGGCCCCCCCTCCATGGGACTGCTCATCCTCTTCATTCCCTAAGCAAAGGGAGTGAGCCAGCAGCAAGCACCCACAGCATCCCTGGGAGCACTGACCCAGGCCCAAAAGTCAACAAACCAAACAGCTCAGAAAGCACAGAGAGGTCAGGAAAGTTGCCCTAGGTCACACTGCTAGTGAGAAGTAGAGCCAGGGCTCAAAACCAGGCATTCAGGCTCAGGGCCTGCACCAGTGACCCACACCAGCGTTTTTCTAATACTCTGATTATGACCTATAGTAAGAATTATATTTTACAATATGCCTCTGCTGTAGATAGATAGATAGATAGATAGATAGATAGATAGATAGATGGGTTTGGGTATAGGTGTGTGTAAAGTGTGTGTATACATTTTTTTTAACTAGAACAAAAAATTACACAAAACAATATTTACTCTTACTATATATAATGTTTTCTCATATTTTTACTCTATTTCATTTTGGTCACTAAATTGATGTCATGAACCATGAATGGGGCTGAGACATACAGTTGAAAAAAAAAAAAAAACTCGCCTAAACTGATTTAAGATGGCTCTAAAATCACACTGAGTGATCTGAATTTGAATCTTGCTGAAGCAAGATTCCACTTCCAAGTTAAGTGACCTTGGGCAATATGGTTGACTTCTTTAAAGCCTCAGTTTCCCTATGGGTAAGATGGGCATAATAATAACAGCGGCCTCATAACAGTGCTCTGAGAATCCAGCACTATGAACAGTGCTTGGCCCAGAGCCTGGCACACAGCAGACACGCAGCAAGCAGCAGCTACGCTGTTACCACCTCCTCCTCGGGCTGCAGCTCCCAGACTCAGCACGGGGCTATGCACACAGTGGGCAGCTCGCGGGCACACTGAGCCTGCAGCCACTGAGAAAGCAGGCACGTGCCCAGGACCAGCTGAGGCAGTGGGTGCCTTTGGACTTTCCAGGGCAGGGAGGAAGCAGAGAAAGTCCCCAGTGCCCGCTGAAAAGGCAACTTTGTTCCTGGATTATAGTAGTTCTCTTCAATCATCTTTTTGCCTTTGAAGGGGGAAAGAAGGGTAAAACAACAAAGTCAGGGTCAAAAACTGTCCTGGAACAAGGCTCCCTCTGGAAACCAGGCATGGAATGGGCATGGCACCACACACCAGCACCCCCAAACCCACTCACTGGAGCCACCGCAAGCCGAGGCCTCTGAGTGAGGGGCCCACCAGCCCACGCAGCCTTCTGAAGTTAGAAAAACATCCTCCGGCCTGAGCCCATTAGGGAGGCTGTGGCCTGAGGGAAGACAGCCCCATCCTGCTAACAGGGTCCTTTTATGCTCTGCCTCTCCCCTCCTCAGGACCCCAGCTCTATGCTCAAGGCCAGAAGGCTTGGGCAGCCCAGCAGGCCAGCCAATCCGCTCCAGGGTGACACTATTTCTTGTGACTGAGAGGTTCTCCTCCCTACCTCTTCCAACCTGACCAGAAAGCTGGAGTCCACAGACACCAGTAACACTTCATGGAAGACTTGCGGCAAGGAGACAAGGCCTCATGACGGGATGCAACATACAGTGGTACCACCCAGCCCAGCAGGCACTGCCCACTCCCTGCTGCTGCACCACATAGTTCTGCTCTAACACCTCAGAGACTGGAATGTGGTTCCAAGTCAGACACCGAGAAGGAGGCTGAACACTTTCTCTGTGCACCAACCCTGCATGCCTCTTGCCCTTTGCACATCCCGTGCCTTCTGCCTGGAATATTTTTAATAAACCTTTCCCCACCTAGCTATTTCCTATTTATTCTTTGGGTCTTAACGACTTACGCATCACTCCCTAATCTGAAGTAGAATCCTCCGTTATTCTCCTTCCCCATCCTTTTCCTTCACTGCACTTAGCACACTGGTACCACACTGAGCACACATCCAGGTGATCACTAGCAAACAACACTGGCAAGCTGCAAAAGAAGGGGTGACATCTCCTTTATTCTTTAACTTGCTGAAATGAACCCATTTCTACCCTTAAAACAACCCAATGAGGTAGGAACCATTACTCTACCCATTCCACAGATGTGAAAACTGAGAATCAGAGATGAGCCATCACTTGGCCCAAGGCCACCGAGCTGGGGAGAAGTGCAGCTGGGACTCAGACCCAGGAAGTCTGATTCTGCAAGTTCTAAGCACACCTCTGGCACCTTCTATGGGCACATGCTGGTCTTCAGCATAAAGTCTCCCAGCCCACATCTTTGTTTTGTTGTTTGTTTGTTTGTTTGTTTGTTTGAGACAGAGTTTCACTCTTGTCACCCAGGCTGGAGTGCAATGGCACGATCTTGGCTCACTGCAACCTCCATCTCCCGGGTTCAAGGAATTCTCCTGCTTCAGCCTCCCAAGTAGCTGGGATTACAGGTGCCTGCCACCATGCCCGGCTATTTTTTTTTTCTTTCTTTTCTTTCTTTTTTTTTTTTTTTTTGTATTTTTAGCAGAGACGGGGTTTCGTCATGTTGGCCAGGCTGGTCTCAAACTCCTGACCTCAGGTGATCCACCAACCTCGGCCTCCACCAACCTCGGCCTCCCATCCCAGCCCACATCTTTACTTACCCTTCCTGTGCCTCCCACATTGCTCTCCCACCAGACTGAAATACACTGTGCACAGCTTCCTGGCAATGAGCCTTTGCTTGGCCTGCACTCTCTGCCTTGGATGCAGCCTGCATCCAGCTCTCCCTGGCTGGGCTAGTGACTCTAATTTGCTGGGCCTGCCTCCTCATCTATGCGATAGCGGAATAATACCTAAGGCAGTTGTGAGGATTCTACAAGAGAATGCATGGAAAGTATTAGGCACAATGTTGAGTCCATATGATACTCACTCGTGTGTCCTTTTATCACTAACATACTGCTTCTCTACCACCACCACCATCAGAATCTTAAAGGTCTAAATCAGCAAACACAAGCCAGTGTACTAACAGGCCAAATCCAGTCGTCTGAGTCACCCAAAGAAGGTGTTTTCTAAAAATTTTAATTGGTTAACAATAATTTTTTAAATTGGAAAAGTTTCACATAAAAATTCAGACAGCTGGATTTTCTTAATGATCAGCCCGTGTGGCAACACCAGGGCCATATTCCCACATGGCAGTGATTGGCTGGGGTTGAGTGGCACTGCCCCCTTGAGGCAGGGTGTGTGTTCCCCGGGGGCACCCCGGTTCCCACCCCTCTCAGATGTCTCCCACTGAGCCTGTGGCATTCATTCATATGACCTCTCTGGCCCCTGTAGGTCCTTAAGTTTCTAACCCCTGATCTCAGTCTTACCATTCTTCAAATCCCTACTCACATGCCCACTTCCTTCAAAAAAACCCTCCCCAACCTCCACAGCCCTGTGCTTCCCTTATGGTTTTATAACTTTAACAGTTAACTTGCACTGAGTACTTCATGCAAAGATCCAAAGTAAAATATTAGCCTATCAAATGCGGTCACATTTAAAAGAATAATCTATCATGACAAAGAATTTCGGAGGGCCAAGAAGGTTGCACTAGGAAATCCAGCAATGTAAATCAAGCATACAAATCACACACCACATTAGCAAAGAATGATGCATTCCATCTGCATCCCAACAGCATGTGACAAAATTCAATAATTATTCCTGATTTTACAAAGCTCAGAAAGCCAGGAGTTGAAGGAAGCTTTCTTAAACAAAAAGTATCATACTTGGTAGTTATTAAACAGAGTATGAGATTCTAACCAATGCAATGAGATTCTAACCAATGCAATAAGAGAAGAAAAATCGATGAAAGGCCATGGGGAGAGCTTAGTTCCACTCTCACAGAGGCAAGAACTATGTCCTAGTCCTCACAATTTCCACAACACCCTAAGCACAGCACGTGGGATAGATAAAGCAGTCAAATATTTGTGGAATGAAAAACACCCCAGATGAGTTCTGATCCCTGGTACATGTTCTCAAAACATCCAGTACTTTTTGGAGGCACATATCACAACTTAAATTGCACAACTTGTTTATGAAAATATTTCTGTTTTCCTACAAGATGGTAAGTTCCATGAAATCAAGGCCTTCACTCTAGGTACCAAGCACAGGTGTCCCTGGCCTAAAGCAGGTACTCAATGCCCACTCCAAGAGACATGAGGGCCTACTGGAGGGTGCAGGGTGGGAGGAGGCTGAAGATCTAAAACTACCTGTTGGGTACTGTGCTTATTACCTGGGGGATGAAATAACCTGCACACGAAACTCCCATGACACACAATTTACCTGTAGAACAAACCTGTACATGTACCTTGAACCTAAAATAAAAGTTAAAAAATATATATAAGGCTGGGCACAGTGGTTCACGCCTGCAATCCCAGCACTTTGGGAGGCCAAGGCAGGAGGATCATTTGAGGCCAGGAGTTTAAGGCCAGCCTGGGCAACACAGTGAGTCCCTGTCTCTAAATTTAAAAAAAAAAAAAAAAAAAAAACCCTACTGCAGATGCATGAATGAATGCACTCAATAGATAGTGCTAAATTATCATGATGTTATTCTACTTCTCAGCTGGAGAATCTGAAGCCCAGGCAGGGAGCCTTTGGCTGAGGCCACACCAATGTGAAGCCCTCTCAGTACCCTGGTGTCCTCTGAAAGGCGTCGGCCACACGCACACGCCACAGCCCATGTGACTTAACAAGTAAGGAAAGCAAAGCCCAGACCCATGCCTCAGAGCCCTCTAAACAAACACATCCAGGACCCACCCCGGCGGGCCAAGCCGCCACCGCTCTGAGGCTGGGGATGACTTCAGTGCGGAGACCTGAGGCTTTCCTCCCAGAGCCCCACGACTGGTGCCCACAAGGCTAAACAGCTCCCTTCTGCCTTCCCAGGAAGCTATCAAAGAATTACTTATGTCTCTGGAAGTGCTTGTTTAGAAAAGGTTCTCCACCCCACCTGGGCTTGGCAGGAGCGCAGCATCACCAGGCTGCCCTTCGGAGCTGCTCAGGCTTGCCTCCAGCCCCTGGAGGAGCTCAGCCATCTTTCACACAGAGAGTCGAAGCCATGAAGCAGCGGGAAGCTTCCCAGGATAAACGGAGCAGGGTGACATCAAAGTCCTCCTTCCAGATTAAACAACTGAGGCCTTCAACTCTCGCTTGCGTTCCTTCCAGGATATTCTGGGCTCCTGCCTCAGTTCTCCCTCCGATGGAATGGCAGATATTTTGTTTGTGAGAGACTGAATTTTTTCCTTCCTCAGGGAGAGGGTGGGGGGGAAGGGACGTGGGGAGGGAGAGGAAGAGAAAGAACGTCTGTGAGAGACAAGAGCGGCAAAAAGAACACGTGTGAGTGGGCAAGAGAGAGGGAAGGCAGGGAGGCAGCCAGAAGTGCCTGGTTTGGAATCCAACAAGTGATGTGAAAAGTCCAAAAGTGTCTAAATCCAAGCATCTTGTGATTCGCAGCCATGGGGCTGCAGGACCCCCCAGCTCACCAGTACCGGGGGGCTGCACATCCTGTCTCGGACAGCCCTGCTCAGCCCACATGGGGGACCCTCCTTCCATAGGCACAGGCGCGCTGCAGTTCTGGGGCATGATTAGCTCTCTCTGGGGTTTGCTGGTCACTCCCTCTTGTTCCCTGGTCCCTGAAGAGCCTCCTTCTTGAGCAGCAACCTCACCCCACAGGTCCTCCGCAGCCCTGACAGCTAAGCTTCCAGCCCTGCAGCTGACCTCCTCCCCCAACACAACAGCAGGGCCACCAACCCCAACAGGCCAGGTTGAGCCCCCAAGGACCTGTCCATGACACAGGGGCAGCACGCTCGCTGACTGCCCGCCCTGCTCCACCCAACATACCTGTCCAGGGGGACAGACAGGTAACTCAGATGTGCCAAGAGCCACCAATGCACGAGGCTTTCCACAGACAGTGCCAGGAACCACTTCCAGTTCCCACAGGCTGCAGAGCCATTTGGAGGCCACATTCCCTTCTTGATTACCCGCTTGATTCCACACAGAAGCCTCCCGGCAATCCCCAACCCCATCCTACCAGGGCAGCTTGAGCCTGGGGCCTCGGTCAGCTCTTCCCCCCACCTCCAACTCCTTCCTCCTCTCTCCTCAGCCTCAGCGGCCCATCCTGCCCCCTCCCTCCCAGAGTGCCTCTGTGTGGTCCTAGGAGTGGGCCTGGGTACTCACTGCTGCTTTGTCCCCTTCATCAGACTGGATGCCACAGGAGGGCAGGAACCACATCTCTCTTATTCTCCACTGTATCCCCAGAGCCTGGCCCAGTTAGGGACTTATTAATTCATAATTAATAACAAGGCCAAGTGTGGTGGCTCACATGTGTAATCCTAGCACTTTGGGAGGCTGATGTGGGAGGATGGTTTGAGGCCAGGAGTTCAATCCAGCCTGGGCAACAAAGCAAGACCCGATCTCTATAAAAAATAAAAATGAATTAGCCGGACACAGTGGCGTGCACCTATAGTCCCAGCTACTCAGGAGGCTGAGGCAGGAGGATCACTGTGAGGCCACAGTGAGCTATGACGCCACTGCACCCCAGCCTGGGTGGCAGAGTGAAACTATGTGTCTAAAAAATAATAATAATAAACAAAGAATTATTGATAATAATTTATACTAATTCATTAAGCTGAGTGCCTAAAAGAAAAAGCCTGGTTCCACCCTTCCACTCCAGACAGAAGGACCTGGGAAAAGATGGAATTTGGAAGCAGGAATTAAAGGAAAGAAGCTGACCAGGGAAGAGGAGCTGGGGAAAAAGGAGGCAGGGAGGGTGACCTAATCTATCTTCATTTCTTTCTTCTTTTTTTGCTGCTGACAGTTCAGCCTTGATGTTTCCTGCCCTCGCGGGGACAGTTTGATCCCAGAGTGTACCTGAGCTTCCTGGTACAAACAACAACACTGTCCATCGATCCATCCATCCCCACCTTCCAACATCCCCACTGGGCGAGCAGAGGAAACATCCCCTGAGTTCTAGGACCTTGCAGGACCCACAGCAGGTGCCTCCTGGATTTGATTTCCCCCAGGTTTCCTACAAAAATGTGAATGAAGAGGGTGCTCTTGGGCTCTAGAGAACAGAAGGCATGCACAGTCTGGCTCAGGGGCATCCAGCCTCCTTCCCCAAGAAGAAAAGTCTCAAAGTGAGGACAAGACACTCCTCGAAGCCTCTACCGGAGACCACATCACAAAGACCCATTAAAGCGCTAAGAAGATGACACCCATGGCCGCCACCCACCCATCCTGAGGGACCTATGGAAAACCAGAAGGTCCCCCCACTCCCCAGCACTCTGCCCAGCCCAAGCTCTCCCAGCCTCTGCCTCCCATCCCCCAGGAGGAAAGACAGTGCCCAGGCTGGGCCAGGCAGCTGGCCCTGGTGCCCATGAGCAGAGGGGACCCTCCCTGGAGAACTCGAAAATGCCAGTGAACAAGGCCCAAACACCTCCATCCTGAGTCCTTCTCCAGCCTTAAAGCAAATCATCTTTTAATCCTGAAACACCAAATATTTAATTTATGCTCTACCTCAAATGTCAAGCCCACCTCCCATCACATAGCTTTGAAACCACGTAAAGAAGCCTAACACTTTCCATATGGCAAAGACATGGGGCCTTTTAATTGTGCCAACTGGTATCATTCAAGGGTAATTCCCTTGGAATCTGGCACTCGGGCAACAGCTGGGCCAGCCTCCAATCTCATCACCCAACCCCACACGTCCCCATGGGCTCCAAGTAAGCCTGCACCCTCCTCATCTTCTCCAAATATCAAAGTGCACTAGGTACCCCCAGTCAAATTACCAAACTGCCTGGCAGCCGCCTTTGATCCAGAGGCGGGCTTGCCTGCACCACGGCTCTCAGCCTATTTCTTCAGGCAGCTCTGCTGTAAAGGAACAAAAGGGCCAACCGGGGCCATGGGGAGATTATTTTAAATCTGGTTGTACATATTCACAATCAGCCTGTGAGCATATACAGAGGCACACAGGTCTTCACCAAGTGTTTCCCACCTGATACCTGAGTCCACTGCACTATTTAATCTATCTATTAAGCTTTTTCACTTGTCCATTCTATTTTCCACACCCAGTGTTTCCAATTGGTTTTCTTCTCTAACTGCCTGTTGCTGCTTCATGTTTCCAGCATCCTCCGTTTCTCTCTGAGTTTATGATGCTTATTTTGCTTTCTAATTGTTTAACATGGTGTTCTTTGCCGCGTGTGCTGATCAGTTTATTGCTCCTCTTCCACAGTACTCGTGCGCCTCCCATTTCTCATTCCTTTTCTCCTATGAGTCCATATTCCCTTGGACTTGCTCATGTCCCCATGGAAAGGGCAAAAGCCCAGCCCTTGGCCTGCGTCCCTCCAAGTGAGCCTGCCATGACAGTGGGGGAGGCAGAGAGCCTCTAGCATTCTTATCCCAGCCCTATCACTCCCTGTTTGTAGGCCCCCATCTCCAACCCTACAAATGTCTTCAGTGAATCTCCCAGTAGGTTCCCTTCCTTCCCAGGTTCAACAGTTATAATCCCATCATAACCCGCCAGGGATGAAAATATTATTACACCCATTTTGCAGATGAGCTAATTAAGGTATACAAGGGCAAAATGGTTTGCACAGGTGACAAATCACTAGGACAGAGCCTGACCTCATTTATTTCTGTATTTAAGAGGGCAGGCTTAGTTTAATGCCAGCATGGTCACCCTTTCACATCTCAGGACCCTGCAGGCAACTTGGACTCATCTGGGACATTTCCCAAGCCCCTCAGACCTCATCAGGAAGGAAGAGGGCAAACAGGGGCCACTCCTGCTTCTGCCTGCCCCACGACTGGCTCATCTCGAAGCACCCCCTCTCTGGGAGTTTTGTATGTAGCACCCTCCAGGCGGATGCCCTGGCACAGGGCTTCTCTACAAATGGCTTCTCCTAGAAAGTGCTCCAGAAAGGGAGAAACACACAGTCCACACCAGCGGGCTGTCAACACTACAAGGTTATGGGGAGGATTAAGATAATGTAAGCAAAGTGCTTGACACATATAGGCACTTAATAAATACTAGTTATCATTGCAATAACAATAATACTAGTTGGATGAGCCACTGTGTCTCCAGCCACTTAGTTGACAGGCCACGTAAAGGACTAGAGGCAGAGACTAGCCCCAAAACAGGCCTGGGGTTGGTGGGAGGACCTCTGCCAGCCCTTGGAAACCAGCAGACTTTGGAGCCCATGCCCTCCTACATCCTGATGATATCATGGAAGAACCTACCAGCTACCCCTTCGGCACCAGAGGGAATCAGGGAAATGAACTAGCCTGAGGGTTGCCCATTGCTGTCCTGTTCAATATCTTAGTGCTTCCCAAACTTGGGGCATTCCATTCCCACATTCACAATTTTGACCACTTGTACTTAATATTTTTCTCTGAATGGACTTCACGTTAGACTCTTTTTTAACTTAGCTTCATCCTAAGCAATAAAATCTGCAAAATCATGGGTTTGATGTCCTAGTTATTTTTTTTTCTGGTAAAAAAAAAAAGATAACTATTAAGATTTAAAATGTTCCCCCAGATTCCACCTGAAATCACCTGGAGGATGCCTGGAGTGCTGTTCCACACCCTGGGCTCCCCCTGAAGTTCTGACTCCTTATCCCTACCTCTGCAGACACACTGGCTGGGCCATCTGGGGCCAAGGTTGGTGAAAACCCAGGCGTCTGGGTCCCCAGCAGCAAGAACAACTCCCAAGGAGACAGAGGCCGGCCCCCTGCATAACAACTTTGATGGCTGCGGCCCACCCTCCAACCACCTGACACATGTCATGCCAACGGCTCTGAGCCTCACATCTTCAAAAGTACTTTGAACAAACATTAATGACCTCTCAGCATTTCTCTGAGAGAGGGGGTGAGGGAGAGAGGGGGACAGGCACCATCCCATGCTGTCCTCAGCTGGGGGAAGAAACTAGGCAACAGAATTCCGTGACTTCACCAAAGCCACAGACTTAAGCTGGGGCCCCCTCCCCACCCTCCCTCACTTCCCCCAATGGCAACTTTAGTGGCCTGCATTCCTCTCGCTGGGAACACTACTATTTAATTAAAAACGACAGACTTTTGTTTTCCTCTCCCTCTTTCCTCCTCCCTCCCATCCTCCCAGACTGGATGCCAAGGAGACCCACCAAAAACATGCGGGTAACATTTGTTATGGCTTTGAAGATAAAAGTCAATTGAAGTAAGCCCTCGCTGTATTTCAAGTTTTCCCTCTAGCATGGAGCAAGCTGCCTGGCAGTTTAGAAAAAAAAGAAAAGAAAAAGAAAAAGGAGGGACTGCAAATAAATGTCATTCTGCAGGAATACTTTGTAAAAATAAACAGGCTGAAAAAACCCAAAACTTGATTAATGGAAATCCACTCAGTTGGCCTCTGTCTGGAGCTGTAAATGCATTTGTTCATACGGCTAAATTAGACCGTTTTCGTTGGCCTTTAAATAAATAAGTAGATCAAAAACTAGAAAGGGCAGGGGAAGAAGGAGAGGTTTGTAGTTCTCTTTTTAAAGGGCCCCAACTGCAGTGCCCCCCGCCCACCAAGATTTGACCTTTACTAGGGGACAGCAGCTCCAAGTCCGACCCGGCCAACAGAAGACAGAGAAGCCCCCAGCTAAGCAGTGGCGGTGGAGGAGGACAGGGGAGCTTCTCCTAGGCCCAGAGGTTATTTCATCCACACACAGGAACTGACTTTATCCACAGGTCCACCTCCCGACACCAGCACTGCAAGCGAGCTGCCAGGTCCCACCACCCAAATACAAACACATCTGAAGTCTCCACTGGCCTCTCCCCAGCCCATGGATAAGACCAAAGAACTAACCAGACCTGAGACTCAGTCTATTCCCCCTCTAAGTTAAAAAAAAAAAAAAAAATTAAATGTCACATCAAAAAGTTGATTCATCCTTTGATCCTAGGCTTGCGCGAGTTCCACGCAGACTGCCTGAAAGCCCCGTGCAGAGTTCCGGAGCTCACAGGACATCTGTGAACGCCAAGTCCCAGGCCAGGAGCTGGGGCTGGACTCACTCATTCCCATCACACTTAGTGCTCCTCCAGGAACTCCAGCCTCAGAGACACACGGGGTGAAGGCTCAGGGCTCTGCCCAGGCTACAGTGGAATGAGGCCCTCTATCTCATATGCCAAGTAAGGGGTCTTCCAGGTCTCAGTCCCCCTAGATCTGCTACCCAGAGGGCCGCCTGCTCTACTGGGGTTCCTGTACAGGTGGTACTGATGAATGCCACAGACAATCAGAACATATTCAGATCCTGGGGCCAGCACAGCTCTGCCTTCCACCCAGACACCCCTAATACCCCCTTCTCTCTAGCCCCTACTCCACCTCCACCTTTGAATGCTGGTGGCAGAAACAAGGTAGAAGTCAGAGCAGGCCCCCAAATCCCGCCGGTACAGACACGATTCCCCATCAACTGGACCTTCACCACCTCCCCACCTAGGACCTTTCCCCCAGGCAGCCCTCTGCCTCCAGCTGGGCACTTCGAGGTTCTCCAAGGCATGCGGGCAGAGGGTCGCGTTGGTGGGGCAGGGGGCAGCTGAGAAGAGATTTTCAGACCCAGAAGCTGTGCAGGAAAGTGCTCAAAGTTGGGGTGCATGGGTTTGGGGACCCATCTCTGAGGCTGAAAGGAGGCCAGGAGGTGGGGCAGGGGTGGGGAATCATACCCGGGTGCTTCGGCCTATGGTGCCCGCCAACCGCAGCTGTCGGGGTCCCGAGACACCGCCCGGGCAGCGCTGTCTCCCGATCCACTCCTCGATGCCCTTCCGAGCCCAGGCAGCGCTCACGGCGAAGCTGTCACCTGGGACGGGGACGACATGAAGCCCCTGAGTCTGGCTCCAGGTGCCAAAAGTTACCCCCGCGGAGGGAAGAAGGAGGCGCGGTGGGAGGCGAAGGACCACGGCACGGGGGCCAGGAGGGGGTTCGCGGGCTGGGGCAGGAGCCAAGAGAGGGACGCGGGTAAGTAAAGGGGGGTTCAGCGAAGCCCTAGGAGCGAGGAGCCAGAAGGGGGCAAGAGGGGTGAGCAGTACCCCAGGAGGACGGGTTTAGGATCAGACCAGGGAGCACTGGCAGCCAGGACTGCGGAGGAGAGGGCTGGGGGTCAGGAGAGGGGCCGCAGTAGGTGCAGGAGCCAGGATATCGGAAGAAGGGCCGGGGGGCAGGAAGAGGGGGCAGGGTCTTGCGGGGAGGCGCTTGGGGGTCTGAAGAGAGGGTGCCGTGAGAGCCGAGGGCAGGGACGCGGGAGGGGGAGGGGTTGAGGGTCAGCGGTGGGAGCGCAGGACCGCGGGGAGCGGGTAGGAGGGACAGAGGAGGGGGCGCGAAGGCTGCTCAGGGAGCGGGCTTGGGGGGCCGGTGGCCGGAACTGGGGCTTCGGGGTGGCCCTGGTCATAAGACCTGGCGGGCTGGGCCGTTCTGCCGCGGCCGCGGTGTCCCCCGCGTCCATCCCCGAGGTCTGCGCCCCGCGCGCCCCTACCTTCCGGGCTCTCCCTGCGCTTGCACACGGCGGCTGCAGGCACATCGCGAGGCGGCGGCGGCGGCGGCAGCCGCGGCGGCGGGAGAAGGAAAGAAAGGAAGGGAGAGAGTTAGCGACCGCGGCGGCGACGGCGGCGGGGCCCGGGGCGAGCGCGCGGGCGGGGGCACTGACCCGGCTTGGAGTGAAGTTTCCCCATGCTGGGGCTGCGGCGGCCGGGAGCGTCCCTAAGCCATGCGCCCGGCCCGCGGGCCTGGCGCCTCCCTTGGCTCTCCTCCTCCCGAAGCAGCCCCCGAGCCGAGCGGAGCCCGAGGCGGCGCCGGGACGCGCTCCTGCCGCCGTCGCCGCGGCCCGACTGACGCCCGGGAGCGCCGAGCCCCCAGCCCGCCGCCGCGGCCCGCGCCTCCCCGCGCGCCCATTGGCCGGTGCGGCGCATCAAAGGCAAGGCTGGTTGCGGCGGGGGCGGGGCCGGAGGCGGGGCAGGGCGGGGACGAGGGCGGGGCGCTGACGGGAGGGGCGGGACACAGTCCGCGCTCCCTGCCGCGGTCTGGGGCCGGGGGCCGAGCTCCAGGGCTGGCGACCCGGCGGGGCGGCTTGTCCAGGAGGCGTATTGGGACAGAACAGCCCGGCCATCGCTAACTGTACTGTCACTTCCCTCCGCTCCACGTTCTCTCTAAACGGGCAGGGCGGGACTCGGCGGCTCCAATTTACAGGTGGGGAAACTGAGGTCGGGAGCGGAGACCTTAGCTGCTCAGGTGCAAGCTTCGGCAGCGCTGCCTTTTCCCAGTCTTCCCACGACCTACCTTCTGCAGAAAGTGTTCATTACCCGCCCCGTGACCCGCCCCCCACCACCGCACTCCTCTAGTTTCTTATTTGGGGAGTCCAGGAGGAGCCCCCAGCGCACCCCGGGCCAGTGTGAGCCCAGCCCTCTCCAGGCAGCGACAAATGTCCAAAGCGCCCCGTTATCAGCCAGTCTCTGGGATCTCCTCGTCCGGGGGCCCGTGGGTGCCCGCCCGGGTCGGGGCGCGCTGCCAAACTGCGCGGCCCGGAAGGGGGTAACCGCTGAGTCTTTGATCTTCCTTGGTTTCCGCTCCCCGCTGCAGTTCGCCAGACCCAAGGGTTTGTTTGTTTTGTCTGGGGAGGTCTCTGCGGGGAGGTCGCGCGGGGGGAGGGGGATGGTGGCGGTCGACATCAAGGGATTCCACCCCACCTTTGTGGCTCTCAGAACGCCTGCCCCCTTCTGGGGACACTGTGGGTCCGTGTTACGCTCGTCCTGGCACCAGGCAGCTCTGGCGTGGGAAAAGAAAACCCGCAGCTCAGAGTGAGACCAGCCCCGACCTTTGGAGTGAATTACCTGTGCTCAGTTTTGTGATCTGTATAATGGAGGCTCCATTCTGCCCTTTTTGCCGACTCTCTAGAGCAGCACTGCCCAATAGAAATATAATGTGGGCCACATTTGTAATTTTAAATTTTCTTGTCGCCACATCTTTTAGAAGTAAAAAGAAATAGATGAAATATTAATAATATATTTCGCTTAACTCAATACAGTCAGCCCTCCTTATTCACAGGTTCCACATCTGTGGCATCAACCATCTGTGGACTGAAAATATGCAAAAAGAATAATACAGCAAAAATAAAGAATAAAAAACTTTTTAATATAGTATAACAACTATTTACATAACATTTACATTGTATTAGGAATTACAAGGAATCTAGAGATGATTTAAAGTATTCAGAAGGATGTGTGTAGGTTATATGCAAATACTACAGGACATTTTATATAGCGGACTTGACATCTGGGGATTTGGGTATCCTCTAGGATCCTGGAACCAGTCCCCAAAGACACCAAGGGAACACCATATATCCAAAATAGTATAATTTCAAGATATAATGAGATATTTTACATTCTTTGTATTGCGCTAAGTCTTTAAAATTCAGTGTGTATTTTACACTTAAAACACATCTCAAAGACTAGCCATATTGCAAGTGACCATTTGCACTTGGCTAGTGGCTACTGCATTGGGCAGCATCGCTCTGGAAGATCTACATGTCTCAAAAGGACATTAGGAATTCACAGCCCCCCAGAGTCATAAATCTCTTCATCCAAGTGTCTTACTTTCATGTTCCAAGCTTCCTTTTTTAACACCCTTTTTGGTGGAAACGAAGGCTAATGTTATAAGCAGGTACACTAAAATCCTGTTGGCCAGGTGGTTTCATTTGAAGAGTGCTGAAACCACAAAAATATATTACTGTTGTCATTTTTATGTTACAATTCTTCATTCAGTACTTCTGATGTGCCAGTCCTCATCCTCCATCATGTGTAGCCCTCGCAACCACTCTCTGATGCAGACTCATACTTGTTCTAGAAAGGAGGGAACCTATTCAACTCAGAGAGGTGAACTCACTTGCCCAAGGTCACAAAGTTCATCCATGACCCAATTAGGAACTGAACTCCAATCTGTTGATTTCATTGCCCAGGCTTGTTTTCACTACATCAGGTTGTCCCAACACAGTGCAAAACTAATGTTCCACCACTAGAAAGAGAGTCTTCCATCTGGAAACAAATATGAAGGGCCAGCCATGTGACAACCATTGTTTTAGTCACCTAAGATACATCGGTGAACAAAATAGACAACTGCCACTCTCATCGAACTCCCACTCACCTAGGGGGAAGATAGGCAAGAAACAATAAATGATGAATTAGTAAACAGTGTAGTAAGTTACACCAGGGGTAACAGGCCATTTTTCTTTCTTTCCATCCCATAAGGACCTGACAGCAAACAATTTTGCCCTCTAGGGGACACTTGGTAATGCCTGGAGGTATCTAGTGGGTAGAGGCCAGGGTTGCTGCTACACATACCACAATGCATAAGGCAGCCCCCCCACCCTACCAGAACAAATGATCCAGCATCAAATGTGGGTAATGCTGAAGTAAGAACCCCTGAGCTGTAGGAACATGAAAAAGTGGGGCAGAACGGCGGGGGTCAGGTGTAGGAGGGAGGCAGGGGTTTGAGCATCTGAGTCGGAGTGGGCACCCTCTTTCAGACCCCTCAAAAGGCAATGGAATTCGTCTGGAATTCCTGTTTGCCTTTCTCACCCCTCCCTGCTGGTACCAGGGTGCCTCTAAATCAAAGCAAAACTTGGAGCATCCTTTCTCACAGTGCTTAGAAAGTTGGTTACTTTCTTAAACCGGTCCTGGCTTTCTTCTTCCATGAGAAAAAAGTATCCCCTCTTCCCCTTGGGAATTTCTTTTTACAGTTCAAAAAGAGATAAAAGCAAGAACTAAAACTGCAGTTAGCAGTTTGAGTCTTGCGGGGAGTAAATCCCAAATGTCCAGCCCAGACACAAAGCCCCCCTCCACCTTCACCCTGGTGCCTCCCAGCCCAGCAGGCGCCTGGGACTTCACTGCTATTGGAATCATGATACCCTTACCCGGATCTGGGGTGAGAACCCAAGAGATGGGCCTTGTGGCAAAATGTTAGTCTGTCCAGGTCTCTGAGAAGGGGGTCTCCAGGGGCCACCAGCATGCTGTCTACCTGGGGTGGCCATTCGGCCTCCGAGGGCTTCCCACCCCATAACTCACTGTCTTTTCGTGTGTTTTAATAATTTATCTGGCCCATTTCTTGGGCTGTATACTTGCAGTGACACATCTTTTTCTTTGAAGATTTCCTATCCTTTGGGGGAGGAGAATGGGAAAGGAAGGCAAGGAAGAGATAAGAGAGAGAGATTATAACAGAAACGGGTTTCATGGGGCTTGAGATTTAACAAGGCTGGTTTAGGTGAAATCTGTCAGACATAGAGCTGGGAGATTTAAAAAAAAAAAAAATCCTACATCACCCAAGTTAGCTGCTCCAAAGCTTGTCCCCGAAGTTAAGCCATCTGATCTGGCCCCTTCAAATGCCATTTCCTAAAGGAAGCCCTCCTTGACCTTCCAACCTGAAGGGCTCTTCTCTGCTCTGATTAGCCAAGGTTTCCCTGCCCCCTCCCATCTCCACTTATTTTATGCATGAGGCTAAGTTTCACTCCTGGAGCCAGGGCTCCTTGAGGCCAGGGTTCTTGCCTTACTTGCATCTCTGAATGCAATGCCGAACACAGCACTGCCTATAGCAGGTGCCATCACACCTGCTGTGGAAGGAGACAAACTCTCTCTGCCCAGCCTCAGCCAGGAGCATGTTGTGGTCAATAAGGAGGGAGTACTGCCAATAATACGATCTTGGATATATGAAGGAGAAAATCAGTTCCCAAGTCTCCACTGGTTCCTCCTGGATCCCTGGAGTTGCTTTATTTTATAGTTCCCTGGTGAGTTTTGGCATTGCTAAAGGGCCTGGAAGCCTAGTTTGGGTGAGGAGGGGAAAGTTAGACTACTCTGCCTGAGAAAATATCAGGCATTTTGGAGGGAAGGGAAAACAAAGATCTCAAAGGAAACAGCATGAGAAGAGAGTGATAATGGGGCCTAAGAAGGCACAGCCAGCAAGGTGGGGACTGGCCAATTCACTTTTGGGACAGTGAGCTCTAACATGCGATTGGCAGTGCTCTCTTCTTCCTCTGTTACTCCAAGCCCTCAGCAAAATCCTAGCCACTTCCTGGGTTAGTGGCACAGGACAAAATTAAGGAATCAGAAAGATGACTCCTACAGGTAATTAATGGGGCCAACAGCAATCTTCACAGTGGAGATACCCTGCAGGAGAAAAGATGGGAGCCAGAGGCAGCCAGGAGGCCTCAGGCCTTAGATATGAGATGGAGGAGGCTGGGCTTCCCCAAGAACTAGGGCTGGGGTCTCCAAGCCATTCTGTTTGGGTACTAAAGGCAGAGGGAACAGCACATGTAAAGGCCCTGAAGTGGAGACTGCCATGGATGTTTTGGAAACAGCAAAGAGGCCCCTGGCTCTGGAGCAGAGAGAGCATGGTTTGGGAGTAGAGGGGAGAAGATGAGGTTGGAGATGACTGGGCCAAAAGACTGCTGCTTGAGTACAGTCTGGATGTGGGGTTGAATTGAATTGAATTTGTGTACCACCAACTCCTCCTGGGTTCAGGATGTTTGAGCAAGTTTAGAGCACAGGCTTCCCAGGTGAGCCTGGAGGAGAGGGAAAGCCAGCCCAGCCTCCCCATCTCCTTGGCAGGTGCCTTGTTCTCCTCCCAGCCCTGCCTCTCTGCTCTTCTTCACACTGGGCAGAGAAGCTATATTAGTCCGTTCTCAGGCTGCTACAAGAACATACCGGAACTGGGCAATTTATAAAGGAAAGAGGTTTAATTGACTCACAGTTCTACATGGCTGGGGAGGCCTCAGGAAACTTACAATCATGACAGAAGGAGAAGCAAACACGTCCCTCTTCACATAGCAGCAGGAGAGAGAGGTGCCGAGCAAAGGGGAAAAGCCCCTTATAAAACCATCAGATCCTGTGAGAACTCACTATCACAAGAACAGCATGGGATTAACTGCCCTCATGATTCAATTACCTCCACCTGATCCTGCCCTTGACATATGGGGATCATTACAACTCAAGGTGAGATTTGGGTGGGAACACAGAGCCAAACCATATCAGAAGCCTTTCTAGTCACAGTACCAGTCTTTGACTATTCCCAGACTTTGTTAACAAAAGAGCAAAAGAAGCCCCTATCTTTTTAAGCCTTTGTTTTTCAGTTACATGCAGCCAACCAGACCACCACACAGCCTCTCCACCTATAAAATAGAAGGAAGGGTCCAGAAGATTAGCATTTCCCGTAATGGGTTCCCCCGACCACTGGTTTGTGAGATGCTATTATTATGTGCAAGAAAGGACTCCATGAGAAACTTTGGGCAGCCCTAGCTTAGCCAAAAGAAGACAAGTTTTTTCCTGCAGGACTTGTCAGAGCTTTCATTGAGTAGCCAAGCTTTGTGATTCTCTAAATGGAGAGCATCGTCATAAGCAGGGTTTCTTAAACTCACCAGACCAGGAAACCATTTCTGGAAAACAAGTTCATGGAACATGCTTTGGAAAATACTGGACCAGATGACTTTTAAGGTTTCTTCCCATCTGAGATTCCAACTACTGACTCCAGGAGCCTAGACTGGGAGGGTGATAGGAAGGAAAGCTCAGTGAGGGGAGAGCCAGTGTGGAAAGGTTCCCTGAAGGAGACCATCTGCAAGTGTTGATGGTGTGTGTTTCATGTGTTTTTGGACATATTTGTCCACTTATAGCCCTCTGTAAGTATTCAGCAAATGAACACTTACTATGCAAGTGCCTCCCATTGGTACACAGTTCTTAAGGCCACAGCTCAAGGAGTGAAGGAAAAGTGGTCACTATAGCAAAGCTCATAGTTAATTTTCCTGTATCACCTGCCTTCCCTTCCAGCTTAGCTTCCTCCTCCTCTTCCTTCTTCCATGGCACAGAACACAGCTTCAAGGTGGCCCCTGCCACCACGTTGGTAACACCTGACTCCTTCACCCCTTAGCCAGAGCTGACTGGATGCCTGACCCATTGGCCCAACCCATCAGGATCTCTTTGCAGAATCTGAATGGAGAGGCCAGGGGCCTGCAGTCCACTTCCTGGTGGTCTCTACAGCTGTAGAGCTCCATAGTCCCAGGGGTTGGAGCAGCTTCTTGGGGTCGCTGTGGGCTGAAAAATAAGCAGGAAGAAGCAGGAGTAAGAACCATTAGGGGAAAGCAATGATAGTAAACCCCATGGAGAGAGAGACACAGACAGACTGGTCCCTGACTAACTGTATATGCTGACCTTGGATCCCTCCCTGTAAGACTCTTAATCCCCCTTTCTTGAGCTAGGGTCAAATAGCCTAGAGGAGGGCTCCCTGGAATTTAATGTGCATATGAATTCACCGGGATCTTGTTGAGATGCAGTGTGAGTGGAGCCTGAGAGTCATTTCTCACCAGCTCCCAGGTGAGGCTGATGGTGCTGGTGTATAGACCACACACAGTTGGAGGCTCTAGAAAGTTAAGCCTTCTCAGAAGCAACCAAGGTTACATAGCTTGCCCTTGCCTCGCATAAGCAGCCATGCTGGGGAGGAGATGGAGAGGCCAAAGTCAGGGAGGAGGCAACCAAGAAATAAAGGTGGGTGCTTCTCTTTTATTTATCATGTCATTCAGTGAAGATTTGTTGGGCGCCTAATTTACATCAGGCTCTTGTGTCCACAAAACAGACAAAAATGCCATCCTCATGAAGTTTATATTCTCATAGAGGAAGACAGACAATAAATACATAAGTCAGTGAAATATGTGGTGTGTCTATGGGAGAAAAAATTCAAGTGATAAAGAGAAAGAAAAAATACCAGGGCAGGAGCTAATGATTTTAGATAGACAGGTCAGAGAGGATAAGCTTTGTGCAAAGACTTGAAAATGAGGAAGAAACAGAGGGAACAGCATGTGCAAAGGGCCTGAGGTAAGGATATGCCAGGAATGTTTTGGAAACAGCAAAGAGGCCCCCGGCTCTGGAGCAGAGAGACCACAGTTTGGGAGTATTGGGGAGAAGATGAGGTTGGAGGTGACGGGGACAGATCATGAGACCCTTATAGGTCTCATCAAAAACTTCAGCTTTCCTGGAGAAAGACAGGAGTTACTAGAAGAGAGTTGTGGCTGGGCATGGTGGCTCATGCCTGTAATCCCAGCACTTTGGGAAGCTGAGGTGGGTTGATCCCTTGCAACCAGAAGATTGAGGCCAGCCTGGGTAACATGACAAAATCCTGTCTCCACAAAAAATAATTTTAAAAAGTAGCCAGGTATGGTGATGCATGTCTGTATTCCAAGCTACTAGGGAGGCTGAGGTGGGAGGATTGCTGGAGCCCAGGAGGCAGAGGTTGCAGTGAGCTGAGACTGCACCACTGCACTCAAGCCTGGGCAACAGAGTGAGACCCTGTCTCAAAAAAAGAGAGAGTAGTAACCAGAGCAACTGGGCTGCTGTGTTGAGAATAAGTGTGGGTCACAGGGCTATGGTGGGGCGCCAGGCCTGAGATGATGGCGACTTAGACCAGGTGATGGCAGTGGAGGAGGTAAAAGAAGTTGGACGCTGAATGTATTTTGAAATTAGAGGCAACAGCATTAGCAAATGTATTGGACGTGGAGTGGGAGAGAAACAGAGAAACTAAGGAAGCCGCCAAGATGCGGGGCCTAAGCAACTCCAAGGATGGAGCTGCCATGAACTGCAATGAGGAAGCCTGCGGGTGGAGCTGGTCTGCCAGGCAAGGAAGAAGAGGAGCTCCATTTGGCACGTTGTTTTGAGACGACCGTTGAGTGTCCTGGCAGTGAGATTGAGTGGCCAGTTGGATCTATGAGCCCAGAGTACAGAAGCAAGCTGCAGGCTGCAGATATGTGCCCAGGCATCATAAGCAGGCAGATGGAATTGAAAGCCCAACACTGGATGTGATGCCCTGGGGAATGACTGTGGACAGAGAACAGAAGAGGGCCAAGGAGAGAGCCCCATGGCCTTGCAAAGATGAGAGGTCTGCAAGTGTCGCAGGCCGCAGACACCGGTGAATTCCGCCTGCCTCCTGCGCATCCCAGCACCACGGCGGCCTCTTGGCTTCTGTTCCCCTCCTAGAAAACCCTCTCTTCCATACCTGCTCGCCACCCCCTCTCCCTGCATCCCATGGCAGGCAGGGTTCCTGGCTCCACATCTGAACTCTCAAAGCACTTCTTTGTTCAAACCAACCCTAGAGATAAATGAGACAATGTGTGTAAAATGCGTAGGGCATCCAGCCGAGGGGACCTCAGCAGATGCTAGCTCTCTCTGATGCCCTGGTTAGAACAGCGTCGCCCTCTCTGCCTCCGCTGAGGTCCTGACCCCAAGTTAATCCTCTCTGCTCCTGCCTCGCATCACACTGTGGCTGGCACACAGTAGGGGCTTTTGAAATGCTTTGCTGTAGGCCTGAAGGGCTGAACACACAGGCCCATCTGGCCAGAGGTGACGCTGCCCCCACGGCTTCCCCTGGCCTTCCCCAGGCCCCCCCCCCACATCATTTTGTTTCTTCTGACTCTGTGCCCAAGACAAGGTCACTGTCACCTTTTCGTTCCAAGAAGCCCTTGCCAGTATCACATCCACCCCTGGCGAGGCCAGGAAGGCAGACGCAGGCTGCTGCTGGCGGAGGGGGTGGGCAGCCACTGTCACCCCTTCCTCTGAAACCACAAGGGACAGGGGTGTTTTCTTCTCCTCTGCAGAACTGAGAATTCTCCATTTGCATCTTCCAGCAGCGAGCCGGGGTACATCCTCCACCTGGCGCCTCTTTTAACATCATTTCTGCGGACTTCTCAGGGTGACAAGTATCTTTGTTTTGAGCCCCCCTCCAGCCCCTCCTGTTCTCCCTGGATTCTAACTCTCTTGCAGGCTTCCGCCTGCACAAAGGGACCATTGAGAGGCAGGCTGTAGGACGCCGCCTTTGATCTGAGGTTCTAATAACGTGTGTATGTTTGTGTCCCCAAACAGGGCAGCAGCTTCGCTGGCTCACGGAGGCAGGGGGAGGAGGAGAAAGTGGGCAGATCGTTACACTGAAGGCTTGGTCGTGAGCATTGGTTGGCACATTTGGAAGGCACCCCCACAGATCCTCGTTCCACAGGCAAAGACCCTGGCACGGTCATGATTTGCCAAACCAAGACCTGTGAGGTTAGTGGGATGGCCCGGGCGCTCCATAGAGCCAGGGGTTGCAGGTTCACCAGGGGAAGGGCAGGAGTCATAAGGGAGGGGGACTTGGACCAGGTGGATCTGGTGGCAAACTGAGCAGCATATACCCAACACAAAGGAACAGTGGCTGCTGCACACCAGCTGCCAGCTGCAGGCCCAGGGCTGCTAGATCTTTTGATTTTTCAAGAATAGCTGGAAATCCAGGTTTCTAGGTGAAATCTCCAAATTGTAAAATATCGGCAACTAATTTTAAAAATGTGAAGCCATGGTGCAGGCCAAATGAAATGCGCGCCTCTGCAGGAATCCAGCCTGTGCCTGCTGGCTTCGCCCTCTGCCTGGGTGGACTCACCTGGAGAAAATGTGCCCTGGAGGCAGGGAAGTGTCGGGAAGGGAAATAACTCAGACCAGGCTGTCTCCAAGAGGGAAAAGGTGGGGTGGGGATGCCGGACTGGGGCCTGCTGCCCCAGTGTTCCCCAAATCCCCTCTCTGCCTCCAGCATGATTTCTCTGGTCCCTTAGCAAATGGGTGCCTAGTCCCTCCCACGTGCAAGGACAGCGCTGGGCGCTGGGGATGCAGGAATGAGTTAGACAGGGCCTCTGCCTGCCCTCAAGTCCACTCAGAGAGACAGAAGTATGAGAAACTGAACTCTACCAAGGCCCCACTAGTACCAGGCCCTGTGTAAAGGGCCATATGCCGTGTGTTCTCTCCTGCTATCCTGACAGTCCCCGAGGGAGAAGAGATGATGATACCATCTCCACTTCACAGATGAGGAAATGGGATCAAGGAGAATAGAAAAAGCTCCTCGACCCAGTAACCAAGACTAGATTCAAACCCCGCTACTTGTCAGCAAAGCCCTCATCTGTGGACGCCACTCCACACCATCTCAGAGACTGCAAGATGGGTCCCTCAGGTTTAGGCCATGGAACTCCATGAGTTGTGCAGTGCATAACCTATACAACTGTATGCGCTGACCCTGTGGTAGAACAGAAAAATTGCAACATATTAAGTGTTCATCAAAGTATGTATAAAGCCCTGAGGCTGAGCTCAGGAATGTCGAGGCTGGGGCTTTTCTAAGATCCCTTTTCCAACACAAATTTTGCTTCTGGTGAAGAAACACCTTCCTTCTTTGCCCAGACCTGCTGCCTTCCTTGAGTATCCATGAGAAGTAAAGACCAAGCAGAACACATTCATTACTTGGCTCTACCATTTGCCCTCAGTTTTCCCATCTGTGAATGGGGACAGTAGGACCATCCTTGCAAAGTTATTGCTAGGAAACAAATCGAACATGCCTGAAACAACTGGGGAGGAATCTCAGGTGAAATGTGATGGCTCTGACTTTGTCACTTGTCAGCTGGGCGACCTTGACCACCTACTCATGCTCTTTTGCCAGTAAATGGCATACAGTGCACGGCTCAGAATGGGCTCTCAGCAGGGGTTAGCTGTCATCCACGTGGCCTCATTCTCCTTCCTTATCATTCTCTCTATGGCCTCCCACCAGTGGAAACATGCTCAGAAGGGGCCATGCCCCTCTCCTGAATACAACCTTCCATGGCTTCCACTTTCTTCAAGCATCCGGCCAACACCTTGAAGACCTCACTAGGCAGCACAGCACTGGCCTTTCCAATGGCATTTGCAACAAAGGAGCAAAGTGACAGAGCTCCCTGCAATGTGAAGTGAGGTGGGGCCACACTACCTGCTGCCACCTGTCCTCAGATGCTGTTCCCTTAAGTGGGGTGAGGAGATGGGGTGGGGCCAATGCTCCTCCATCCATTGCCTTGGGTCTCTCCAGGGGGAACCCTGGGGGAAGGAGGGCCTAGTCACAACACCTTATCTGGGGTTGGCAGGTCAGGGTCAGGCCCTAAGAGAATGGAGCAGGCCTCAAAAAAGAAAAGAGGAGGGGAAGGAAGGGCTGAAAACAGGGCCTGGGAGCTCCTTCCTCCTGTTCTCCCTGCTCCTCCCCTAACGCCTTAACCTTCTTCTTTGTAAAAAGATGCTACAGATCCTCTTGAACTACACAGCCCAAATGGCTAGGCAGGAAGAGTGAACCTTTGAAAAGCTCCTTAGCCTCATTAAAAACCTGGAAAATGGAAACTAAACAGCAATAAGATATTTTGAAAGGATTGATTGATTGATTGATTGATTGATTGATTGAGACAGGGCCTCGCTCTGTCACACAGGCTGGAGTTCAGTGGCATGATCATAGCTCACTACAACCTCAACCTCCCAGGCTCAAGCAACCCTCTTGCCTTAGCCTCTGGAGTAACTGGGACTACAGGCATGCACCACCATACTTAGCTAATTTTTTGTAAGTTTGTGGAGATGGGGTCTTGCTACGTTGCCCCAGCTGGTCTTGAACTCCTGGATCAGATGATCCTCTCACCTCAGCCTCCCAAAGCATTGGGATTATGGGCATGAGCCACCACGTCCAGCCTGAAAGGGTTTTAAGCAATGGAAAGCTGTAGTTACCACCAAAACCAGTACTTCATTCAATTCAGTGCTTGAGTGCACATGTAACATTCTGGGTATTTCTTTTTCCTTTTTTTGAGATGGAGTCTGGCTCTGTCACCCAGGCTGGAGTGCGGTTGCACGATCTCAGCTCACTGCAACCTCTGCCTCCTGGGTTCAAGAGATTCTCTTGTATTAGCCTCCCAAGTAGCTGGGATTACAGGCACCCGCCACCACGCCTGGCTAATTTTTGTATTTTAGCAGAGATGGGGTTTCACCATGTTGGCCAGGTTGGTCTCGAACTCTTGACCTCAGGTGATCCACCCACCTCGGCCACCCAAAGTGCTGGGATTATAGGCATGAGCCATCACACCTGGCCCATTATGGATATTTCTAGCTTCAGATGAGAATAATTTAGATTTCAAGCATTTTTCGTTGCCAATATAAATGCCAGGTTTTCTATTCTTAAAAAATCCTGAGATGTGCTAGAATAATGAAAGCCAGTGCTGGGACGTCCAGGCTCCTCCTCATCTCGCACCCCAGGCCTCCCTGAGCTCCACCATCTGGCCAGTTCCTCAGGTGCCCACGCAGCCTCCTGAGCCTGGGTCCTCTCTGTGCGGTTCCCCTCTCTGCTCTCCCAACTCCTGACTCCTGCCCACCTGTCAGTCCCAGCATAGATGCTACTTCTTCCTCCACAAGCCAGCTGGAGCCCTAGGGAGATCTCACCTTCACCCCGGGTGGCTTAGCAGGAGCAGCAAGTTCCTTATTCCCCATACCCTCTACACAGTATCCAGAAAAAATTCTGGAGCCAGCTGTTAAAATAATAATAGAAAAGGCTGCTTAGGAAAGAAGGGGCTGAGGCTGGGGTCGGCAGGAGAGGCAGGAGTGGGGAGGGCTCCCACTTTTATGTAGCCACCCCATGAAGATCAGTCCCCAGCCAACCTCTGGCCAGAGGGCCAACTCCATGTGACCTGTGGAACACGTGTGGTGACGGACTGCACGTCTCTGTGTGACCCTCCAAGGTGACCCCCTGAGGGGCTGTCAGGCTGCCATGCACCAGGTGCAGGACAGGCACCAAGCGGGGTGCCCTGGGCAATGTTGAGATGAAATCAACCTCCAGGAGGTTAGGTGCAGTCGGGGAGTGCCACCAGGCACACAAATAACTACAGGTCGAGGTAAGCCATGAGATAATATATGGAAGCTCTTGGCACAGAACCTGGCAAACCGGAGGCATATAATAAAGCGGCTCTCATTATCATTATTACAATGGCATCAAAAAGTAACGCTTTCTTCAGGACTTTTTGATTGTAAGGTACACTGTCAGAACCCAACTGAAACTAGTCCGAGAAGAAGGGAAACTTATGGGCTCATGTAAGCCAGGTGTTGGGAGAAGAGATAAAGAGCAGCTTCAGTCTTAGAACCTAACAACCTTGCTTTGAGAGTGAAAAGATAATTCTTCCCCAGCTCAGGTGAAAAAAGTCCTAGGGAAGGAATCTGATTGGTGGAACTTGGGTCATGTGTCTATTCCTGGACCAATCACTGTGGGAGTTTGATTAGTCCACATGATTGAGTTTTTTGCCCAATCCTGTGGCCAGATGGAGTTGATTGGTGACCACACCCCAACCACAGTCTGGATGGGAAGAATGAAGTCGCCCAAAGGAAGAGGGATGCGGGACATTATCTTACTTGAGGAAGGCAGATTGTCCTCCTAACAGAATTCAGGGTCTGTCCAATGCACAGAACTCAGGGTCTGCCTGAGAGGTCTTAGTCTAACATTATGGATGGAGATAGCGAGTCTCATATTTTATGGACTAGCTTGCCCAAGGTCACATGATTTATAAGTGGTGGCCCTGGGACGCCTCTATAAGTTTCCTTACATCTAATCCCCAGGAGCCTGGCATTCCGAAGGAAGAGAATGACCATGGGCAGGCATTAATGTTTCTCACGGCTGAGTCAGCCTCCTGCCTGAGCCAGTCCCGCCATGTCCGGAACCAAGCCCGGTCTTTGGAGATGACTTTAAATGGATGGACTTGGCCTCTTGGTCAAAGCACAGGAATGAGAAACTGAACAATCCGAGGAACAAGTTAACAACCATCTTTGGCCCGGAAACACAGGTGACCTCGAGACCAGAAGCCCCAGATCTGAAGGAAAGCCAGCTTAGCCAGGGAGCTGGAGGGAAAAAAAAATACTTTAGTGAAAAAAGAAATAAAAATATATATCATACACTGCCTCAGCTTGACCTTAGTGATGTTCGGTAAGGTGATTTTTGGATTCTCTCCCATTCAGCGGAACTATAGGACACCCTTCACCAGATGGCCCTGGGCCAAGGATGGAGGGAAATTATGACATGATGCTGCCATCTCGACTCCCACATGGATCAGCTGACACCACTTGGGGGAGGCCTGTGCCACCCTGGCAGGGGAATAGTTCAGTCTCTGATAACATCTGCAAGAACTTACTGCTTCAGGGTAATCAGAGGCCAGTCTCTGTCCATCTCCCTGACCTGTGCATACCACATCCCATCCTGGCTTCTACACCTCTTAACTCCCAGGAGCATCCAGTATTTTTCTTTTTCCATCTCGTCTGCTATCAAAACTTACCTGTCCTGAGCCCGCTTCCATTAGTGCTCTATGAGAAGCCTGGCTCATCTGACTAGGATGCGATGCTATTAGGGTTGTGAGTGTCCTGGGCAAAGGTGCCGATCATCTTTCCCTTCCAAAGAACACATGCAACGCCTAGCAGAGAGGCTGCCCCATGTCAGAACCCCATGGCTGGCTCTAGGGATTAAAGTGATCATCCTGACAGATGCTCAGGGCAACACCTTCTTGGCATCCCCAGTTCTTTCTTCCATGAACAATGAGGTGCCAAGTCCTGTCCACTCTCCCTAAACCTCTCTTGAGTCTGCATCCCTCCCTCAGCACTGCTACTGTCCAGGTGTGATTAAAGGTGGACATACATTATTCATCATTCTCCCCATGAAGCCCTTGCCTCTGGGCTGGCCCTGTGGCCACTGAACTAGCAGAATGTGGTAGAGCAATGCCATGCTTGTGCTGGCCCTAGCCTTTAAGAGGACAAGCAGCTCTTGTTTTCTCCCTCTTGGAATGCACACTTCTGGAACATTCCCTCTCAGGACCCAGCTTCTGTGCTGGAAGTTCAAGCCACATGGAGAGGTCATGTATGTGTGTCAGTCGACAGCCTCAGTTGAGCTTCCAGCAGACAGCCAGCCACAGCTGCTAGCCATGGGTGTGTACCATCCAGGATGTCTGGCCCAAATGGGTCCCCATTGACTGCAGTCCCATGGAGCAGAACTACCCTACCAAGCCCAGTCAAGCCCCCGAGTCACAAGAGCTCATAAAACAGGTACTGTTTTGGCCGGGCACGGTAGCTCATGCCTGTAATCCCAGCACTTTGGGAGGCTGAGGTGGGTGGATCATGAGGTCAGGAGTTCAAGACCACACGGTCAACATAGTGAAACCCTATCTCTACTAAAAATACAAAAATTAGCCAGGTGTGGTGGCACGTGCCTGTAATCCCAGCTACTCAGGAGGCTGAGGCAAGAGAATTGCTTGAACCCGGGAGGTGGAGGTTGCAGTGAGCCGAAATCGCGCCACTGCACTCCAGCCTGGGCGACAGAGTGAGACTCCATCTCAAAAAAAGAAAAAAACAAACCAAAAAAACAGGTGTTTTTTTGAGCCACGGAGTCTTGTGCTGGTTTCTTACACAGCAGTAGGTGCCCGGAACACCAAGTTCAAGTCCTCATCATCCCTTCTGGGTCATATGCAAGTTTGCTAACTAACAGATCTGCCAGCCTCTACCGCCACCTATTTCCCAAGGTTATTTTCCAAGCCCAGAACTGCTCATGTCATTCTTCTGCCCAAGCCTTCAATGGCTTCTCATTGTCCATAGTGGTACTTAGTACTTACCCCGTGAGAATGCACATCAGAATCACCAGGGCAGCTTCTTCAAAATACAGATATTCCAGCTGAGAACGGGGGCTCATGCCTGAGAGGCCAAGGCGGGTGGATCACTTGAGACCAGGAGCTCAAGACCAGCCTGGACAACATTGCAAGACTACAGCTCTACACAAAATACAAATAAAAATAAGCTGGGCATGGTGGCGCATGCCTGTAGTCTCATGTATTCAGGAGGCTAAAGCAGGAGGATCACTTGAGCCCAGGAGTTTGAGGCTGCAGTGAGCTATGATCACACTACTGTACTCCAGCCTGGGTGACAGAGCAAGACCTTGTCTCTAAAAAATTAAAAAAAAAAATTCCACTCAGAGGGTTGGAATCAGGATATCAGGTTGTGAAAAAACACCCCCTGTGTGATAGATTAAATTATTAGTCCACAATTCTTCCTTGTCTCCCTGTATCACGATTCACTGTGAGCAGACAGGACTACCCCACACCACTGATGTTGGACTTGACTGTGTCATGCGTTCTGCTCAGTTGAATATGGGTAGAAGTGATGCTGTGCCAGTTCCAAGCCAAGGTCTGAAGAGGCATTGCACATTTCCACTCCTATCTCTTGCACTCCAGCTCTTCACCATGAGTTTGCTCCAGATGGACACTACCCTTTCAACCTGAGTCCCCAAATTACAAACATACAGAACAGGCTTGAACCCATCCCGTACCCTGGCCCAAGTTCAGCCAATACTAATCAAGTTCATCAGAGTCACCCCAGGCGATTTGCAGACCTGTAGTGAGAAAAATAAATTTTTGTTGTTGTATGCCCTGGTTGGGGTGGGAGGTCACTTGTTATGTAGCATTATTGTGGTAATAGCTAACCAAAGTATCAGATGATCCTAAAGCATGTCCCTGCTTAAGAACCACTAGACCAAAGGCTAAAGTCACAAACAATTCATCTGGCAATTGAGACCTTCCTTGGTCTTGTTTCCATCTGGCCTCATCTCCCAGCTTCCTCTTCTGAACCAATCAAGGTTCTGGGTGCTAAAACAGAATCCAATGCTCATGAACCCTAACAGAAAAGGGACTCCAAGGTGGCTGTAAAATCAAACTGAGAAAAAAATGGACGGAAAGCAGGGAAAGTCAGGCAGGTGTGGCCAGGGTCAGAAGAGGTCACAGGCATAGTTGAGGTGGAGAAAGAGACCACTGCTGGTTACCTGTGCACCAGGCGCTGGATCCTCAAGCTGCTGTTTGCAAGGAGGGTATCTCCAGCTCTCCCTGCTCCTTTGGAGAGAGAAGCATCCCATTGGCCAGCCATGCCTTGGCCATCAAAGAGAAAGAGAACATGTGTTAGACACCTAAAGGGAACAGGGGTCCCACATTGGGCAGCCAAGATCCCCACAAACATCCCCAGTAAGCTTCACATTCCCTACAAATAGGAACTGAGTTGATATGTGTAGAGCTCTTCAACTTTTCCTGGCATGTAGTAAATGCCATGTGAATGTTCTTAAAATAAATATTAAATATATAACTTTTAGACTATTGGCTAAATAAGACGCTTTGATTGTTCTTTTCAAGGACAACTCAAGAGACCTTTCTTGATCAGGTGGAAAGTGATGTTTCTTTTCTCAATGCCTCCAACACGCTTGATCTGCCTGTCCTTCTTGATGCAGCGCAGGAGCTAGAGTTATCTGTGGTCTTGTGAGACGTGAGGTTTTCCCCAGTGCCGAGGTCAATGCCTGAGGTCTTACAGGTAATCAGGAAGTACGGGTAGAATACCGGAGCAGAGGGACCTCTTGCCAACTGTGAAATCTGAGCCTGCCTCTAAACCCTCAAAACATGGGCCGTGGGAACAACCACTCATTTCTTTGCACTGCTGTGAGCCTGGGCCAGTGCGTGCAGCCTGATCCAGCACAGGGCCTGCTGGCAAAATGCCATGGTGCAAAAGGCTTCCAGGTGAGAATCCCTGATTGCTCAACCCCATATTTTAAACAATTACTCTCAGCTTTTGAGCTGAGCATCCTGCCTTTCCAAGTTTGCTGAGCCTACTATTTCGAAATACTTTGCAAATTGGCAGCTCCAAGAAAAAAGTCCTGGAGTCAGAGTGAGTGACCTCTGACCCAGATGGAACAGGCTGCTGAGTCTCACCTTCATGCTTTCTCTAACCCTGGCCCCTTTGTTAAAACACTCTTCAAGTCTATTGTGTAAATGAGCACCACTGAGGACAGGTAGCATGTTTCGTCCATACCTCCTCTGCTCCTTTTCCTGATCCCCAGTGTGCTTTGACTCCCAACAGCCAACACTTGCATCTCATTGTCAGAATGCTTTCTACAGCTTGCCAGACACTGCAACCAATGATTGGCAACATGGGAGTATCAATACCCCAGCTCCCTTGTTCCCTGCTCATGCAACTCTGAGTTGTGACTCGTATGTCTCCAAAGTTCACATGTGGAATTGAGCCAAAATTACCCTCTGTGGGAGTTTGCTTGATATCGGATCCTTGCCGGATCTGCTTCCCTTCCCTGCCCCACTTTCTCATCCCCTATACATTTCCTTCACTAAGAGTCTGCTTCTGGGAATCCAGCCTAAGACAGTAAAGAGAGAGGAAAATTTAAATGATAAAAATGGCCACCACTCTACTTTAAAATCCTTTCATGCATTAGTTATCTTAATGATCTCAAATACCCTACAAGGAATTCTTATCCCCATCTTAAAAATGAAGAAATCAAGTCTCAGAGAAGTTGAGTAACTTGCCCAAGTTATGTAGTTAGTAAGTATTAAGCCAAGAAGTTGTATTACATGTACTGCCTCCCATTAGAAAGATGCCATCAATAAGAACTATACATATTTCTTTAAGTTAAAATGAGAAAAAATACAAATCTAATAAGCGAATGTGGATAATGATAGTATGCATTTATAGGGGAAATTAAAGGCATAATGGTGATTGTTTTTATCTGTCATAGCTCCCCATGTTTACCCCATTTTCTTCTGGTATCAGATAGGGTAGGCATGCAACCAGAATTCCTTTGCCCACACTTTGCCTCTGCATACAGACTCAGGGTTGGAAGGTAGCAGACTCTTCTGCTGCTGATATCCTCTGAGATATAAGTTCCAGATCTGGTTCTTCAGCCCTTTCTTCAGTCCTTTCATTGAGACCACCCCAGGATTATTCCAATAAATGCCCAAAAGTCTCAGTTTAGTCAGAGCCCATTGTTACTGCTTGTCAACAAGACATCTCAAGTGATGTAGAAATTGGTATCAGGAGTAGGGTGTTAAAAGTGACCCATCCTAAAAATATGGAATTGGAGACTATATAAGCCAATAAATCCTCCTTAATTTTGTAAGCAGGTTTCAGTGGGATTTTTGCACCTGCATTCAAAAGACTCTTGGGTGGTGTATGAATAAAAAGGGATGGAAATGCCCCTTCCCTGAATAACCTTTCTTACACTACATGCCTATGCCTATTCTTCTTTTCGACTGTGTGATACATGTTTGCTTCATTCCTTTCCTATTTAACGTATATTCATGCTTTTCAAGGTAACAGAGGATAAGGAATCAGGTGGTCAGCTCAGGGAGGGAGCCATCTGATGTATCAGAAGGGAAAGGGCCTGGTGCATCATCAAAGAGATATTGTGGGCTATGGCAAGAGAGCTATGGGCCTGGGGAGTGGGAAAGCTTGGTTCTAGTCCCAATCCCAACTCTGACTTGCTGTGTGTCATTGGTCAAGAGTCTTCTGTCTCTGGGGCTGTGCCTCTCCTTTTACAGAATAAAAGGGGATCTCTAAAGTGCCTTCTAGATCCACCATGTTCAGATGTTTGGAGGAAATGCAAAGACACGTGGCCTACATACCATGCACAGACTGATGAGGTGAGAAGAGGTAGCAGCAGCAGGGTGCTGAGTCTAGGTGGGCCTCTCTGGGATTTCACCTGAGCATCTCTTTGAAGCTGTGAGCTCATAGGTGCTACATTTCTGCTATTCCCACATTTTTCTCCTCTGATCCTACCCCACTCATATTGTGGCAGAAACTGTCATCCATCCCCTAGAATCCTTTCTCCCTTTTTTCTTTTTAGTCATAGAATAGCCATATTACTAGAAACTACACTACTTTCCAGCCTCCCAGGCAGTTACATGTGGCCATATGTGAATGGCATGTGAACAGAAGCAATGTGTGCTAGCCCTTCCCATCTTCTCCCTGCCTTCTTGCAGACTGAAACATAGACACAGCACAGAGATCCAGCTTCCACCATGGAGAGGGCAGAGCACAGGATGGAAGTTACCTGAATTCCTGATCCACTTCATGGAGTCAAACTGCCTTCCATTCCCAGACCCCTTCCTTGCTTAGAGTTTTCCATGAGAGCAATAATCTTCCATCTTGTTGAACTTGCTGTATTTGGGGGACTGTTCTTACAGCAGCTTACTCCGTGCCCAAACCAATACCTCCTACCCCATCTCATTGGAAAATTGACACTGAAGAGTGTCAATTTTCAGACACTTTGCCAGCCAGGGCCAAGGAGCTAACCTCTACCAAGAAGAGAGGGAAGTCAAGACCAACCTGGGAAATGTGGCAAAATTTCATCTCTACAAAAAAAAGAAAAATACAAAAATAAACTGGGTGTGGTGGTGTGTGCCTGTAGTCCCAGCTATTCAGGAGGCTGAGGTGGGAGGATGGCTTGAGCCTGGGAGGCGGAGGTTTCAGTGAGCTGAGGTGGCACCAGTGCACTCCAGCCTAGGCGATAGAGTCAGACGTTGTCAAAAAAAAAAAAAAAAAAGAGGAGGAAATAGGAGTAGAAGAAAGAGGGGAAAGACAGACTTTATTGGACAGCCACCCTGTTCCAGGCATTTATCTCCATTATCTTGAAAGCCTGAATTTTATCATTGGTGACAAATGTGGTCCATTATTTTCCTTGAAGTGACTGGCACACTTTATTCATTTTCAAGAAAATGTCTACCAATACTTGAGATTGCATAACCATAATTTTTCTGTTAGTCTTCCTTTTTCAAGTAAAAATGATGTTCAGCTAGGTCAGCTAACAACTCAATTGCACAAGTACTTTTCCTTAAGACAACTATTATACTTCAGTATGCAGGAGAAATGTTTCATGCACACCTTCACTTGGTTGTACAGAATATTAAAATGTCTTGTACTCAAGGGTTGAAAAATGAAGAAGTTAATAAATTTTTCTGCTTCAAGGACATTCTTAAGTGACATTGTCTCTTTTTCTCTTTTTTGTTTTACTGCAAGAACGTCCCAGCCTGATGCGTGCTACCAGACTAGCAGGTTACTGGCTGTTGCTCTTGCACCACTAGTGCAAATGTCAACAGGGTAAAAAGGGCAAATGACATCTTAGTACTATTATGAAAACAGTTTTGACTTTCTAAACCCCCTGAAAGTGTTTTGGGGACCTCCAGGCATTCTCAGACCACACTATGATAAGCACTGCCTTTCTTTCATCAGCATGCCTTTATTCACAAGCATACAAATGCGCACACGTGCACACACACACAGAGTTTCTATCATTTGATTTTCAAAAGGGCATTTGAATATCAAAAAAAGGAAGGACGTCATCTCAGAATAAAGGATAATCCATTAGACTGGATGCATTTAGTTTCATGAACAACTTATGGCATTGTCCTTATTGTTCTGGTTTTTGCCAAGTCTAGGGGGCAGATGTTGGCATGGAAGACTGGTGTTTGGAAACCGCCTCCATCCTGACCCACCCCTTCTTACGCACATGAGAGAAACTATGATCTGAAAGGCCAAGCACTTACTGGGGTACACAGCTGAAAATGGTTCCACCGAGCTGGGCCCCAGGTTCGCCTCCAGACAGAGCACCACCTGTCAGCAGGGCTCTGGGCAAGAATTAAAACCCACGCCCACTCCTCCCAGGAGAGCTGGGAGCAGAACAGCCTGCTGGAAGCCCTCAGTGAGGTCTGTATGGACACAAGTTGAGTCTGAAGTGGATGGAGACCTCAGCGCCCTAATGAGAATCCCAAAGAATGGGTTTTATCTATTAACTAGCTGACACTGCTGGGCTCCTGCCCAACTCCCTTTCCCCATCCATTCCAGATTCCATCACCTGGGGTCATTTGGTAGGAGCCACACATGCTCATATGCAGACGTGTGCACATTGCACACACACCTGCCACACACCCACAAGTCCCCCTCCCATCCCCACTCCTCCCAATCACTCTACTCACATCCTCTCCATCCATCATGACCCCAGCCCTCTCTCACCACCCCGCCATTTCCACCACACCTGGGGACCCACACGAAGACCAGGGCCTGAGGACCAGAGCAGCCTCCCCAGGCAAGTCTCTTCCTGCCTTTGGAACTCAGTTTCCCAGCTGTAATCCTGCAAGGAAGATCAGAGAGGATGCACTGTCTCTAAAGTCCCTGCCAGTTCCCACATCTTATGGGTCTACAGTGAAAGAAGAGTGTTTTGAAAGTCACCCTGGCAGCCTGGGTGCGACGGGGAGAGAGTGGCCTTGGGGAGGCAGGAGGTGAGGGGTTGTCAACTGTGAGGTGCAGACAGCTGGAACTACCCATGACCAAAGCCCTGGGATTGAATGCGAAGGTCTGAGTCTGAGGGATGGGGTGAAAGTGAGCATAACATCTAACGGCTGTAGGAGTTGCAGTCTGGGGGGTGATAAGGACTCATCAGCAAGGACAGTGAACATGAATCAAGGTCTGATTTACCCTAGAAAATCCCCACAGGGACTCAGAGAGTGGCCTACCATTGTTCTAGGTACACAACGCCACGCCACCAACATAGAGCCGAATCTTCATCTCTTCTTGAGGGAGTTGGCTTCTGTAGGAAGCTGGGGTGGCAAGTTTTGTGTGTCAACTTGACTGGCCCATGGAGTGCTTAGACATTTGACTAAACACTATTCCGGGTGTGTTTGTGAGGGTGTTTCTGGAGGAGATTAAGATTTGAATCAGTAGACTGAGTCAAGTAGATCACCCTCCCCAGTGTAGATGGTCCTCATCCAATCCATTGAAGACGTGAACAGAAAAAAGGCTAAGAGGGAATTCCTCTTGCCTGACTGCTTGAGCTGGGACATGTGTCTTCTCCGGTCTCAGACTTGGACGGAAGCATCCATTCTTCCTGTGTCTCTAACCTGCAGGGTTCAGACTGAAACTTATACCACTGACTCTCCTGGTTCTCAGGTCTTCGGACTTGGACTAGAACTACACCTTCAGCTCTCCTGGGTCTCCAGCCTGCCAACTGCAGATATAGGGACTTAGCCTCTATAATTGCATGAGGGAATGCCTTATTATAATAAATCTCTTTCTATGTACATATCCTACTGGGGAACCCTGACTAATACAGAGGCCATGTGACATTATGCATGAAAATCATACTCAGACAGGAGCCATTCTCACAGGAGAATGGGGACTGAGGCTGCTCTCTGTCGTCGCATTCCCTCTGGAGCACATACTTGTCTCTGCCCATCCCATTTAAATTGTTATCTCTCTTAAGCCCATGCCATTAAACAATTGGAACTTGAAAAATAATAATAATAAGTAAATTGTTCTCCCTCTCCTTCTCCTCTCTCTGTCATTCCCATCTCTGTCTCACCTCTTTGTCAGTGGGATGAGACAGACCGGGAAGCAGATGCTGAGATGGAGTTAGGAGTGCAGTTTCTTGGGGGCAATGCCTGAGAAAGATACAAGAGGGAGGACGCAGGATCAGGCAGGAGGAGCCTCTGACTGCGATCCAAAGTTGACAAAGACTTGGCCAACTTCAAAGGGAGCTCCAAATCAACAACTGCCCATCTGAGGAACACCACACTGGCAAGAAAGAATATCACTTTTGGCCCTAGCACTCACGTTGTTCTCAGCCATTGGCTAGGAGCTCCTGAGAAGTCCATGGCCTCAGCTTGAAAGTCAAGGCAGACTCTGAAGATGCTGAAGTTGAAGGCTGTCTGCCAACTGCACTTCTTGTAGCTGAATGGCAAATTTTGCCTAAAGGGAGATTTAAGGGGTACACGTTCATGGCTGCCATATTGTGTGTGTGTGTGTGTGTGTGTGTGTGTGTGTGTGTGAATGTCTTTTTTGCTTCTTTTTTCTGCTTTGGTCAGGCATGTATAGTTGAGTTGAATGTATATAACATGCCTCATCTATAATACTTCTAATATCAGCTGGGAGCAGTGGCTCATGCCTGTAATCTCAGCAATTTGGGAGGCCGAGGTGGGCAGATCACGAGGTCAGGAGATCGAGACCATCCTGGCTAACACGGTGAAACCCCGTCTCTACTAAAAATACAAAAAAATTAGCTGGGCTTGGTGGTGGGCGCCTGTAGTCCCAGCTACTTGGGAGGCTGAGGCAGGAGAATGGCGCGAACCCGGGAGGCGGAGCTTGCAGTGAGCCAAGATCGCACCACTGCCCTCCAGCCTGGGCAACAGAGCAAGACTACATCTCAAAAATAAATAAATAAATGAATAAATAAATAAATACTTCTAATATCAATGCTCATAGGTGGCATTCACTGTGAGCTTACAGGGTGTCAGACTGCTAAGTTTCTTATATACATTGTCACGTTGACTCATGACATTGACCCTGCACAGGTCAGTCCTCACCACTATCCCCCTTTTATAGATGAGAAAACTGAGGCCCACAGAGGCCACATGAATTGCCCAAATTCTCACAATATGTTGAGGCTGAAACCAGGATTTCAACCCAGGTCTATCTGATCTGGAGCCTGAGCTCTGAAAAACAACACTCAGAAAAGAGGCCTCTCATTCCCCCACACACTGCCTCTTACACCCCAGGATAGGAGGCAGCCCTAGCACCATGTTGTTCTCAGTCATTGGCTAGGAGCTCCTGAGAGCACACAGGTGCTCCGCAGACCCAGAGAGCCCTGGCCGATGGATGCCAGCTGGCATTTCCTGACAAAGGAGGCTCATCCACCCCGGAGAGATGGAAAGGGCAACGGTTCCCCGTCGATGTGCCTTGGGTCCTACTCAGATGTGAACACGGCCATGTGTGTGGTGCTTCAGTGAGGCAGAGGTATGACTTCATGAACCTAATTCAAAAGCAAGATGGATTTTAAAAGTCTGTGGCCAGAAAAACACATGTGTGTCTCCAAAGGTGCCTCCAGGGAGACCTCCTGATTTGATTGTCCTTGCTCAGCCAAGAACTGGTTCAACCTCCTAGGCTCGGTGACCTCCTGTTTCAAGAGCTAAATCAGAGTCACAAATCCAGAACTGCCCTTCCTTGGATTGTCTCCCTCTTCCAGCCACTAGGAGGATGGAAGATGGTTGCTTCCTTGGGATTCTCTCTACTGTCTTTTTTTTTTTTTTTCTGAGACAGGGTCTGGCTCTGTTGCCCAGGCTAGAGTGCAGTGGCATGATCATAGCTCACTGCAACCTCAAATTCCTGGGCTCAAGTGATCCTCCTGCCTCAGCCTCCTGAACAGCTCGGATCACAGGTGAGTGTCACCATGCCCAGCTAATTTTTAAAGTTTTTGTAGAGACAGGGTTTTGCCATGTTGCCCAGGCTGATCTCAAATTCCTGGGCTCAAGCAATCCTCCCTCTTCAACCTCCCAAAATGCTGAGATTACAGGCGTGAGCCATCATACCTGGTCCCTTATTGTCTTTAAAATGTTGCTTCTCGTGTCACTGATTAGATAAGAATGAGGCTAATGTCCAAACTATATCTACTCACTGGTAATTTAGAAGCAATGGATGTTATGTCATACCAAATTAACTGCAGCTAATAATTAGAAACAAAAAATTAAAAATAAAAGAATTCCATGTCAAGAAAGGCCTGCCCTCAATTCTATATATGGTGGATAAATCCAGACAGTGTGTGTGTGCTCAGGGAGTTTCCCTGGAAGCATGACCCTCTCACAGGGAGGGAGAGAGAGTGGGGATGGCTCCTGCTGCCTCTAGAACAGAAAGGACTCATCTGCAGGTGGCTCCTGGGGAGAGGGGTGCTGGATGATTAGGGAACCAAGAAGGGAGAAGACCCTACACCCCGGTAAGTCCTAGAGGGACTTCTTGTTTGTCCCTCAGCAGGACAATAATTAGTGGACTTATTATTTGTCCACTTGGAAGGGACAAATATGGTCTGGGACAGAATAAATGTTGTCTCCCCAGGCTTTCTCCAGTGAATGCAATCGCCAATTTAAAAGGAAGAAAAACATATCAGACTGAGTAGCTAGAAATGAAGTATTACTATTATAATGATGACAAGGTGCTTAGGGTTAACATCACCGGCTTTGGGAGCCCAACTGCTTGAACTCAAATATTCACAGCTCTGCTTACTCAGCATCCTGGGTCAAGTTCCTTCCAGTCCACTCTCCCTCCGCTTCCTCATCTGTAACACAGAGATAATAATGACTTTCACCACCTCATCAGGATGTATAAGGGGTTAGTGTACACATGCACTGTGCATTTCAGCACTAAATACATACTCAGCATTGCAGCCCGATGTGGTGACACGAGAGCTTCAGGGGGTCCAGAAGGCTCCATATTCCTAGTTCAGTCATCTTTTTTGGGGGATATCATTCAGCCCCTTGGAGCCTCAGTTTCCTCATTTGAGAGCCAAATGACTGCCTCGCAGCATTATCATGAAGATAAATGGAATGATGAAAGGAATCATTCCCTAAGCTGTAGAAGGCATACCTGGTGATTGTGCAGTGCACAATCTGAGCAACCATATGTGTCAGTCCTGATAATGAACACAAAGCAGTTGGCATGTTGGAGATACCACCTCTGTGCCTCCTTTTTTGTAAGTTTGCATATCAAACCGTTGACTCTAACTCAAAGTCTTTCCTGCAAGCTTCCTCCACACTGAGTCCAGTGGATGTAAAAGCTGAGGAAGAACTGTGCCATCCTCAATCCACAAGGGTTCCTGCCCTCAAAGAAAGAGTTTGTAGCAGGAAATAGCCCAAGCCCTGCTGTAATGCAAGACTGAACTCCATGCAGTAGGCTCCAAGAGTGAAGCAACCTCACAGCAGGATAACAAAAGCCAGGAACAGCAGGAACATCTTTCCCCAAAGGAGAGTCACTGGGGACCACCTTGATTTAAATGTGTCAAGTGAAGGAGGGTGGAAGTGGCTGTGTCTGCAAAGGTGAGGAGTTTCATGCTTCAGAAAAGAAGGTCTGGCCAGGCACGAGCCACCGTGCCTGTAATCCCAACACCTCCAGAGGCAAGGTGGGTGGATCGCTTGAGCCCAGGAATGCAAGACCAGCCTAGGCGAAATAGCAGGACCCCATCTCTACAAAAAAATTAAAAATCAGTTGGGCATGATGGCGCATGCCTGGTCCCATCTACTTGAGAGGCTGACGTGAGAGGATCGCTTGAGCCCAGGAGGTTGAGGTGACAGTGAGCCATGATTGCACTACTACACGCAAGTCTGGGTGACACAAAGAGACCTTGTCTCAGAAAAAAAGAAAGGAAAGAAGGAAGGAAGGAAGGAAAGAAGGAAGGAAGGAAGGGAAAGAAAGAAAGAAGAGAAAGAGAGAGAAAGAAAGAAAGAAAGAGAAAGAGAGACAGCGAGAGAGAGAGAAAGAAGAAAGAAAGAGAGAGAAAGAAAGAGAGCAAGAGAGAAAAAGAAAGAAGAAAGAGACAGAGAAAGAGAAAGAAAGAGAGAGAGAAAGAGAGAAAGAAAAGAAAGAGAGAGAAAGAAAGAGAGACAGCAAGAGAGAAAAAGAAAGAAGAAAGAGAGAGACAGAGAAAGAGAGAGAAAGAAAGAAGAGAGAGAGAAAGAGAGAAAGAAAGAAAGAAAGAGAAAGAGAGAGAGAAAGAAAGAAAGAAAGAGAAGAAAGAAAAGAAAATAGGGTCATGCTGTCTCTCCTAGCTTCCTTCCTGAGTGCACCCAGTAGTGCCCACTCAACCCCAGAGCAGAGGTCAGGATGAAGGCTTGGAGAGGCTCTGGGGACTGGCCCCTAGTCCCCTCTCCTGTACCAGTCAGTTAATCCACTTCAAATGGAGCAACACAGAGAGAATCCCGAGTGACACCATTTTTCTATTACCCTTCATTACAGCCACTTAGATCTTTTATTTTATTACAAACATTCTTTAGCCCAGACACGGGCTGATCTCCTAATTGGAGCTGCTGCCTCCACCCCCACCCAGATCAAAGCCACCCTGTTTGTTTGTGGAGGATAGAGGATGAACCGTCTTGCCGGCCTTTGAACATGAAGGCCCCTTTGTCTTCCAGCTGAAGTCATCCCTGGCACCAGGCAGGGAGGAGGCTTCCGGTGGGGACGGTGGAGGTCAGGAATTCTGTAGCCTGGTCAGAGGCTTGGACCAGAGCTTGAGTGGGGAACAGCTTTCAAAGCAAGACCCCAAATTTCCCTGCCTCCCTTTGAAGAGTTGTCTCAAAAGGTGGCCCCAGGGAATGCCTTATTTGCCCCCATGATGATTTTTAATTTAAATATCAATTTGAATATTCAAACACTTTAAAAGATTGAGAAAAAATATCAGATATTTGAATATTTCTTAAAGAAATAAAATACTTTCTAATTTCTTTTCAAAAATCAGAATGTAGCCAGGCATGATGGCTCACACCTGTAATCCCAGCACTTTGGGAGGCTGGGGCGGGTGACACTTAAAGTCAAGAGTTTGAGACCAGCCTGGCCAACATGGTGAAATCCCATCTCTACTAAAACAAATACAAAAGTTAGCTGGGGATAGTGCTGCATGCTTGTAATCTCAGCTACTCAGGAGGCTGAGGCAGGAGAATTGCCTGAACCTAGGTGGTGGAGGTTGCAGTGAGCCAAGATTATGCCACTGCACTCCAGCATGGGCAACAGAGCGAGATTCTGTCTCCAGAAAAAAAAAAAAATCGGAATGTCTGGCAATACTGGACCTCTATTAGAGAAAGAGCCAACCAGTTTTCAGCCCTATGCAGGCTTTTTTTTCTTTCTTAACTGTTGCAATAAATTATTGTTTCCCTTGAGGTGTCTTCTTTCATATCCCTGGGCCCACCAGAACTTCACCTCTGCCACTGGAGATGATTGGGAGTGGGGAATGACTGTGCCATTTTACAGATGGGAAAATTGAGGCCCTGTGGCATTCAAATAGCTGCTGGGTGGTCACACAGAGGTTAATAATAGACTCAAGATGCAAGAAGTACAAGACAAAAGGAATGAACACTTATTCGTTCTCTCTTATTTTGAAATTATGGTCAATATAGCTATTGTGGGAAAGAAAAGCCCAACGAGCTGCCATCCCATAACCTAGAGATGCCTGATGCTAACACTAGAGTCTATTACGTGTGGGGAGCTGAGTGGACATTATCTACACTACACAACAATCCTATGCGGCAGTTTATATTTTCTAGATTTTAGAATAGAGAAAACTAAGGTTTTGGGGGCTCAAGGACTTGCCCAAGGTTACACAGTATGGCCAAGGTTGAGACCCAGGTCTGCCTGACTCAAAAACCTCAGGAAGTGGTTCCATTCTGGGTCCATCGTGAGCTGGGTGATATTAGACAAATTATTTCTCAGAGCCTCAGGTTGCCCTACACAATAGGGAGGTGTCTGCTCAGAGAACACACCTTCTACTCGGGGCTTGACCTCTGTCCCCCTCCCCCACAGCCTTATTTATAGTTCCCTACTCCACCCTCCCTGGAAACAGCCACCTGGACCAAGGGCAGACACTTTACCCAAGCTGAGCCGATCAGATCCTTCCTCCTTGGAAGTTCGGTTTGGGGCCTATTCCTGTAAAGCTGTGCTGGGACTATCCAAACTGGACCACAGGCAAGTGAGGTATGTCTGAAAGGAAAGAAAGATGCAGCTGACGTGCAGAGAGAAACAGACTCCAAGGCCAAAGTTGGCTCTCTATATCCAGACCCTCCCAAAGTCCATTTCTCCTCTATCACTGGCCATTTGATATCACCCTGTACCTTGCCTATGATGCATTCTTTTCTGTGCAGGTTGACTTGAGAGATTATGCTGTTGCAGCTGTATAATCCCCCATGTAAGCAGAGTAAGATCTGGCTCTGTGCTTTCAAAAAAGTTATTCAACCTCAGTTTCTCCTATTTATAAAGTGGGAATAATAAATTCCTACCTTACCGGGCTTTCAGGCAATTCAACTAAATAACATAATTGGAGATCCTTGCACTCAGTATCTAACACAGTAGATCCTCAGCACCTGGCTAATGCTTTTAACACTATTGTTAATGTTGTTGTTGTTGTTTATAAATTTTGATGATGGGGAGAGCTAGCAGTAATTTTAACCAACTCTTGATTATTCCACTTTGCAGATAATCCACAAACCAATTTTATCCTTCACTGACTTCTTTCCATCATCAGTTTCTCCATGCTCAAGAAAGATAGAATTATTTTGTTGTTGGCTAAACTGCAGTTGTGAAGATAGAAATGATTAAAATTAAATCATGTATAGCAGGCATGAATTTTACTCCATCATCTTAGGTGTGTGTGTTTTTTTAAAGTCATTATTGTATTTTTCTAAATCAAACTAAGGTTGGAGAGTGATGTCAGCATGAAGGGAGACTAGGATTTCAGCACATATTCCCTTCCAGAAACATCCATTTGAACAACCATCCATGCACAAAAATATCTTCACAAAAGCTAAGGAATCCAGGTGAAACATTACAGTACCTGGATGGAGCACAAAAATAAGAAAAAACACTTTGAGAAAGGTAGAAAGGACAGCTTCACCCCTCCCCTAAATCTGGGCAGCACAGCACAGACCTGATTTCACTATAGACCCCAATACCAGGTCTGCCCCAGTGAACCATGACACCAGGTCAGCCCCTGTGACCCCAGGCCAGACCCATGGCCCCAGGCTCCAGGCATGCCTTAACACCAGGCTCCAGGCCCACCCCAGGGCCAGGCTGTCCCTTGAAGACCCAGCCTCCAACTCTACCATCACACCAGGCCAGTCCCATGGACAAAGGGTCCAGGCCAGCCCTTGTAGCTTCAGGCTCCAGGCCTGCCCCAGCACCAAGCTGGCCCTATAGGCCCAGGCACCAGGCAAGCCCTTGTGGACCCAGCCTCCAGGCCTGCCCCTATGGACTCACCCCTACAGACCCAGTATCCAGGCCCATTCCTCTGAACTCAAGTTCTACAGTCGTTCCCAGGGGGCCTTGGTGCCAGGCCAGCCCCTGTAGATACAGGACCTAGCCCATCCCAGCACCCAGCTGGTGCCAGTGGACTCCAGCTCAAGGTCTGTCCCAGTGCCAGATTGGCTCCTGTGGACCTTGGCACCAGGCCTGCCCCATAGACCCAGGCACCAGCCCCACCTGCCAGTCCAGTGACCAGGGACCATGCCTAGTCCTCAAACTCTAGCAGCAAACCTGCCCATGGACGTTACCAGATAGGCTTCCCAGAGTTTCTGAATGGCTGACTGATGAAGGACTTTTCTTGCCAAATCCAGTCCATGAAGACTAGAAGAGGGGCCTACTTCTTCAAATCTGCAGATGCCAATGCAAGGCTACAAGGAACACGAATAATTAGGAAAATAAGATACCACTAAAGGAATCCAACAAAGCACCAGTAACTGATCTTAAAGAAATGGAGATCTACGAACTGCCTGGCAAAGAGTTCAAAATAATTTTCTTAAAGAAGCACAGTGAGCTACGAAAGAGCTCAGATAGACCATTAAATGATATAAGGAAAGTAATATGTAAACAAAATTAGAAGCTCAACAAAGAGATATAAACCATAATAAAGAACCAAACAGAAATTATGGAACTGAAGAACACATGACTGAACTGAAAGATTTCATAGAAGGCTTAAACAGCCAATTTAACCACACAGAAGAAAAAAAAACCAGCAAGCTCAAAGACAGGTCATTTGAAATTAGTCAGAGGAATAGAAAGAAAAGAGAATAGAAAACAGTAAAGAAAGTGTACAGGACTAATGAGAGATCAAACAAACTAATATTCACATTACAGGACCCCTGAAAGAGCAGAGAAAGAGAAAGAAACAGAAAGCTTATTTAAAAACATACTTACAGAAAATTTTCCAAATCTGAAGAGAGAAATGAATATTCAGAGTCATGAAGCTCAAAGAACTACAAATAGATTAAATATTAAGAGATCTTCACCAAGACATGTTAAATTCAAATTCTCAAAAGTTAAAGACAAAGAGAATTTTGAAAGAAGCAAAAAAAATGACTCATCACATACAAAGGAACATTGATAAGATGATGAGTAGATTTCTCAACAGAAACCTTACAGGCCATGAGAGAGTTTGATAACATATTCAAAGTGCTGAAAGAAAAAAAAAACTAGCAACCAAAAATACTATACCCAGCAGAGCTGTTCTCCAAAAATTAGGAGAGAAAAAGACTCCTGGACAAGCAAAAGCTATGGGTGTTCATCAGCTAGACCTGGCTTACAAGAAGTACTAATGGGAGTTCTTCAAGTTGAAATTAAAGGACACTAACTAACAACAAGAAGATATGTGGAAAATATAAAACTCACTATATAGATAAGAATATAATCAAATTCAGAATACTCTAATTATTTAATAGTAATGTGTAAATCACTTTTAATTCTAGTATAAAAATAAAATGACAAAGTATTAAAAATAACTACCACTACAATAATTTGTTAATGCATACACAATATATAAAAGATGTAAATTGCGACATTAATAACATAAAATGAGGGGGGAGGAGAAGTTAAAGTGTAGGGTTTTTGAATGTTGTAGAAGTTAAATTGTTAACAGCTTAAATTAGGATGTTATAACGTAAGACGTTTTATGTAAGTTTCATGATAAACAAAAAGAAAAACGCATAGTAGATACACAAAAAAGAAATAGAAAGGAATGAAGCACACCACTATAAAAATCCCTAAATCACAAAAAAAGACAGAAAGAGAAAAAAGAAAGAAACAAATAAACTACAAAACAGAAAACAATTAACAAAATGGCAATAATAAGCCTTTACCTATCAATAATTACTTTAAATGTTAATGGATTAAGTTGTTCAATCAAAAAACATAGAATGGTTTAATGGATTTTAAAAATAATATTCAGCTATATACTGCCTACAAGAGACTCATTTTAAGTGAGTTGGCTATGGCTTCACACATAGGCTGAAAGTGAAAGGATGAAAAAAGATATTCCAAACAAATGATATCCCACCTAAGATATGGATGAAAAAAGATGAAAAAAGATATCCCACCCAAGAGAGTAGGGGTGGCTACTCTTATTTCACACAAAATGGACTTTCGATCAAAAACTGTCATGAGAGACAAAGAAGGTCATTATATAATGATAACGAGGTCAATGCATCCAAAGTATATAACAATTATGACTATATATGCACTTAACATTGGAGCACCTAAATATATAAAGCAAATATTAACAGAACTGAAGGGAGAAATAGAGAGCAATACAATAATAGCAGGGGTCTTCAGTATCCCACTTCCAACAATGGATAGATTATCTGACAGAAAATCAATAAGGAAAAGCAGGATTGAACAATACTATAGACCAAGTGGACCTAACAAACATACAAAACATTCCATTCAACAGTCACAAAATATACATTCTTTTCTAGCACACACAGAACATTCTCCAGGATATGTTAGACCACAAAACAAGTCTTAACAAACCTAACAAAATCAAAATTATGTCCAATATATTCTCTAACCACAATGCTATGAAACTAGAAATCAATAACAAGAGGAAAATTGAAAAATTCACAAGCATGTGGAAATTAAACAACACACTTTTGAACAACCAATGGATAAAAAGAGAAATCAGAATGGAAATAAAATATATCTTGAGGCCAGGCATGTGGCTCACACCTGTAATGTCAGCACTTTGGGAGGCCAAGGCAAGAGGCTCTCTTGAGTCCAGGAGCTTGAGACCTGCCTGGGCTACATAGTGAGACCCTGTCTCTAAAAAAAATTTTTTAAATTAGTTGGGCATGGTGACGTGTGCCTGTCATCCAAGCTACTGAGGTGGGAGGATCCCTTGAGTCAGGAGTTTGAGACTGCAGTGAGCTGAGATTGTGCCCCTGCACTCCAGCCTGGGTGACCAGAGTGAGACCCTGTCAAAAAAAAAAAAAAAGAGAGAGAGACAAATGAAAATAGAAACATTGCATTTCAAAACTTAAGAGATGCAGCAAAAGCAGCTAACAGAAAAAACGGAATTAATAAAAATCAGAGCAAAATTAATGAAACAGCTAAATAAATAGTAGAAAAGACTGATGAAACGAATGCTTAGTTTGTTGAAAAAAATGACAAATCTTTAGCTAGAATAAGAAAATAAAGATAATTTAAAATAAATAAAATTATAAACAAAAAAGGAGACATTATGATTGATACCACCAATAGGCAAAGGATTATAAGAGACTGCTATAAAAATTGTACACCAACAAACTAGACAACCTGGAAGAAATAGATAAATTCCTAGAAGCATACAAACTTCCAAGACTGAATTATGAAGAAATAGAAAACCTGAATAGATCAATAATGACTAATGATATCGAATCAGTAATCAAAAAATTCCCAACCAAAAAAAAAAAAAAATGCCTAGGACCTGATGGCTTTACTGGTGAATTCCACTGAATATTTTTTAAAGATTTAATGCTAATCCTTCTGAAATTCTTCCAAAATACTGAAGGGGAAGGAACACTTCCAAACTAATTTTGCAAGGCCAGCATCCCTTGACACCAAAGCCAGATAAGGTCAATACAGAAAAGAAAATTATAGGTCATTAACTCTAATGAACAGAAAAAAATTTTCAACAAAATACTAGCAAACAGAATTCAACAGCACATGAATTATACACCAAGAGCACAGGATTATACACCATAATCTAGTGAGATGTATCCCTGGGATGTAAGAATAGTTTAACATGCAAATCAATAAATGTGATACACCACGTTAACAAAATGAATGATAAAAATTACATAATCATCTCAATAGACGGCATAAAAAACAATTTACAAAATTCAGCATCCTTTTATGATTAAAAATGCTCAACAAATACATACAGAAGGAATGTACCTGAACATAATTAAGGCCATGTATGACAAGCCCACCAGTAACATGGTACTCAATGATGAAAAGTTGAAAGCTTTTCCTCTAATATCAGAAGCAAGACAGGAATGCCCACTATTACTGTTTCTATTTAATATAGTACTGGAAGTTCTAACCAGAACAATTAGGCAATAAAAAGAAGTAAAAGTCATCCCAATCAGAAAGGAAGAAGGAAAATGTCACTGTTTGCAGATGACAACATATTTTTTTTCTTTTCTTTTTTGGAGACAAGGTCTGGCTCTGTCACCCAAGCCAGAGTGCCATGGCACAATCTGCCTCCCAGGCTCAAGCCATCCTCCAAGCTCAGCCTCCCAGGTAGCTGTGACTACAGAGGTACATCACCACACCTGGCTAATTTTTTTGTAAAGATGGGGTTTTACCATGTTGCCCAGGCTGGTTAACTCCTGAGCTCAAGTGATCTGATTGCCTGCCTCAGCTTCCCAAAGTGCTGGGATTACAGGTGTGAGCCATCGCACTCAGCTGACAACATCTTAAATATAGAAAACCCCAAAGACTCCACCACAAATTGTTAAAACTAATAAAAGAATTCAGTGAAGTTGCAGGATACAAAATGAGCATACAAAAATCAGTGGATTCCAAGCATGATGGTGATCACTTGTAGTCCTAGCTACTTGAGAGGCTGAGACAATGGGATAACTTGAGCCTAGGAGTTTGAGGCCAGCCTTGGCAACACAGCAAGACCCCATCTCTTAAAAAAAAATTTTAATCAGTGGGATTTCTCTATACTAACAACAAAATATTTGAAAAATAAATTAAGAATACAATCCCATGTACAACAGCATCAAAAAAATTCAGGAATGAATTTAACCAAGGAAGTGAAAGATCTGTACATCGAGAACTGTAACACACTGATGAAAGAAATTGAAGAAGACACAAATAAATGGAAAGATATCTCATGTTCCTGGATTTGAAGAATTAATATTATTAAAATATCCATACTGCCTGTCTTAGTCTGCTTTGTGCATGTAATAACAGGATACCAGAGACTGGGTTATTTACAAAGAAAAGAAATTTATGTCTTACAGCTCTGGAGTCTAGGAAATCCAAGATTGAGGGGCTGTCATCTGGTGAGGGCCTTCTTGCTGTGTCATCCATGGTGTAAAGTCAAAGAGAGGGTGAAAGAGAACAAAAGATCTAGTTCACAGCCTCAAATCTTTTTACAATAGGTATTAATTCATTCAGGAGGGTGGAGACCTCATGACCTAAACACCTCCCATTAGGCCCCATCTGCCAACACTGTCACATTGGGGATTAAGTTTACAACACATGTTTCTGGGGGAACACATTCAAACTATAGCCCTACCCAAATCAAACTGTAGATTCAATGCAATCCCTTCAAAATTCCCAACGGTATTTTTTACAGTAATAGAAAAAACAATTCTAAAATTCATATGGAACCACAATACATCCTAAACAGACAAGAAATCTTGAGCAAGAAGAACAAAGCTGGATGCATCACACTACTTGATTTTAAAATATAGGACAAAGCTATAGTAATCAAACAGCCTGATACCAGCATAAAAACAGACATGTAGACCAGTGGAGTAGAATAGACAGCCCCAGAATAGGTCCACACATTTACAGTCAATTGATCTTTGACTAAGGTGCCAAGAACACAAATGGGGGAAGGACAATCTCTTCAATAAATGATGTTGGGAAAATTAGATATTCAAAGGCAGAACAATGGAATTGGACATTTATCTCACATCATATACAGAAATCAACTCAAGATGGAGTAAAGACTTAAACACAAAGCCTAAACAATAAAACTACTAGAAGAAAACACAGTGAAAAAGCTTCTTGACATTGATCTAGGCAATGATTTTTTGGATATGGCCTCAAAAGCACAGGCAACAAAAGCAAAAATAGACAAATGGAATTACATCAAACTACAAAGCTTCTGCATAGCAAAGGAAACAACCTGTGGAATAGGAGTTAAGAGATAATCTATGGGATAGGAGAAAATATTTGCAAACAATATGTCTGATAATGGATTAATTTCAAAAATATATAAGGAACTCAAGCAACTCAATAGCAAGGAAACAACCCAATTTTTAAAAGGACAAATGACCTAAGTAGACATTTCTCAAAAGAAGACACACAAGTGGCCAACAGGTATATTAAAAAATGCTCAATATCACTAATGAGGGAAATGTAAATCAAAACCACAATGAGATCACCTCACACCTATTAGAACTGCCATAATCAAAAAGACAAAAGGTACGTATTTGAAAGAATGTAGAGAAAAATGAACCCTCATACACTGTTGTTGGGAATGTAAATTGGTACAGCCATTATGGAAAACATTATGGATGTTCCTCAAAACGTTAAAACTAGAACAACCATATGATCGAGCAATCCACTTCCAGGTATATATCTGGAGGATGTGAAATCAGTATCTCAAATAGACTCTCAAGTTCACTGCAGCAATATTCACAATAGCCAAGATATGGAACATCATCATGTTCCATACAACTAAGACTACATCAATGAATGAATGGATAAAGAAAATTGTGTGTGTGTGTGTGTGTTGCACACATACAATGGAATACTATCCAGTCTTAGAGTAAAAGGAAATCCAGTCACTTGTGACAACATGGGTGAACCTGGAGGACATAATGTTAAGTGAAAAAGCCAAACAGAAAGACAAATACTGTATGATCTCACTTATATGTGGAATCTTAAAAAGCTGAACTCACAGAAGATTGAATAGAATAGTGGTTGTCAGTGCTAGGGCTGTGGGAAATGGTCAAAGGGATCAAAGTTTCAGCTTTGAAGAATGAATAAGTTGTGGATATCTAAGGTACAGTATGGTGACTATAGTTAAAGTCATACTGTATACTTTAAATTTACTAAGAGAATAGATCTTAAATATTCCCAACACACACACACACAATTATGTAAGGTGATGGTCATGTTAATTAGCTTGATGTTGGTAATTATTTCATAATGTGTATGTATTTCAAAAATATCACATTGTACACTGCAAATATATACAATTTTAACTTGCCAAGTATACTTCAATAAAGCTTGGAAAATATTTTTAATAAATAGTAAATAATAAGACTAAAGAAATATGACTCCAAGCACCCTCCCAGCAGCCTGACTGGTCACTGTTGATGGGTCCCCACCCCACAGCAGAGCTGCACAACACTACAGGGTCCCTCAGAGGCTGCAGCTATGATGCCTCCAGCCACACCTGAGCATAGGATCTTTGCCAAGGCCTAGAAACTCAGTCCAGCCACTCTAGGTGTAGCTGTTTCCTTTGGAGGGACCACCACCCCCCTCTTCCCAGGTACTGTCCTACTACTTTAAGGATTATAGAATTCACACTCTCAGGGACTTTAATTTTCCTCTCATCACCTCCTCTCCCAAAGTCAACCTCCTCCACTCAGAGTCTCTCTCCTCCTCCCTCTCCCTGACAGGATAATCTAATACGGTAATCCTCAAAGTGTGGTCCTGGACCAGCAGCTCCTGCACCACCTGGAAATTTGTTTCAAATGCACATTCATTTTTACGCCATCTTAATACTTACTGAACCAGATACTCTGGGAGTGGAACTCAGTAATCTGTGTTTCGGCAAACCTTCCAAGGGATACTGGTGCGTGCTCAAGTTTGAGAACCACTGGTCCAGTAAAATCCTTGCAGTGAAATTATACTTTTAAAACCAAAAGCCAAGAGGGGAGCTTGTCTTGGGACAACATCAGGTTCTGGTCTCTGCGACATAGCATCTTCCTACCTGGTGAGCAAACAGCAAACACCAGAGCCCTGGGCTAGGGAAGAACAAAGAGGACCAGCATGTTTGGCAGTGAGGGTTGCACGCTGCACAACTCTAAGGGATGCTACCCACATAAACTACCATGCAAATGGCACAGTATGGTGGACAGGTGGGAACATCAAGGAACCAAAGGGCAGAAAGAGGGATCTTGTGGTTATTTGAATAAGTGGGCTTGAGGGATTCAGTCCCCGTTAAGGGGCAATTGGGAAGATGGGAAGAAAAGCAGTGCAAAACCTGAACTCAGCCCCAGGGGGCGCTCTATATGCAGACAACACACATCATGGGTCAAACAAAGAATGTGTTATTCAGGGGGTCTCAAACGCAAATGCCCACAGGAGCCAGGTTGGTATGTAAAGAGACTGGAGAACACAGCCCAGCAAGGGTGCAAGCACCACCAGCCATTGCCATTGTGGCCACGTGGGATGCTGAGCTCAGCCTTGTCATATCTTCCTTTTTAAAAACAAATGAAACCAGAAATCCATGTCTACGTGAGATCTCTAGGAGTCCCTTTAAATATTTTAAACAGATTCTGATTCTTTTTTACTGCTTCATTTATTTGGCTGTGACAGATTCTTATTTTTAAAAACACTTTGTAATGTATCCAGAATATATAAATTACTCTCAAAACCCAATTAAAAACAAAATAAGCAAAAGAGTTGGACTCTTCAAATGAGACTTACAGATGGACAAGAGCCCATGAATAGATGCCTAACATTAATCTTTAGGAAAATGCAAATTAAAACCACAATAAGTTAATGCTGTGCACTTGTTAGGATGGCTACATTTTTTTAAAAAAAAACTCCCAATACCAAGTGCTGGTGAATGAATATGCTGGGCAATTGGAACTCTCTTACCTTGCTGGCAGGAATGCAAAATGGTACCATTACATTGGAAACCATTTGGCAGTTTCATATAAAGTTAAACATACTCTTACTATGTGACCCAGCAATTCCACTCCTAAGTATTTACCCAAGAGAAATAAAAATTTATGTTCACACAAAAATCTATCTATGAATGTTTATAATGGCTTTATCTGTAAACACCAATCCAAATGTCCCTTGCCTGGGGAATGGATAAATGAATTGTGGTATGTCCATGACAGAATACTAATCAGCAAGAAAGAGGAATAAACTACCGAGACATGCAATAAAATAAAATACCTAATCTCAAATGCATTCTGCTAAGTCAAGGCACTCTGACTCAAAAGTCTCCATAGTGTAGGATTCCATTTCTAGGACATTCTAGAAAAGGCAAAACTATAGGGACAGAAAACAGATGGTGGCTAACAAGGATTGGAGATGGGGGCAGGGATTGCCCGAAAGGGAGATGGCGGGGGTTACATTTTGGGGAGTGATGGAAATGATCTAATGTATTGATTATGGTGGTGATCTGACAAAATTCATACAACTGTACACCAAAAAGGGAGCATTTTACAGTATGTAAATTATGCAAAAAAAGCTTATTAAAAAATTAAAAGTAAAATAAAAATCACTCTGTAGGCCACACAACACAGCACTACAAATGGAATCCAGCTGGTGGCCTGGCCAGCACTGGACATCATGAAAGATAGAGGGAAAAATGGGATGACCCCACCCCTGCCCCTGCCCTTGAGGAGCTGAGCAGCAGAGAGGCAAGATTTTCAACCGTGTTCCACGAGTCATGGCCCTTTTCTCTGTTTTCTCAGGGTTACACATAGTATGTCACTTGGGCAAACAGAGACTTCCTTACCTAAAATGTTTTGGAAAACAAAAGTGTCCTGGGAACAAAGGCGGGTTTCAGTCTAAAGACCCCAGTAAGAGCCCTCCTCTGCCTCTACCCACCGTGTGATCCTGGGTGAGACTTCATGGGAGCTCACAGGTGAGGGCAGCCCCAGAGCTCTCAGAGACCTTGCCTTCTTGAGGGTGGGACAAGAAGAGTTTATGTTTTCTCTGACCTTGCAGACCTGGCAGGGAGGTAAGAAACACCCAAAGGGTAACCTCCAGACCCAGGCTCTGTAGGGAAACTGAGGGCTGTCCATTTTGAGGGCAGAGCTGTTTGGGAACAGCATTAAAACCCCTCAGCAATGGCACCTTCACCCTGCTGCGCCCCAGGCCTCCCCGTGCTTAGAACGCTGGAGTTTGTAGCAAGGAATGTCCAGCCTCTTGGTCTCCTTCTTCCTGGGACCCTTAGAGCTGGTGGCAGGCAAATGCCTGCTCAGCCCTCATGCCAGAAGACACCCAGGCCCTGCCTCTGAGGCCACCAATCAAAGTGAAAGACAGGAGAGAGTCCTAGCTCCAGGCCTGGAGGATTCAGGCTAGATAAGTGCAGAACATCCAAAGGAAAGAGATTCTGACAACTTGGGCCTCAGTTTCCACATCTGTATAATGGGGATAAGGAACACAAACACTGAATGGCATGGTGGCTCATGCCACTCCCAACAGTTAGGAGGCCAAGGAGAGAGGATTGCTTTAGGCCAGGAGTTCGAGACCAGCCTGGGCAACATAGCGAGACTCTGTCTCTACAAAAAATTTCAAAATTTGCTATGCATAGTGGTATGCACCTGTAATCCCAGCTACTCAGGAGACTGAAGCAGGAGGATCCCTTGAGCCTAGGAGGTCGAGGCTGCAATAAACTGAGAGTGCCATTGCACTCCAGCCTGGGCAACAGAGTGAAACCCAACTCTAAAACAAAACAAAACAAAGCAAAAACATAAACATCACAGTGTTTTTGTGAGGCTTAAATGGCTATCCTGTGCTGGGCACCTGGTTGGGGTGCAGAGATGGCAGTTTCCTTGTTGAGTCTCCCCCAACATTCAAAGCCATTAACCCAGGTGACAAGTCATCTGGATCCCCAAGAAGCTGTGCTTCTCTCCTTAGCGGGTCAGCTATGCCCAGACCTGGAAGAAAGACCTTTTCCCCAACCATGTCCTCTGAAAGGGAAACTGGGACGACTCAAAGTGAGAGTGTGGAGCCAGGCTGGTCCTCCACTGGGAAGACAAAGGACCAAGGATAGGAGAAAAACCAGTGGACCCAAGAAGCCAAATGGAGGAGCAGGGAAAAGAACTGAGGTGGCCGTGGGAGCCTTGGAGGCCAAACCAAGAGCATGGAGCCTGGTGAGGCAGAGTGTGCAGGACTCTGGTTGAGGAGTCAGTTAGAAACAGCGTGCTGGTACGTCCCTTAGCCCACATCAGCCCTGGCTCCCATGCCAGCCCCTTGCAGGACTGTGTTTAATCTCCATTTCTCAGATAGAGAAGCTGAAGCCCCATGGCTCACACACACCCCTAATAAGTGGACCTGGGACTCAAACCCAGGTCTCCACAGTCACCCTCACTACGGTCCCATTAACTTATTAAGCTCTGCCATTAACTCATTAAGGAAGCATGGGAAAGTCCTTGCTCCTGTCTGGGCCTCAGTTTCCCCACTTTGTTGATGACTGGAAGGGCTTGCAGGTCCCAAAGCCCCCGATCCCAGAACTGCATGGTGTCCCAGCCCCAGCTCCTCTTCCACTCTGGGACTGGCCGCTCTTACGAGGAACCCCCAGCCAAACTTTGGCGGTGACCCCCAGGCCACTTTGCCCTGGACAAATAGTGGCCAGACCCCACCCCTGGGAGTTACCCTGGATCAAGCATTTAGCTTTTGGAAGAGTGGCCCCCATTCTTCCCCTTCATCCTGTCCCCAGCTACCTAAGGCCACTTCCTGCTCCCTGCCCCTGCAGACAATGCCCTAGGCCCAGGCTGGAACCCTGCTCCTGGCTCAACCCTCCCCTACACCCAACACATGTGCACACTCACTTCCCGCAGCCCTGCGGCTTCAGGCATCTGCTGCCCTTCTGGAACCTGTGACCTCCAGGACAGCGGCAGGCAGATCTTCAGCCCCAGAGGTCCAGGGCCCCTGAATGCCTTCTGGACTCCCCAGGGTCTGCCCAGGTTGCTTGGGAAACCATTTCAGGTCATTTGAGACGATGAGGAGGTTTAGCTCTGGTTTGAGCTAAACAACACGAAGAAACAAATCCCTGTCTGTCAAAGTCCATCAAGCTAAGTTCTGGAGGCCTGGGAGTCGGCCGACATCTCTCAAGGGGTTTGCTCTTCTGTGCTGCTTTTTTATTCAGCTCCACAAATATTTGTCAAGGAAGCTGCTACTGTGCTGACATCAGTGTCCTGGGAGGTTGGGGGGATGGGCAGGCCATTCTGAAGAGAGGGAATACAGAGAGGAGCGGTACTTAATCCCTGTCCCCAGGGACTTTGCTTTCTCAAAGCAAAGGTGTTTGACGCCTGCTCTATGAACGCCCTTCCACAGGGCAGCCAGCTGTGCCCTTCATTTCTAAATGGTTCTAAGGATGGAAAGGAAAGACCCAAAACGCTATCAGTCATTTTCTTATGGGAGAAAGACATTCTCATCCTTTTCTTCATTTTCCAATTTTGCACCAGGAGTCATTACTACTTTTGAAATTGGAGAGTAAAGATTTATGGACCTATACCTTTTAAAATATGGGAATGATTATTGGAGGTGGTTATAAAAATTATTCTGCTCATTGTAACTATTCAGACAATACCCAAGAAATGAATGAAAATGAAAAACCACACATAATCACTGATTGAGCAGGAAATATCTTGTCCTTCTTTTTCTGACCTGCAGCGATGTGAGGCTGAAAGAGGCTTTGGGAGCCAGGGTGGCTGGGCTTGGATGTAAACGTCCACCCACTTTGGCGGTACTGGGTCCACCTGCAGTCTCTGACCTGGGCCAGGAGCTACCATAAGCCTATACCACATTCCAGGGAAGATTGGGAGCTCCCATCAAGAGAGGAGTTTAGCAAATGCTGGTCCATGCACATCTCAGTGTGCTACGGAGGTAGATGCTCCCAGATATTGACCACCACAGAAAGTCAAAGTCAGATTTGGTGAATTCGTATGATAGTGCCAATTTTTAAAATGGGCTTTAGGCCAAGAAAGGACATTTATAAAGGAAATCAGCAACTATTCCTTATCACTGGAATTTCAGAAAAGAATGGACATTTGAACACCAAAAATCAGAAAAACTCTGCAAATAAAAGCTTTGTGAAAAACTCAGTAAGCGGCCCTTGCTTGCTGTAGGGAATTCAAGCTCTCAATGAAGGGCTGCAGCTCTGAGCCAGGCTGGAAGGCAGTGGTTTCTCCTCTCATTGGGCCTTGGTTTCCTCATTTGTCTAGCATTCTTTTTGCATAAAGATTCCGACTTCCAGCTGGGCGCGGTGGTTCACAGCTGTAAGCCCAGCACTTTGGGAGACCCAGGCAGGTGGATCACTTGAGGTTAGGAGTTCAAGACCAGCCTGACCAACATGGTGAAGCCCTGTCTCTACTAAAAATACAAAAAAATTAGCCAGCCATGTTGGCACACGCTTGTAATCTCGGTTACTTGGGAGGCTGAGGCAGGAGAATTACTTGAACCCAGGAGGTGAAGGTTGCAGTGAGCCGAGATCAAGCCTCTGCACTCCAGCCTAGGTGACAGAGGGAGACTGTCTCAAAACAAACAAACAAAAAAGAAACCTATTCCTATTCCCCCTTCACCCCCTTCATCATTCCTTTTTTTCCCCCCAGTAACAAACAGCTTTGTCCCAATGATGGTCACCTTCCCTTTTTTATTTATTTATTTATTTATTGAGACGGAGGAGTCTCGCTCTGTCACCAGGCTGGAATGCAGTGGCGCAATCTCAGCTCACTGCAACCTCCGCCTCCCAGGTTCAAGCAATTCTCCTGCCTCAGCCTCCAGAGTAGCTGGGACTACAGGCCCACACCACTACACCCAGCTAATTTTTTGTATTTTAGTAGAGATCAGGTTTCACCGTGTTGCCCAGGCTGGTCTCGAGCTCCTAAGCTCAGGCAATCCACCTGCCTCAGCCTCCCAAAGTGCTAGGATTACAGGCATGAGCCACCACGCCCAGTTGGTCACCTTCCAACATCCGCACCCAGCAGGTGGTTTGAAAGTGCCAACACCTAGATAGACAGGCAGTGTGACAACCTGGGAGAGGTGGCCAGGTGATGAGGCTGGAAAGCATGGGAAGAAGGGACAGAGTCAACACCACCAAGGCAAGCATGTCTAGAAAGGTGAGCAGAAAGGAGACAGAGAGAAGGTGATCTAGGGAAAGGCTGCCCCTGATGGGGAGAAGGTCTCCCTGGTATTCTAGAAAGGGCATGAGATGGTTGAAGGGGTGCCGAGGGCATGGCCAGAGGTGGAGGCATTTCTGGAGGGTCTTTCTGAGCATAAATACTGTGTCCTGTCAGTCACAGGATGGAATCCCAGATGGAGGGATGGAGGAAGGCGGACGAGCCCCGTAGACTGGCCTTGTCCTCCCTGGCACCCGCCCCTCCCTGGGGCCCTGTGGGATGTGCTCTGAAAGCCCCCAGTAGATACCTGTTCTCCCAGGACTGGGGACTCATTCAGAGCATACAATGGAAGTCAAGAAGGCTCTGGCACCTACTGTTCCCTCTGGCACCCTCCTTTCCCTCGGCAACCTCAGGCCTCTCCCTGGGGTCTCAATGAGCCACACACACTGAGGCGGAGCAGTGGGGGATAGAAGGCAGGGCTCAGGCAGGGTTGAACCGTCTCATTCAATCACCCCTCCCTCTGCAGAGGAGAAAACCCGGGCCAAGGAGGGAAGCCATTCCACGTCAACAAATTCATGGCTGTGCTGAAACAATAGTTCTATCAAAATAATAATAATAAGCAATTGTGGGATTCCAGTCTTCTGTCTCTCACTCGAGGATTTAAATTGGAGGACCGCATATTGGAACTGATGGATTTTCAGACCCTGTGGCCTCACATGGGAAAGTGTCTGGGGACAGGAACATTCTACCTGCCTCAAGGGTCACCCCACGAGGGCACCTTTGTACACGCGTGAAGCCCGCTTGGATGCACACCGTCTGGGTGTCTCCAGATGTGGACATTTTTAAGCAGTTAGATTTTCTATTCCTTCCAGCCCCTCAACCCCACCCCCACCCCTCCCAGCAAATGGATAACAGGAAACAGCCAAAGCTTCTTAACTTTTCTTTAATCTTCCCCTCTCTGGCAAACTGAAAAATCAAACGATAATTGTCTGGGTGATCTCATTATTGTCAACAAAATCCAAGCCTTGAAGTCCGAATACACTGAAATGCTGACACATTAAACACAAAAGGAAACCGCTTGCATGTTGTTCAATAAATAAATAAGGCTGGTGGGAGCTCGGCGCAGGCCTGGCACACTGCACACTGAGGGGCTCTGTGGTCGGAAATGCTGGGACTGCGAGATGACCACGGGGACCCGGGAAGCGTGGCATCTAGGAAAGACTAGGACCAGGAGGTCAAGGTCCCATCCTTCCTGTTTGTATCAGTCAGGCCTGGCAGGAAACAGATGGACAGATGGCACCTTCCCAAGGGTAACTGAGGAGAGTTTAATGATGGGGGTATTTATGCGGGCAGGGAACCAGAAGGGGAGGTGGGGCATCCGGGGAACTAGCACCATGGGAAGCCCTTACAGCCACTAGACCCGAAAGACAAGGGGACCAAGCAGTGATCAGAGCCCAGAGAGGGTGATGGGTGAGAGGTCCACTTGATAAGAGCTGTGGCTTTTCAGGGGAGAAAGACTGCACCCACCAAAGTGTGGCCTGGCAGGGAGAGGACTAGAAAATGTATGGCTCCACTGCTCTCTCCTACCTCCTTCCCATCTCCCAGCGGTGCCTCCTATTGGCCAAACCCAAGCAAAAGCCGGAGGACAAGGAAGATGAAAGTCAAACAAGCAGCTTCCATGAGCCCTGTATGCAGACAGCACTGGCCCAGTGCTGGGGAGTTGCTGGCCCTTCTCCTCCAGGTCAGCCTGGTGTGTCTCTGCAAGTCTGGAGCAGCAGGGAGGGAGTAGGGGTAGTGATACTTCCACTGCACTTTGGTCTTCAAAAGTGTCCTATTTTCTGAAAGATGCAGGTTAAGGGACTGAGCTGTCTCTGGCATGGAGCAGGGTCTGGAGGGACAAAGAGAGAGCAGCCAGCATCCCACGCATCATGCAACACCCCCCTGCAGCATGCCACATCTGTACCATCCCCAGCTTGTGCACATCCAGGGATGCAAAACTCACCCACACTTCCACCTGCAAGCAGCCTATCCAAGTGTGAAGATTCCATATCTCAGTTCCTGGCAAAATCAAGTTCTGGGATTGGGGAACAGGTCACATCCATACTAGGGAGCAAGTGCTATTTGAATGTCAGGAGGGTGAGACTGGGAGCTACTGGGCAGGCCTGCTGCATTGCTTGGCAGGGGTGGGGTAGTAAACGCAAAGCGAAACCTATCTCCCATTTGTTCACCTTCTCTTGATCTTGATTTTTCTGCCATCTTATCAGAATCCTAATAGACACCATGAACATATATTACCTATCACCTTTAGGGAAAATGGGACACTTTTAGAGACCGAAGTGCAGTGGGGGTGTAACTACTCCTACTCACTTCCTGCTGCTCCAGGCTTACAAAGACAGACCAGGCTGGCCTAGAGGAGAGGGGACAGCAACTCCCCAGCACTGGGCCAGCGCTGCCTGCACACAGGGCTCATGGCAGCTGCTTGCTGACTTTGTGCCCATAGACCTCCCTTTCTCTGTCAGTCCCAGAGGCAGCAGTGGAGGGGACTGGTGTTGGGGGAAACAGGGCATCAGGAGACCCAGGTCCTCATCTGCTTCTGCCACTTTCTGGCTGTGTAGCTCTGGGCAAAACCTGCCCTGCCCTGGGTCTCAACTTCCCAACTTAGAAGGAAAAGGGACTTTGTTCCTGATCTTGGCCAGCCTACATGGAAGAAGAGACCCTTCTCTCCACCTGCAGAATCCTTTCCTTCCTCCTCAACTTTCTTCTCTCCAAAAGGTGCAAATGAGGCTGGGCACGGTGGCCCACACCTGTAATCCCAGCGCTTTGGGAGGCTAAGATGGGAGGATCATTTGAGCACAGGAGTTTGAAACCAGCCTGGGTAACAGCAAGGCCCCACCCCCCTACAAAAAATGTTTAAAAATTAGGGCTGGGCGCGGTGGCCCACACCTGTAATCCCAGCACTTTGGGAGGCCAAGGCGGGAGGATTGCCTGAGCTCAGGATTTTGAGATCACCCTGGGTAACAAGGGTGAAACCCTGTCTCTACTAAAATACAAAAAATTAGCTTGGCACGGTGGTGCGCGCCTGTAGTCCCAGCTACTGGGGAGGCTGAGGCACGATAATTGTTTGTGCCTGGGAGGCGAAGGTTGCAGCGAGCTGAGATTGTGCCACTGCACTCCAGCTTGGGCCACAGAGTGAGACTATGTCTCAAAAAAAAAAAAAAATTTAGCCAGGCTTGGTGGTGTGCACCAGTAGTCCTAGTTACTAGGGAGGCTGAAGTGGGAGAATCACTTGAGCCTGGGAGGTCGAGGTTGCAATAAGCCATGCATGATTGCACCACTGCACTCCAGCTTGGGCAACAGAGCAAGACCCAGTCTCAAAAAAACAAAACCAAAACAAATAAATAAATAAATGGTGCAAATATTTGCTTCCACCCTGAAAAGTTAAATCCTGCTTTTTATCTGTGAGTACCCTGGAGTTTTGCAGGGCCTCTCGAATATTATCACATTTGGTGCTTTGCAAACAACTCCCTCTGCTTTGCCTGTTCAGCTACAGCATGAGCAGAAAGGACGAGAGAGGACCCAGGCATCCCTGACCCCCTCCTTAAGCCAGAGACTGTGACTGTCCCACTCCCTCTGCCCCGCCCTTCCACCCTCCCTCCCTGGGTTGTCACTGCATGACTTTGGCAGGGTAGTTTTCCTCTCTGAGCCTCAATTTTCTCATTGGTTAAATTGGGGTGCTAATAATAACCACCTCAGTGATGACACATGAAGCATTTAGCATGATGTCTGGCACACAGTAAACATTCAATGGACGGGAGAGGTTGTCATTGTTTTTTCTGTCCACAAGGAACCCTGGAGGTACCCGCCTCATGTTCTATCCTCCTTGGAGGCTTGGGGCAGTTGGCCATTCTCTGAAAAGCCAGCCTGTTCTGACACTTGCCTGTCAAGTCATTGATTAGGCCTCCATCACTGTATTCCCTGTCTTCCCTTCCCTAGGGTTCCAGAAGGAAAATGCTGCCGAGGGTACTGTGGAAATGAGGCTGAAAAAGCCTTCTGTATGATGCAAAGGATGGCATGCTTCTAAGGAATAAAGGAAAATATGTTGATCTTTTCATCTATACATGCTTGTCACCTCAAATAGGTTCTAAACTCTTTGGGGGTGGAAAATAAAGGCAGGAAACTAATGTTGATTAAACACTGTGGTTGACGTTACAATGCTCTGCAACATCAGGCTCAGTTTTCCTTCCTGGACATACAGAAAACTATATATCCCAGTACCCTTGCTGTGAGGTGGAACCATGGGCTAGTCTTGGCTAGTTAACTGAGAGCAGAAATGTTCTGGCCAATTATTTAGTTAATTTCTTCCTCTGCCACAGTGAACATGGAGGCTTTGAGTTGAAGTGATGGAGCTGCAATTTGATCTTCTGGATTATGTATCACATCTAGAAGAAGTCTGCCCCGGAGGGTGGTCTTGGACCTACAGCAAGCTTCATGGGAGTGAAAAATAAACTTCTGTAGTGATTAGCCACTGAGCTTGCAGGGATGCTTGCTACTGCAGCACAGCCTTGCTTGGACTGACTGGTACAAGCACTACCATATGCAAGTATTTTTATATATATTATTATTTCATTTGATCCTCGCATCTCTAGAGGCAGGTATTATTATCCTCTCAATAAGAGGTAGACCCAGAAGTAGAGCCAGGTTTCTTTGCCTCCTGAGCCCTGGGTCTTAGCAATTAGGTAGATGCCACCCCCTAAAACAGGGAAATTTGGGAGGCAGGCATGTAAATGGTTAACTCAATGCAGAAATGCCCCTTGTCACCGTGGGGTCTTTGTTGAGGAAATTGTAATCCTTCAAGTGTGGCCTCCCAGAGTCTGGGAAAAAAATGTTCCCAGCTAAAAGTAGCTACACCAGAGGGTCCCAGCCAAAGTCCAACTCTAGGTTGGCAGAATTCTTGGATGGCTTGGAATTCCTGCTGGCCAAGGTTCCACTGGCATGGAAGTGTTTACACTCACGTCAAATTAGTTCTCCCACGCCTTCCAGAGCCTCAGCCCATATTTGGGATGGAAAGGGGAAAATGATTCCCAGGGGAGATTCAAAAGCATCAGAAAAATTCCTCAGGGGCCGAGGCTTCTCCGTGTGGCTTGGGGCTCTGAGCAGGGTCTCTCATACCTGGACCCCGTGCCAGCAGGGCAGCCAAGCCAGGAGCACATGAACCCCCTCACACACTAATTCAGAAGGAAGGCATTTCTGCAGTGACCCTTGGGAGACCCAGAACAGATCCATAGCCAAATGAAGTGCAAGAAACAGGAAAGAAGAAAAGATCTAACTTGCGTTTCTGTCTGTTGAAAGTAGGCTTTTCTTCCTCCCTTCTAGAAGATGCTATGTGATTGGAGTGCCTTTAGCCGCGAGAAGCAGAAAACCCAGTAAAAGCGTCTTTGCAGAAAGGAAAGCTCCCGGAAGACTGTGTAGAGTGTACCCTTTTTGTGAGGCTCAAAAGCAGGCAAAACAAAGCAATACGTTGTCTGGATATACATTTACATGTGATAAAACTATACAAACCCATACAAGGGAATGAGAAACACAGAATTCAGGACCGTGCTTATCTTAGGGGCAAATGCAGGGAGGTGGTCATGGGGCCAGTTCGAGAGGAGCACATATGGAGGAGTAATCACTATTGGCAATATTCTAGTTCTTGAGTTGAGTGATGGGTTCATGGGTGTTCGTTATTTTAATAAATATCCCAGTGGCATGTCATGAATCAAGGCTCATGATTAATCCAGTTCTGTCTACCTAAGATCTATTTTTAAAGGGGAACTCAATAACAGCCAACACTTGTACACCATTTCCTGCGTGCCAGGCACTGTTATAAGCCCTTCACATATATAAACATGTTTACACCTCCTAGCAGCCTTATGAGTTGGGTCTTATTTTATGTCCACTTTCCAGATGAAGAAACCAAGGCAAGACAGGTTAAGCATCTGCCCAAGGTCACACAGCAGGCAATTAGGCTTCAGAGACCTCCTTCATAGCTGTTGCAAAATAGGAATGTTAGTCACATCATATAACTGCAAGCCCAGAGACAGAGCTGTTGTGGGGTGGGTTTGTTCTGTGGTTCAGGTGACATCATCAAAGATGCTGTCCTCACCATGTCCACCAGGTCCCCCCGCCGCTAGTCATACTGCACTTGCAGTCTTTGCAGACAATCCCACACAGTTCAGCAAAATGAGGCATTTCCTCTCATGTGCTGTTTCATTGGTGAGGAATTCCTTTCCCAGATCCTAGCTTGGAGACTTCCCCTTGGAGCCATTGACCAAGCCGAATCTCATGTCCAGACCCAAACCAATCATTGACCACCATAATGGGCTTTGAGCATTCACAGTTCACCCCCCTGAGACTGCAGGGATGAGTGGGAACAGTCAGGGGTGTTTGCCTCTAATTAGGGTTCCCCTGCATGGGCTATGAGAAGAAAAGACGGTTGACTCTGCTGGACTGGGGGCTCCCTAAACAGAAACCATGTCTAAGTCATCCTGCCCTCCCTGTCCCCCACGCCCAGTCAAGGCCCATCAAATAGTAGGCATCCATTCTACTGGACAGGCCAGTCCTGGGGCTTGTCATGCTCACAGTCTCCTCCTGAAAAAAGAAGAGACCATCTGTCCCTGGAGCCCAGGTGGCTTATATCTGTCCAGAGGTGATTGGTTGAGAGTCAGTCACCTGACCTAAGAGAAGTTATGTCACAGGCTAGCCAAGATCCTATGGTATATCTTGATACAAAGATCTCCTTCCCAACCAGGATGGGTGGTTTAGTGGGTGTCTTAACCCAGATTCCATATCAGTCAGCTTTGCATTGTTAGAAAGGAATACCTGAGGCTGAGTTATGTATAAAGAAAATAGGCCGGGTGAGGTGGCTCACATCTGTAATCCCAGCACTTTGGGAGGCTGAGGCGGGTGAATCACTTGAGGTCAGGAGTTCAAGACCAGCCTGGCAAACATGATGAAACCCCATCTCTACTTAAAAAAAAAATACAGAAAAGAAAAATAAAATAGGTTTATTTGTCTCACAGTTCTGCAGGCTGTACAAGCATGGCACCCACATCTATTTCTGGTGAGAGCCTCAGGAAGCTTACAATCATGGCAGAAGGTAAAGGGGAAGCAGCCATGTTATACGGTAAGAGAGGAAGAGGTTCCAGGTGCTTTTTAAACAAACAACTCTTGCGGGAACTGGTAGAGTGAGAACTCATTCATTACCACAAGGACAGCACCAAGCCATTCATGAGGGATCCACCCCCATGACCCACACACCTCCCAGACCCACCTCCAACATTAGAGGTCACATTTCTGGGTTTGTTTTTTTGTTTGTTTGTTTGTTTGTTTGTTTTGTTTTGTTTTGTTTTGTTTTTGAGACGGAGTCTCGCTCTGTCGCCCAGGCTGGAGTGCAGTGGCGGGATCTCGGCTCACTGCAAGCTCCGCCTCCCGGGTTCACGCCATTCTCCTGCCTCAGCCTCCCAAGTAGCTGGGACTACAGGCGCCCGCCACTACGCCCGGCTGATTTTTTGTATTTTTAGTAGAGACGGGGTTTCACCATTTTAGCCGGGATGGTCTCGATCTCCTGACCTCGTGATCCGCCCACCTCGGCCTCCCAAAGTGCTGGGATTACAGGCGTGAGCCACCGCGCCCGGCCTGTTTGTTTGTTTTTTGAGACAGCGTCTTGCTCTGTCACCCAGGCTGGAGTGCAATGGCGCGATCTCGGCTCACTGCAACCTCCGCCTCTGGGGCTCAAGCAATTCTCCTGCCTCAGCCTCCCAAGTAGGTGGGATTACAGGCATGCGCCACCACACCTGGCTAAATGTTGTATTTTTAGTAGAGACGGGGTTTCCCCCATATTGCCCAGGCTGGTGTCAAACTCCTGACCTAAGGTGATCCGCCTGCCTTGGCCTCCCAAAGTGCTGCAATTACAGGCGTGAGCCATCACGCCCAGCCAGAGGTCACATTTCAACCTGAGATTTGGAGGGGACAAACATCTGAACCCTATCACCGTAGAAAGCAGAGCCTGAGTCAAAGCTCACCTGCTGATGCTTTCCTGGTAGACACAATCCCAGGGAAGCAAGAATGAGGGGAAAGGATTGGGGCAGAGAAGGAGGCACAGGGGGTTCTTCTTCAGAACTGAAGGACTGAAGGCCCTTCAGCGCCTGGAAGTGCAGCTGGCAGACGGCCCCCAGCTGCCAGCCCCCTTTGGAATTGCTTTTATGAAGCAAGTCACCTCGCCCCACATCACACCTCCTTCCTGGGGCAGCTGCGTCTAATAACTGGGAAGCACAAGGTCATAAAGGCCCAACCCCTCGTCCCTACCCAGGACAGCTACAAAGGGCTCTCCCAGCTTCAGGACTCCTCATTGAGACTACGGCACAACTCACTCTCGCTCTGCCTGGGGCTGCCTTCGTCCTGCCCTTCCACAGGGCGGTAAACCTCCTGCACCCTCAGCTCCTCTTCTGGACCAGGAAACATGAGGGGAAAGTCTGTGAGGAGAAGGAGCAGAAGCTGAGAGGCTATGAAGGGGAGAGGGCCATAAGGAGTCAGGAAAGAGTGGGCAGAAGTTAGGAGAAAGTCGAAGTGAGGTGGAGACAAGCCCAACGGCACACCCGCTGAGGGGACAGCGAAACGGCCCTGTGGGGACAGCTGGCTGGCATTCCGAGTGATGTCATCCAAAAGACCACCAGGATTGTTACTGGAAAGGGGTCCAGATCCAGACCCCAAGAGAGAGTTCTTGGATCTAGCACAAGAAAGAATTCAGGGCGAGTCCATAGAGTCAAGTGAAAGCAAGGTCATTAAGAAAGTAAATAAAGGAATAAAGAATGGTTACTTCATAGACAGAGCAGCCCCAAGGGCTGCTGGAGGCCCATTTTTATGGTTATTTCTTGAGTATATGCTAAACAAGGGCTGGATTATTCATGCCTCCCCTTTTTAGAACATATAGGATAGCTTCCTGATGTTGCCATGGCATTTGTAAATTGTCATGGCTCTGGTAGGAGTGTAGCAGTGAGGACGACTAGAGGTCACTCTTGTCGCCATCTTGGTTTTGATGGGTTTTAGCCAGCTTCTCTATTGCAACCTGTTTTATCAGCAAGGTCTTTATGACCTGGATCTTGTGCTGACCTCCTATCTCATCCTGTGACTGAGAATGACTTAACCTCCTGGGAAAGCAGCCCAGTAGGTCTCAGCTTTATTTTACCCAGCCCCTATTCAAGATGGAGTTGGGCTGGTTCAAATGCCTCTGACAGGATGGCTAAAAAGTAGAAAGAGAGCTTTATTGGTGATATTGGCTTACACACTGGGAAGAGAGAGTCTCCATCGTGGACTGAAAGTGCTCTCTCTTCCAAGAGAGGAAGGAAGGATGTGTTGGGTTTTATGCCTCCCAGGGCCGGGGTCATACATATTCAGCAGATTTGGGGGAAAAGTTATGCATATTTATGAGGGGAGCCAAGCTTGTGTATCATGGGTAAACATGTATGTGACATACATCCCATGTTCACCTTGGGGAAAGGTTTTAGCATTAAAATGAGGTGGAATTGGCTCTTTACATCAAAGGGGAAGCTATAGGACACAAGGTCAGTTTCTGCACAGCCTCTGTAGGCCATGGAAACTGGCCTACGGTCTATAGTAGTTTATCAGACAACATTGGGCATGTTCAGTGTGGGATGGCCATAGACTATACTCGCTTATCAGAAGAGAATGTTTGGAAGGCTGATCCTCTCCAAATCAGAGCTGACAGCTCCTCTTGTTGGAGCGTTTCAGTGTAGGAATTTAGAAATTTGCCAGGCAGGAGGACCCTGAACCCTCAATCTGTAGGTAACTTTGTTTCCTTAACTTTGGGTCTGTGTTAGTTGATAAAGGGGTGTCTATTTTGGTCACTCAGGTCACAATGACCATCCTTATTCTCAGAGTCTCAGATGGTTTGCTGGGGTCACTTGTGGGGCTCCATTCCTTGGGTTGAGAACAGCTTCATGCTAGGAAAGGGGGTCTGCCCAGGCTCCATCCCTGGCTTCTGGATTCCAGTGGGAGCCAGGCCCTGGATCTTGGCAGGACAGTTGGGGAAAGACTCTTTTTCTGGAGAGTGTGCTGTAAAGATGCTCAGTTAAGGTGAAGACATTCCCACTCCCTCTATTTTGGCAACACAAGAGGAGGCCCTAGAGCAATGAGGGCAAGGCAGGGCTATTGGAAGCTCATGGATGAAGCCCACGTGGTGCCAGATAGAAAAAAGAGACCACTCAGATGGAGAGAAATCAGACCTACCACATGGCTTCAGCCTTAGGCCTTTCCATCTGTATTCCTTCTTCCATCAAAAGTTATCCTTCTTGTGAACCTATAGATTATATTGAAAAGAAAGAAAATAACCAAGAGAAAAAATAATTTAAAAAACTACCCTTCTAGCAGCCATCAGAGAGATTAAAATCGTGTCTTTTGCAGCAACAGGAATTGAACTGGAGGCCATGGAACTAACTCAGAAACAAAAAATCAAATAAGTACGTTGTCACTTATTAGTGGGAGTGAAACAATGGGTACACATGGCTGGCCGGGTGTGGTGGCTCACACCTGTAATACCAGCACTTTGGGAGGCAAAGGCAGGCAGATCACCTGAGGTCAGGAGTTCAAGACCACCCTGGCCAACATGGTGAAATCCCGTCTTTACTAAAAATTCAAAAATTACCTGGGCATGGTGGCTCACACCTGTAGTCCTAGCTACTCAGGAAGCTGAGGCAGGAGAATGGCTTGAACTGGGGAGGTGGAGGTTGCAGTGAGCCAAGATCATGCCACTGCACTCCAGCATGGGCGACAGAACGAGACCGTCTCAAAAAAAAAATAAATGAGTATACATGGACATAGAGATAGAAATAATAGACACTGGGGACTCCAAAAGCCTGGAGGACAGGAGAAAGGCAAAGGTTGAATAATTACGTATTGGGTACAATGTTCACTATTTGAGTGATGGGTACATTAGAAGCCCAATCCCCACCAGCATGCAATATACCCATGTAACAAATATGCACATGTACCCCCAAATCTAAAATAAAATTATTTTTAAAGTTCATTTAACCTACAAAAAAAAATTGACCCTGTCAGCCAGGTATAGTGACACATGCCTCTAATCCCAGCTACTTGGGAGGCTGAGGCAGAAGGATCATTTGAGCCCGAGAGTTCAAGGCCAGCTTAGGCAACACAGCAAGACCCCATCTCAAAAGAAAAATTTGTTTTAATTACCCATCCATAGTACTATTTCAATCTTTCAGGCCTTGCTAGGAAATTAAAACCAATCTAGAAAGAAATAAACCAATTTTTAAAATTGGGCAAAGGTCCTGAATAGACATTTCTCCAAAGAAGATATACAAATGACCAAGAAGCAGATGAAAAGATGTCAACATCACTAATCATTAGTGGAAGACAAGTCAAAACCACAGTGAGAAATCACTTCACACCTGTTAGGATGGCCATTATAAAACAAACTAAAAAAAAAAATCCACCAAAACGGAAAATAACAAGTGTTGGTGAGAAAGTAGAGAAATCAGAAGCCTTGTGCATTGCTGCTGGGAATGTAAAACAGTGCAGCTGCTATGGAAGATGGCATGGTCATTCCTCAACAAATTAAACATGGAATTACTATGTGATCCAGCAATTCCACTTTTGTGTATATATCCAGAAGCGAAAGCAGGGGCTCAAATATCTGTACACCTCTCTTCATAGCAGCATTATTCACAGTAGCCAAAATTTGGGGGCAACCCAAGTGGCCACCAATGGATAATGGATAAACCCAATGTCGTCTATACATACAATGGAATATAATTCAGCCTTAAGAAGGAAGGAAATACTGACACAGGCTACAACATAAACCTTAAAGACATTATGCTGAATGAAATAAGCCAGTCACAAAAAGACAAATACTGTGTGATTCCACTTACATGAGGTAACTAATATAGGCAAATTCATAGAGACAGAAAATAATATGGTTATATTGTAAATGTTTAAAACTTCCTATTTTTCTGATGCCTTGACATCCCCACAAACAGGCTGTGAGCACCCACCACATGACCAGGTGAATCAGTATGATCAGACTGGTCCCTGCCACAATTCCCCTATTGACCTTCCCAACTGTGACCTGGTGACATTCAAACACACCAACGAGGTCAGGCACAGTGGCTCTCACCCATAATCCTAGCACTTTGGAAAGCCAAAACGGGAGGATTGCTTGAGGCCAGGAGTTGGAGACCCAGCTGGACAACATGGCGAGACCCCCATTTCTACAAAAAATATAAAATAGGCTGGGTGCAGTGGCTCATGCCTGTAATCCTAGCACTTTGGGAGGCCGAGGCGGGAGGATCACTTGAGGTGAGGAGTTCGAGACCAGCGTGTCAAACATGATGAAATCCCATCTCTACCAAAAATATAAAAAATTAGCGGGGCATGGTGGTGGGCGCCTGTAATCCCAGCTACTTGGGAGGCTGAGGCAGGAGAATCGCTTAAACCTGGGAAGCGAAGGTTGCAGTGAGCAGAGATCGCGCCACTGCACTCCAGCCTAGGAGACAGAGTGGGACTCTGTCTCAAAAAAAACAAATAAATAAGATAATAAAGAATAAATTAAAAACTGCAAATGCACCAGTGACATCTCCCCATGCCTTCTGCTTGTGTGCGCCACACCTCTCCCGTGCTTGCTCTCTCTGTGTTTCTTGCTCCCCACCTGCTTGGTTGAAGTGGCTCCCTTGTCATTCCTCCAGTGCTGACACCTGAGTGGCAGACCTGTTCCTCCCTCTCTAAGACCTGTGAGTATAATAAACCCCCTAATTTCATATGCCTCTATACCTCTTGGGTGTAATTTTCATGGCCATGTTGGAGTGATCCTTAAAGACCCCACAAGGGGGACTTAGTCCCCAATTTACAGCACAATGACCATCACCAGTTGCTAGGGAGAGCGGAATTGGGAAGTTGTTATTTAATGGGTACAGAGTTTTGGTCGGGTGGGGAAGATGAAAAAGTTCTGGAGATAGATGGTGGTGATGGTTGCCCAACAATATGAATATATTTATGCCACAGGACTGCATACCAAAAAATGATTAAAATGGTAAATTTTATGATATGTATAGTTTACCACAATTAAAAAACTAAAACTGGACTATGTGATGGGTCAAGTGTAACAGTTTGTTGGAATCCATGAGACCACTGGGACCTTCATCCAATGTATAGACGAGGCTCTAGGAAGGAAGAGGCTTGTTCTGTTTACACAGTGATGATGGCAGATGCAGGAGGAGAACTTAGATCTCCTAATACTCAGGCCTTCAGCGTTGGCCTTTCAACTCAAGCTTTCCATCCTCTGTGGCCTGCTATCCCAGCAGGACCACTGACCACAGCCCCTGAAGGAGCACAGGCCTAGAGGACACACAGCTCTGGAGGCTGGGGAGGGCCACAGAGACAGAGCCCAAGCTGTATCAGAAGCCCAAGCACTGTATTAAAGTGAAAAACCTTGAGAATTCCCACTTTGTAATCCTGGCCATCAACCCCTCATAGCAATTTGGTGACCCTTCAATGAAGAGTTTCATGGATTTTATGCCCTTCTTGGTAAACCTATTCTGGGTTTCAGTTTATCCACACAGACAAAACCTCCAGGATTGCCTACTTTCAGGGTCAATGTCCAAGTACCCCTTTGACATCTAGACAAGATGGCAAAAGCCTGGCACATGAACCACCATCCTCCCTCCAGTGCCCATGGCAGACATTACCAATCAAGAGTCTATTTCCCACTGAGCAAGATAAAGACCTTAGAATCATTAACAGCACAGCCTCCAGCTGTCCAATCATTCAGCATTGGCACTCAAGGTGAGATTTATTTGCCAGCTGTCATCTACACTAATCTAACACAGCCTGGGATCATAGGGAAATCTCTCTTGGCCTCAATTTTTTCACCTCTAAATATGAAGTGATTTTTATGTTCCTGCCAGCTCTGTGATCTTGTGAATTCCTAATGGAACCAGACAATTCTACATTGTGGATAATGGAAGGAAATTCTGTTGGTTTCAAGAGAAATTCTATGCAGTTTTTAATATAATTTTTGGCAGCAAATCTGCCCTTCCTATTCTATTTAAATTAGGTTGGGTCAGAGCATGGTGGGATCCAAGGACATTGGAAGTCTGGCTGAGCATATTGGGTTCCACATCCCCTACGAAGCCAAACACGGCAATCTGATGGTGTTCCTGGCCTCCAAGGTCACCAGTGCCCTCTGGAAGCCATTTCGTGCTTTCAGGAAGGTCCTGAGCCAAGATAATTCTAACCTTTTTCTTTGAGGTGGAACATGACTGTCCCGCCCACCATCTCCCAGCAGGAGAGATCCAGGATTGACATTTCTGCCCCTCACACTGTCCCTACTTGTCCTATCCCATGTTCTGGGAGGGCAGATGTGTTCCTCTCACAGAGCCTAGGCAGCCTTTCTCATCTGCCTGCCAGCAAGCCGGGTGCTCTCCCCACCCAGCCAGGAAGAAGGGGATCCTCAGAGGGAGGGGAGAAGACAGGGCTGCCTGCTTGCCACCAGGCACTGTGAAAGAGAGAACTTTAAATCTTGGCCTCCACCAGGGAACTGCCTTAATTAGGGTGGCGCCAAGCATGATGCTGTAATTAACTGTGTGTCTGTGTTTCCATCCCAAACGCCCATTTCCAGAGCTTTGTGATCCAGTCTTCTAAAGAGAAGCTCCAGCCAGAAACTTGGCACCAGCAGCCCCAGAGGGGAAGGATGGCCAGATTTCCCCTACTCTTCCCTCTTACCGCCCCACTCTGGGTGAGTCTCTGGAGGTAGAAGCCATGGGACCCTCCTAAAAGGGTGTTTATGTGTGCTCAGAGCTACTGCCTGAGCTCTGCCTGGTCCCCAAAGCCAGGGAAACCCCAAAGCAAGGTATCAGTATGGACAGTCCCAAGCATTCCCTGGGCAGGGGGCACACCTGTTAGTTTGACTTGAATAACATCCATTTTACATTATTCTAGTAACTTTGATCTTCTTTGGGGAACCAGCCGCATCCATCTGTAGCCCTTGGGAAGGACCCATGACCTAGTCTGGCCAATCAGAGTGTTCATCCCCTGGCCACAGTGATTGGTCCAGTGTGGGTCTGAGCCAATGTGACTCTGTTGCAGAATCTTGAGATGGAACTGTTACGGAATGGTATTTGCTTTTCTTGGTAATTGCCAAGCTGGGAGGATGTCAGTCTGGAGGTGCAGAGGCCATGTTTGCCACCTCATACAGGGAGAGTCTCTCAGTGAGACCAAATTGAAGAAAGCACAGAAAAAAGATGGAGGGTGCCAGAGACAGACCTAATGGCATCCTTTAAGCAGTTGACTCCAGCCATACCTGAAGCAAAATGCTCCCGGAGACTTTTAATTATGTCAGAGGCAATAAATTTCTAATTTTTATGTATGTCAATTTGTTTTATGTGGTTTTGTTTGTTTGTTTTAGAGACAGAATCTCACTCTGTTGCCCAGGCTAGAGTACAGTGATGTCATCATAGCTCACTGCAGCCTCAACCTCCTGAGCTCAAACCACCCTCCTGCCTTAGCCACCAAAGTAGCTAGAACTATAGGTGCATACTACCAAGTCCAGCTAATTTTTTACTGTTTTTTTTTTTGTTTTTTTTGTTTTGTTTTGTTTTGTTTTTTTGGTAGAGATGAGGTCTCGCTATACTAGAATGTACAGGCTGGTCTTTAACTCCTGGCTTCAAGTGATCCTCCTGCCTTGGCCTCCCAAAGTGCTGAGATTACAGGTGTGAGCCACTGCACCCTGCTGTTTATGTCAATTCAAACTGACTGTCTGTCACTTGCAACTTTGATATGGTTTTGCTGTGTCCCCACCCAAATCTCATCTTGAATTTCCACGTGTTGTGGGAAGGACCCCGTGAGGGGTAATTGAATCATGGAGGCAAGTCTTTTCCATGCTATTCTCATGATAGTGAATAAGTCTCACAAGATCTGATGGTTTAAAAAAGAGGAGTTCCCCTGCACAAACTCTCTCTCTCTTTGCCTGACGCCATCCATGTAAGATGTAACTTGCTCCTCCTTGCCTTCTGCCATGATTATGAGGCTTCCCCAGCCACATGCAACTGTAAGTCCAATTAAACCTCTTTCTTTTGTAAATTGCCTAGTCGTGGGTATGTCTTTATCAGCAGCGTGAAAACGGACTAATACAAACTTAAAGAGCTTCGACTAAAGCTTAAGTCACTACATGCACTCCAGTCCTGAAACTAAATCCATCTCCAGACTTTTCAAGTCACTTGTACCAATTAATTACACATTTTTTATTTATATAAGATTGAGTTGAGTGTCTGACTCTTACAATCAAAAAGTCTCAATGATGCATATTTTCTCCTTATTATAAAAGTAATACATACTCATTGGAGACAAGTAAAAAAATATTGATAAGCACACAAAAGAAAATAAAAATTACTCCTAATCTCATCACCCAGAAACAATTTTAGATATAATAGAGGAAATGCTTCTCTAGTCTTGTTTCTATGCATGTACATGTACATGGCTATTTAGATGAGATCAAACTCTAATGCCAGTGGGTATCTTTTATTCTTTATTGAAATAGAGCATCTGTACAGAAAAGGGCACACCTCACAAGGATGCGGCTTGAGGAATCACAAAGTGGACACACCCATGTTACCAGCTTCCAGCTCAAGAAACAGAACCCTACTAGCCCCTCACAAGGTGGTGGCTTGGGGCCCTCCCAATTATTACTTCCCCAAAAAAGTGACCACCTTCCTGACTTCTAGTAGCATAGATTAATATGGCCTGTTTTTCAACCTTATGTTGAGTCACATAGAGTGCTCTTCAGTTTTAGGCTTCTTTCAGCATTTTGTCTGCAAATAGCATTTTGTAACCTGCTTTTCTAACTTCCCTATAGTCTGACTATGTCCCCATATCTTTAATTATTCCCCTACTACCCCCTTCTCTCATGAAGGAATCATTCTTGACATTGCCAGTCTCCTACTGTGAGCATTTTGGTCATTTCTCATTTTTTGCTATTATAAACAATGCTGTGATAGATATCCTTGCATCTCAGGAAATATCGAATCAACATAAAAAGTCAACAATAAAAGGTTTGAGTAAAAGTTAAGGCAGCAGCAGCCAGGCATGGTGGTTCATGCCTGTAATCCCAGCACTTTGGGAGGCCAAGGAGAGCGGATCATTTCAGGCCAGGAGTTCGAGACCAGCCTGGCCAACATGGCAAAACTCCCCCATCTCTACTAAAAATACAAAAATTAGCCGGGCATGGTGGCACACACCTGTAATCTCAGCTACTCAGGAGGCTGAGGCAGGAGAATTACTTGAACCCGGGAGACAGAGGTTGCAGTGAGCCAAGATTGTGCCACTGTAACCCAGCCTGGGCAACACAGTGAGACTCAGTCTCAAAAAAAAAAAAAAAAAAAAGAAGAAGAAGGAGGAGAAGGAGGAGGAGGAGAAGGAGAAGAAAGAAAGGAAGAAGAAGAAGGAGAAGAAGAAGAACAGGAGGAGGAGGGGAGGAGGAGGAGGAGGAAGAGGAAGAAGAAGAGGAAGAGGAAGAAGAAAAGAAGAAGAAGAAGAGAAGAAGAGGAAGAGGAAGAGAGAAGAAGAAGAAGGAGAAGGAGAAGGAGAGGAAGAGGAAGAGGAAGAAGAAGAAGAAGAAGAAGAAAGAAGAAGAAGAAGAAGAAGAAGAAGAAGAAGAAGAAGAAGAAGAAGAAGAAGAAGAAGAAGAAGAAGAAGAAGAAGAAGAAGAAAGGAATTAAGGCAAATTAAGGAGAGGGGATCACACCCAGGCAGCAAAACAGAAGTGTCAGCCAAGGACTTTCAGGATTTTTCTGGTTCATCCTGCATTAGTGGAGAGCACTGCCCTACTGAAATTAGCCTCCTTCATTCTTGGTGAGCAAACAATTTGTCTCCATTTTTTGGTATTGAAAACAATGTGGCAGAGAACATCTCCTGTACATGCATCATTTTGTACATGGGGGCTTACATCCTAGGATAAATTCCTAAGAATAGTAGCTGATATTTCCCAAGCCCTTTCTGCTAGGCACTGTGTTTTTTTATGTGTCTTTCACAGATTAGCTCATTTGAGCCTCTCAACAATCCAATGAAATAGGGATTCTTACTGTCCCCATTTTACAGAAGTGGGACTGCTGGGTGAAAGGACAAGTACATTTTGCATCTTGATTCACACTTTCTAGCTGCCTTCCAAATGACTGTACCAATTAATTCTACCCTCAACAGTACAAAGGGTCAATTTCCCTTCCCCGCTTGCCAATGCTGGATACTATCAATTATTTTAATTGCCAGTCATAGCCAAACTGATATGTGAAAAATTATAACTCATTATAGATATTTGTTTTTCTTTCATTTTTAATGAGTGTCTTAGTCCATTCAGGCTGCTATAACAAAATATGATACACTGGGTGGCTGACAAACAACAGAGCTTTATTTCTCATGGTTCTGGAGGCTGGAAAGTCCAAGATCAAGGCACCAGCAGATTTGGCATCTTGTGATGGCGCATTTCCTGAATCACAGATGGTACCTTCTTGCTGTGTCCTCACAAGGTGGACAGGGCAAAGCAGCTGACTGGGGCCCTTTGTTTAAGGGCACTAACCCTGATCATGAGAGGAGAGCCTCCCAAGGTCCCATCTCCTATCGCCACATTGGTGATTAGATTTTAACATATGAATTTTGGAGGGGCAAAAAACATTCAGACCATAGCAGTGAGACTGAACATCTTGTTTCATATTTATTTGCTGTGTGTATTTCTTCTCTAAATTGCCTGTTCATGTCTTTTGCCTATTTTTCTTTCTACTGAGTGCACTTGATTTATTTTTTGCATATTAAAGGCTTTCATCTTTCATATACATGGCAGACATTTTCTGGTTTTGTTTTTTCCCACCCTAAAGCTGATTTCTGTGACATAAAGGAGTTTATGGGGTTCCAAGGGGTTTTTTTGGCATTTTTTGATGTGTTGATCACCAATCATTTTCATTGTGATTCCCTGTCTGTAAAATGGGGAGGGGATGGACTACATCTTGGATGTTTTAAATGTGATCCACATGCCTGGGTTAGGGGTTAGGGGGTCCCGAGTCTCCCAAGGGGCACCATGGGATGGTGGGTCATGCAAAGGAGTCTGAGCTGTCTGGATTCCTTATCCCACTTATGGTTGAACTAGGTAACTGGGGCATTGGTTGGGGTACCTGTCCTTTGAGATGTGAAGCCCAACTGCCTTGCTTGCCAAAAAACCAGGCTGATCTCTCCACCAATCCTAGGAGTGTAGGGATGGGAACCCCACCTCTCTCACAGTCTGTGGGGCTCTCTTAGGTTTTCTTCATCACTCCTACCCTCCAAATTCCCATCTGACCTGGCCAAGTGGGGGGTCATTTCATTCTATTCTCCAGGTCCTGTTTTATGTCCTGCTTCACAGAGGAGCCCCAGCAGCTTCCCTTGAATGCTCCTCTCTCCACCAGCATCACTCACATGAAGCTCTTTGTGAACATCAGCCTTGATCAGTTGTAGGGAGATGGAGGGGATTATGTCACAGCAGCATGCAGCAAACCCCAAATTATGCATCCCTATACTTAAGATCCCTCCATCCGCCATTGTTCTCCCAACCTCCAGTCTTCCATCTAGTCTTAGTCCTCTCTCACACACTGTACATCTCTCCTCCCACTTTTCTGGGCTCTTTCCCCTAGGATTCTACCTAGAAAATTTATTTTCACCAGTTTACTAGGCAAAGAATATTTGGCCTCCTTCCATTGTTTGCCTTGGAAACTACCTGTGCATGTGTGGAAGCTATTGAACTAGATCCTTGGTTTTCAAAGTGTGATCCAGGGATCCCAAGAATCTGCAAGTCCCTTTCAGAAGTTCCACAGTCAAATTTACTTTCATAATAATACTGTAGTAGATTGAATGGTGGCTCCCAAAAGATATGCCCATGTCTTAATCCCCAGAAACTGTAAATGTGATTTTATTCAGCAAAAACATCCTTGTAGATGCAATTAAATTAAGGATCTTGAGATGAAGAGGTCATTCTGGATTATCTGGAAATCTAATGACAGTGTCCTCACAAGATAGAACACAGAGGGGAAGTCGATGTGAAGACAGAAACAGAGATTGAAGTGACGCAGCCACAAGCCAAGGAATGCAGACAGGTACCAGAAGCTGAGAACAGAACTCTCCTAGGTTCTCTAGAGAAGGTACAATCTAGTTGAGACCTTGCTTCTGGCCCCTAAAACCATAAGAGAATAAATTTCTGTTGTTGAAAGTCACCAACTTAGTGGTAATTTGTTGCGGCCGCCCCCAGAAAACTACTACAAATACTGAGACATTTGCCATTTTCATCTCATCCTCTCCTGAGTGTACAGTGGAGTTTTTCAGAGGCTACACGACATGTGGTATTAGAACAAATTGAATGCAGAAGCAGATATGAGAATCCAGCTGTTTTCTATTAAGCCAGACATTAGGAGATTTGCTAAAATGAAAAACAATGCCACTCTTCAAACAAAAGTTTTTTGTTTTGGAAAATCTGAGGGTTTTTTTCATTTTTTAAAAATGTTATTTATGTTAATATAAGATGGGCTTTTGAAAAATTATTAAATATATGTATTTTCAAATTCTCTATTTAATTTTTTCATATAGTAAATATTGATAAGCATAACCCACGTGAGCAAAGATTCTTTGGGGTCCTTAAAAAATGTAAGAGCATAGAGTGGTTATAAGATAAAAACACTTGAGAACTGCTAAACTAGATCATGTCTCTCACATCCCACCTTGACTCTCTGGTTTTACCCTGAAAAATAAGCCAAGATAGGCTGCATTTGACAGCAATTGACAGAAAACCCAAATCAAAGTGGCTTAAATGAGAGAAACATATCATCTCACAAAACAAGCCCAAGGGCTGGGCCTCCTGGGTTTGGTTAATTCACTGGGTCAAGTGTACTGTCACTTCCAACCACTGTGTTTCTGCTTCCTGCTACTCTGCTACCCTTTGAGAGCTCGTCCTCCTCATGGTTACAGGATGGCTGCAGCCGTGCCAAGCATCACGTCCTCACACAACAAAAGCCAAAGCTGGAAAAAGAAGCATCCATCCTTGAGCTTCATTTTAGAAGCCAAGAAGTCCCCCTCTTCTGCCTTCTCTTCTCATTGTCTAGAATTGTATCACAGGCCCATTTCTGTTCAAGAGAATGGCACTATGTGGGGTTGGCTTGTTCTGGTCTAAATTGACCTCCATGACAGGGAGAAGATCAGTCTCCTCTGAAGACGTGGCCATGGGATTGGGGTCTTATGAGCAAGGAAAGGGGGTCAGGCTGTAGGGAGATGATCACAGTGCCTGCCATTGCCACTGGGGACTTCAAGTCTGTGGAATCAGCAGCCATATCCCAAGGTGCCCTGGCTGTCCACCCATCAGCAATTTAGCCACAGCCCAGCGTGAGTCTGGCAGAACCTCTGCCTCTACTCTTCAGAGCTACCTTGGCTCCATGAGCTCCAGACCCACGGCCCTTAACACCTGTCATGGCCAATCCTCCACTCTCTTGGTGCAAGGGCCAGTCCCCACCGCTGGTCCTGCCTCCTTCTGCCTGGTACAATGTTATATCAGATGCTCTGTGTACCTTCCGTGCCCCCAGTTTTGCTTGGAGGTCACCCCTATCCACTTGAAAGCTTTCAGTCCTCTCAGGAAACACCTAAGTTGTTTTGCAAAATGTCCCATGTTGCTCATATCAACCTTCAAGCTCCACATAGTCTCTCTCTCAAAAAAAAAAAAAAAAAAAAAACATCTAAAGTCCTCAGCCAGGCCCAGTGGCTCATGCCTGTAATGCTAGCACTTTGTGAGGCCAAGGCAGGAGGATCACTTGAGCTCAGAAGCTTGAGACCAGCCTGGGCAACATGGCAAAACCCCATCTCTACAAAAAAAATACAAAAATTAATGAGGCGTGGTGGAATGTGCCTGTAGTTCCAGCTACTTGGGGGACTGACGTGGGAGGATCGCTTGAGCCCAGGAAGTGGAGACAGCAATAAGCTGTCATTGTGCCACTGCACTCCAGCCTGGGCAACAAAGGGAGACCCTGTCTCAAAAAAGAAAAAAAAAAAACTAAAGTTCTCACCAGGCTCCCTATTCTCTCTCTCTCTCTGTCACGCGCGCACACACACACACACACACACACACACACACACACGCACACACTACGGGTGAGGTGACTCAGGTTCTGGAATCTTTGCTTTGCCACCTATTTGCTGTGCAACCTTGGACATCTAACTTACCCACTCTGAGCCCATGTTTCTTTATTTCTAAGAAGAGGGTAATGATACCTATGTTCTAGAATTGCTGAGGATTAAATGAGACCATGCATGTAAAGTCACTCACTGTCAAGACTCAGAAGTTGTCAGTTGTCACAATATTGTTGCATCTCAAAATCTTTACAGGGCTGCAAATCTTGTACAGAGTACCTGGACCTCTGTTGTATCACCTGATATTCACAGCACCCCGGGAAGTCAGCTGAGCAAGGGTTATGCCCATGTTTCAGATGAGGCCATTGAGGTCCAAAGAGGCCAAGTGATTCAGCCAAGCTCACACAGGTGACTCAAAGCCAATTCTAGTACTCAGATCTCAGACTCCAAGCTCAGGGCCCCTCCGGGGTATACTTGCCTCCCTGACACTCTGTGTGACCTTGATAGCTCAGCTCTCAAATGCGTGGAAAGTTTTGTAGGAATCAGGTCTGGGACCATTGGACATCACATGGCCAGGTAGCAAGGGTGACAGCAGATACCCAGGAGAGGTTATGAGTGAAGCCTCTCACAGTTCAAAGCCCATGATGGAGAGCAGCTTCTTAAAAGACCCAAGTAAGGAGAGACCCTCCAGGGGTGAAAATCCAGCATATAAAAATAAAAGAGATAGGGCAGGCATGGTGGCTCACACCTGTAATCCCAGCACTTGGGGAGGCCAACATGGGCGAATCACCCAAGGTCAGGAGTTTGAGACAAGCCTGGCCAACATGGTGAAACCCCATCTCTACTAAAAAATACAAAAATTAGCTGGGCGTGGTGGCAGGTGCCTGTAATCCCAGCTACTTGGGAGGCTAAGGCAGGAGAATCGCTTGAACCCAGGAGGTAGAGGCTGCAGTGAGCCAAGATCACGCCACGCCACTGCACTCCAGCCTGGTGACAGAGAGAGATTCCATCTCAAAAAAAAAAAAAAAAAAGAAAAGAAAAGAAAAGAAAAGAAATAAATAAGAAATAAATAAAAAAGACACGTTTGGCTTCACAAACGTGTTCATCTTCTGAAAGACAAACATACTATAAGCAAAGGTGATAGACAAACAATACATTTGGGGAAAAATATTTGTGATGCAGTGGACGAAAGGTTACCATCTATAATATACAAAGAGCTCTTACAAATTGAAAAGAAAAGGGCAAGCAACCCAAAAGAAATTGTGGCAAAGGACATGAATAGGCAATTCACCAAAGAATGAAGCCAAATGACCACGGACAAATGAAAAGATGCTCACACTCATTAGTGGTCAGAGAAATGCAAATGAAACTGACAATGAGATATCACAGAGGAAACTTGAAAAGAACAATAACACAAGGGCTGGCAGAGATTTAGGAAAAAGCTACCCTCATGCGTTGTTGCTGAAAATGCAAATTGTTACAGACTTTTTGAGAAGGAATCTGGCAACTTCAATTAAAGCTTGAGGAGTTACATGAAAAATTTCACTTTTAAAATACAAATTTTGCATTTAAAATATTCCCTTTAACCCAACAGTTCTAACCCTGGAAATATGATAGAAATGAAACCACCATGTCCTGAGGACAAGTAAAGAAAGGTGTTTATTGAATCAATTTTCATAATGACAAGAAAAGCAACCTTGAAACAAAGTATGGCAGAGATGGGCCACACAGGGAACACCTTATTTCCCAGCCTCCCTGGCAGTTTGGCTGAAACCATGTGACTGGGTTCTGGCTAGGGACTGGGGCGAAGAAGTGACGTGTGGCCATGAAGCCCACGGCCTCATGCTCCTTCTCTCTCTTCCCCTTCTGTGGCAACTGCCGAGACCCCAAGATGGAGATGGAAGGAGCTCGATCCCTGAGATGAAAGCTCTGAGGAGACCACCCAAGGGCTGCCCAAATATACTGCATTACAATAGGAGCAAGAAATCAACACCCTTGTTTTGTTAAGATGCTACAATTTCAGAGTTTCCTGGTGGCCACAGCATAGCCTTGGTTCATGTTAATTAATGTGCAGGCTAAGTGTCCTTCAGTAAGAAATGACTAAATGAATGATGGCACAGCACACTCAAGAATATTACACAGACAGCACGAAGAATGAATTAGACCTGGACCACGGGGTTGCCAAATGTAGGAGAAGAAAAGCACAATGCAGAAGATCGTATATAATGTTTCATCCGGGCATTCTAAACAATGATCAGAAAGACTTTCTGGGCATGGGGGCTCCCATCTGAGATTCCAGCACTTTGGGAGGCTGAGGTGAGAGGATGGCTTGAGGCTAGGAGGTCGAGACCAGCCTGGCCAACATAATGAGACCCCGACTCTACAAAAATTTAAAAATTAGCCTGGCATAGTGGCGTGCACCGGTAGTCCCAGTTACTCAGAAGGCTGAGGCAGGAGGATCACTAGAGCCCAGGAGTTCAAGGGTGCAGTGAGCTACGATTGCTCCACTGCACTCCAGCCTGGGCAACAGAGCAAGACCCGCTCTCTAAAAGAAGAAAAAATATGAAAGTATATATGTATGTGTATATACGATTACATAAGAAGGGATAAGAACATGGGAAGATGCTGATGGCAGTGGCTGCTGCCATCACGACGGCTGCCTGGCTGGGGCTGCACACTCCATGGTGCCAGTGGGAGCCCCGCCCCTTCTGAGTTGGGAAGGGAGCTCCCTGGGTGCGCTGCAGCCACCCAAACTGCAGCTGCAGACCCAGGCCTCCTGGGAGCAGGCAGGAGCCCCACCCTCCTGGGCGGGGCTACAGCTGCCCAAACTGCAGCTGTGGTTCCGAGCCTCCCTGTGCTCTTGGAGGAGGGCCAGGAGCAGCAGGATCCGCCTCCCCAGGTGCGGCTTCAGCTGCCCTCCCAGGTGCAGGACCTGGGTGTCTCTGCAGCCTGCACCCTTGGGGGACCTGGAAGGCCCCCCTACACACACCGTCCCTGCTGGCTCGGGGGTGTCTCTTCCTGCAGCCTGACCTCTTTCCTCTCCTGGCGCCAGCTCCGATCTCGTTGGGGGTTTGGGGCCAAGCCCCTGGGCCTTGAATGGAAGCGGAGGCAGGGTCCTGGGCGGAAGCGGGGGGGTCTTCAGTAAGGCCCCACCTTCAGGCCAGGTAGGGCATGAAGGCTAGGAGCCGGGCTGCCAATCCCGCAGACTGGAGTGGGGACTCACGGTGCCTCTTCCACCCGGCCCCCGCTCCTTCCCCACCCTGTCTCTGCCCATGAACCAATCAGTATGCATTTCTTCCCCTCTGAGGTCTATAAAAGACCTGTGCTCAGCCAGAGCAAGGCAGAGGATGGCCAGAGGACTAAGAGGGCAGAGAGAGGACAGGACTGGACGACCAGCTGCAGAGAGGAGTACCCTCTCCGCTGAGCACATCAGAGACCGGCAGAGACGTCCAAATGACTTGCCTGTGGAGAGGAGCCACCCTCTTCAGGGCCTCCTCTCTGTTAAGAGCTGAACGCTCGGCTGGACCACCTGCCTACAGAGAGGAGCTGCCCACTCTTCTGAGCTGTTCTAAACTAAATAAAAGTCCTCTTCTTCACCCTTCACTTTTCTGCGTACCTCATTCTTCCTGGATGCAGGACAAGAACTTGAACAAAGGCGCTGTGGCCACAGAGGTTTCCAGCCGGAAAAATCGGCACCTCAGAGATCTCATAACAATGCTACTAGCTCGCTAGGGCGGGTTCAGAGGGAGAGGGAGAAAAAACAGTAGAGAAGGGCCAAGCAATAAGGTAGAGAAAGTACATCAACAAAAATAGTTTACATGAGCACATGTTTGCATTTATGACTGTACAGATGTAAACATGAAAATGTTTTCATGTTGAAGAACGAAACCTATCTTCTTTATTGTGGGAGAAAAAAAGCATTCACATCCCTGACAGATGCAGAGGACAGGGGACTGCAAGCACCAACAGGGGAGGCAGAAGACCCTGTCCTTGCCTCAAATCCAGTAATGCCTTTCTGTAGACTGCGTCTGGTCTGGACATCTCCCCCATTGAGATTTGGCCAGAAACAAGGGGAAAAGAAGGTTCCTGTGACCATCCTGGCATGGGGGCTGGAGCCAGAGGCTGGGGGCTGCCACCACATCTTCTGGGAGAATGGAGGGGCCTTCGGTCAGCAGCATTTCAGAGGTTAGGGAAACATGCTGAGGAGGGTCTGCCAGGAGAGAAGTCTCCAAGGTCAAGGGTCACAAACTGGGAGCCCAGGGGCAAATTCAATCCACAGTCATATTTTGTTTGGCTTGCACAGTGATATCTAGAAAATTCAAATTGGTTGCCAACATATTCAAATGGGCAGATTTTATGCACCCATACACACCAAACTTCATATCTCCAGTTTATAGTGAAAAAAAAAATCAGCTGATCCAACCACACTGTGCCCACGTTTTTGAATAGCAACAATCCAGTGGCCACCCTCTTTAGACGGGGCATGTGTTCTTCAGTTTGTCACTGTCCCCACCACTCCATACCCTTAACCCAGGTCACTTCACCCTCTTTATATTACCCAGCCAGTCCCGAAGTCACATTCATGTGTACAGCCCCATGTCCCCATCAGCCCCTTCCTTACCCACCCACTTCTTGCTGGACAAAGTGAAAATCAGGCTCCATGGGCTTTGGCACAAGGCAGACAAGCCCAGATTTGGGCTCTTCCCTGTGTCTGCGATGCCTTGGCACTGCATCAACGTAGCTGAGCTGGAACCACGTTGTCCAAGAATTTCCATATGGTTCTAAGTTCATGTTGGCTGAAACAGACATTTGGTGAAAGCTGAAAGGCGGAAGTGAAGCAGCAGCCATATATATATACATATATATATATATATATACATGTATATATATATATATATGTATATATATATATATATAGTTTTTACGCTCAAAGTCAGCATGGGGTCCCAGGCCCTGGGGCAGCTCACACATTGCTATCCCTGACCTGCTGGCTCGCCTGATTGGCAGGGACAGCACCTGGCTTCTCCACCTTTTCCTAAGTCTCCCTCAGCATCTCCCAGTCCCGGCCAGTGTGTGTGCAGCTCCATAGGGAAGCGCACCAGCTTTTCCTCCAGCTCACCCAGGGCATCGAAGCTGGAGAAAGTGAAGACAGGCAGACGCTGCTTCCAATCCGCCCTGCCCTCGTCCATTTACAGCCTTCCTTCCTCAGGAGGCTGACGTAGCATGACTCCAGGCTCTACCTGATGCAGAGGCAACCACCTGCACAATTATGTAAGGTCTAACCTCCATAATAAATCTGTTTCGCTGTATCTGTGGTATGGGCTGCGCTTCTCCAATCAATCCTCAACTGACATCCTCTGTATGTGATCTCAGGCAAGTTACTTAACCTCTCTGAGCCTCACTCCCCTTATCTTAAAATGCCCATGACAGTGCCTACCTCATATGGTTATAGTGAAAATAAGATGGGCATGTGAAGTGCCCAGCAGAGTGCCTGGCACCTAGCACATGCTCAACAAATGCCATCTGTTATAAAACGGCAGCATTTTTAAGTGGGATATGTGCATTTATCTGTGTAACACTGGGGAAGAAAAAAAGTAGCTGAGGCCAGGCACAGTGGTGCACACCTATAATTCCAGCAGTTTGGGAGGCCGAGGTGGGTGGATCACCTGAGGTCAGCAGTTCAAGATCAGCCTGGCCAACATGGCAAAACCCTGTCTCTACTAAATACAAAAACTTAGCCGGGCGTGGTAGCAGGCACCTGTAATCCCCACTACTTGGGAGACTGAGGCAGGAGAATTGCTTGAACCCGGGAGGCAGAGGTTGCCGTGAGACAAGATCACGCCACTGCACTCCAGCCTGGGAGACACAGCGAGACTCTGTCAAAAAAGAAAGAAAGAAAGAAAGAAAGAAAGAAAGAAAGAAAGAAAGAAAGAAAGAAAGAAAGAAAGAAAGAAAGAAAGAAAGAAAGAAAGAAAGAAAGAAAGAAAGAAAGAAAGAAAGAAAGAAAGAAAGAAAGAAAGAAAGAAAGAAAGAAAGAAAGAAAGAAAGAAAGAAAGAAAGAAAGAAAGAAAGAAAGAAAGAAAGAAAGAAAGAAAGAAAATAGCTGAATATCCCTAATTTGATCCCTTGTCGCCTGAATTAAAAATACCTCTTCCTCTCTCTGCAAGAGTTTAACCCCCCCAAGTATATATAAATGTGTATCTGTGAGTGTGTGTGCAAAAGGACACATGTGCATGTGCAAAAGGAGAAATTTGAAAATTCTAAAATTGTTCTTTCATTTATATGTAGTACAACCGATCTCTCTTAGACTGGGTCTCTGGGATCCAGGCAATGAAATGGAGATGTGCGCCCAGGAGGACTGTCAGGGAGCACTCTCAGGACCCACACCTGGGGGTGAGGGGGTCGAGGTTGAGCAGGGGGAGAAGTTGGGCAGAGGTGTCATTAGAGCAGAGGCCTCTGCTAACCCCACAGGGAGTTTTGGAATCCCACAGGCCCTTTGGAGTTGTCCCAAATTGAGAGGGTCCAGATCTTTGTACTGCACCTCAACAACTCCTTGAATGTGGATGGCCCCAGAGAGGAGGTGTAGCCATGGGCAGACATCCCTGGCAGGCAGGGGGACTCCTCTGAGCCAGCAGCTACGAGCACTTCATGCCAAGGGTCTCTGCCCTCAAGGGCCACAGTGGCATGGAAGGCAGACATGGCTCTGCCCATCTGTATTAGTCTGTTCTCACACTGCTAATAAAGACATACTGGAGACTTGGTAATTTATAAAGGAAAGAAGTTTAATGGACTCAGTTCCACATGACTGGAGACACCTCACAATCATGGTGGAAGATGAAAGAAGAGCAAAGGGACATCTTACATGGCAGCAGGCAAAAGAGCATGTGCAGGGGAACTCCCATTTATAAAACCATCAGATATCATGAGACTTGTTCACTATTGGCCAGGCACAGTGGCTCACACCTGTAATCCCAGCACTTTGGGAGGCCGAGGTGGGAGGATCACGAGGTCATGAGATCGAGACCATCCCGTCTCTACTAAAAAAAAATACAAAAAATTAGCCGGGCGTGGTAGTGGGTGCCTGTAGTCCCAGCTACTCGGGAGGCTGAGGCAGGAGAATGGTGTGAACCCAGGAGGCGGAGCTTGCAGTGAGCCAACATTGCGCCACTGCACTCCAGCCTGGGTGACAGAGTGAGACTGTCTCCAAAAAAAAAAAAAAAAAAGAGACTTGTCACTACCATGAGAGCAGCATGGGAAAAACCCTCCCCCATGATTCAATTACCTCCCACCAGGTTCCCTCCGATGACATATGGGTATTATTACAATTCAAGGTGAGATTTGGGTGGAGACACAGAACCATCTGAGCTGGGCACACAGCCACCACACAGAGGATAGAGTGAGGTGGCCCTGCCCTCTTGAATGGGAGTGCACGAGGGCCTGGCATTTGTCTTATCTGTTGCTGAATCATCTGTGCTTGGCATGGGGTCCTGCTTAGAGTAGGTGCTCAAAAGACATTTCATTTGTTGAGTGAATGAAAGAGAATCACTGGATTCAGACTTGAGTCATATTTGAAGGTCTACTTCTCTGTTCAAGAAATGTACAGATGAAAGACACATCTGGTGCAAGCAACATTTTCTCTGCAGATGTGGCACTCTGGCTGCTCATTCTGGCTCCTCCCTTTTGCCCACATTTCCCCCCAGTTGAGAACATGCTCCTTCTCTCCCTCCTTCCTGCAGGAGGTCTTCCCTGACTACACAATTCCACGTGCACAAGTGTGCATACCCCCACACACTCTGTTCCCCAAAGAGCAATTGTGAGCCTTGGAGATCAGGACAGAGAGACTGGAAGGAAAGGCTCAGAGTTTCCGCCCTCCTCCTAACCTCTGTCTCCACTGGCATCCACCTCCTCCATGCCACTGCAAACCCAGGGTGGCATTCCTCTCCCCACCTCCCATTAGATTAATCCACCCAGCCATAGTAAGCTCACTCCCCCGGGGTTCAGGATCCGCCTGGATGCTATTTGGCCAATGAGGGAAAGCAGGCGGGGCTTTTGTGAAGTTTCCTCATGGATAAAATGAGATGTAGTGGAAGTGGCAGCCTTCCACTATGGGTCAGATAGTGTCATATTTTGGAAGTGACCCGGGAGCTGTGACTGCTACCTTGTGGGAGAGAAGGTAGCTAGGGTGAGCAGGCACATGAACAGGAAGTAGGATTCTGAGTCATGACAAAGTGCAGCTGCTGAGTGAATCAACACCACTGCAGAGACAATCCCCTTGATGCTTTGCACCTTTCCAAGCAGCTGTCCTCCATTCTGCATGCTTTGTTTCCAATGGCCTACATCTGAAACTTCTTTCAGAACCCTGCCTTTGGGCCAATGGAGCGATTTGCTTGGAAAGGCAGAGAGCTACCATCCATGTGTGGAGATGAGCTCGCTCTGTTCTGCTGGACGTGGTCAAGGAAGCCTGTGTCCCCTCTTGTCACACGCAGCCACCTCTGATGTTAAGGGTGGATGAGATGATAAAGCTCTTCACCATCTAAGCCAGCTTGAGATGGGGTTTCTGTGATGTACAGTCAGAAGCAGTCCAAGTGATCCACGCTCTTGTGAGTGTGGCTACTCCATACACGTATGCACACTTGTGCATATGCACACTCAGGAGTGTGCACACAAACACAAGGCCAATTTTTAAAAACCCAATAGCTTTTATACACAACAGCAGAAAACTAATGAAGTAAAATGGCACAGCCAGTGTGGAAAACAGTATGGCAGTTTCTCAAAAAATTTAACATAGAATTGCCATATGACCAGCAATTCGCCCTTTTGGTATGCCCAAAAGATTTGAAAGCAGAAATTCAAACAGATAAATGTACATCTCTTTGGGGAAAAAAAAACAAACTGTTTTTCCCCTGTTCTCACACTAACACAACAATAATCATCAACATGGAAGACTTCTGAGACCCCAAAATATGTGGGGATTTCACCCCACCAGCAAGCAAGCAACCAATTCTGCAGCAGACACCAGCTGATTGTCTTCCAGTTGCATCAGATCCCACAGGTTGAGCGCTCAGTCCCCAAGACTGCCCCCTGCTTCAGACATCAGTCACAAGTTCAGGCCTCTGGAACTTCTAACTAACTGGCTTCAGGTTGGGGTTCCTATGACACCCCCCCTTGGGTTCCATTAATTTGCTAGAGCAGCTTACAGAACTCAGGGAAACACTTTTACATTCACCAGCTCATTATAGGATATTTTAAGGATACACATAATCAGCCAGATGAAGAGATACACAGGGTGAGGTCTGGAAGAGTCCTGAGAGCAGGAACTTCTGTCCCCGTAGGGTTGGGGTGCATCACTCTCCTGACACGTGGATGAGTTCATGTTCACCTTCCTGTCAGCCACCCCATGATCAGCTTTCAGGAAGCCAAACCCTGTCCTATTGGGTTTTTATGGAGGCTTTCTTACATAGGCATGATTGATTAAACCATTGGTCATTGGTGATCAACTTGACCTTCAGCCCCACTCTCCTCCCCAGAGATTGGTGGGCAGGGCTGAAAGTCCCAACCCTCTAATCTTGCCTTGGTCTTTCTGGTGACCAGCCCCAATCCTGAAGCTTCCAGTCAATTATTAGCATACAAAAAGATATCACTTTGGAGATTCCAAGGATTTTAGGAGCTGTATACCAGGAAATGGGAGCAAAGACCATATATGTATTGCAAAATATCACAACACTTTTTTCATACCAACATTATTCACAATAGTCAAAAGGTGGAAACACCTCAAATGTCCCTTGACGGATGAATGAATAGACTGTGGTATATACATATAATAGAATTATTCAGCCTTAAGAAGGAATGAAATTCTCACACTCATGCTACAGCATAGATGAACCTTGAGGACATTATGCAAGGTGAAATAAGCCAGTCAGAAAGGGGCAAATATTATATATTTCACTTACATGTGAGTACATTATTTCACTTACATGTAATACATAAACTAAGTACATTCATAGAGACATAAAGTACATAGCATGGTGGTTTCCAGAGGTTGAGAAGACGTGGGAATTGGGATTTATTATTTAATGAGTATAGAGCTTCAGTTGGGGGAGATGAAATGTTCTGAAGATGTATGGTGGTGATGGTTGCAAAGCAATGTGAATGTACTTAATGCCACTGAACTGTATATCAAAAATGGTTAAAACGGTAAATTTTATGTTATTTATGTTTTATCACCATTTAAAAAAACACACACAATTTGAAAACATAAAAGAAAAAAAAAATCCCCTTTACAAGAAAAAAAAAAATCCACAAGCTACCTTGGAATAAACTCAACCAGAAAGTCACAGGACCTTGGAGAAAATCCTAAAACTTGACTGAGATGTAAAAGTTGTGGTGAATAAGTGGAGGTATACCATGTCCATGGAGAAAAAGGATCACCATCATAAAGCAGGCAAATCTTTCCAAACTAATCTATAATATGACACAATTTCAGTCAAGACCCCAACAGAATTTTTCATTGAATTCAATAAGCTGATTCTAAAAATTCTATCATACAAGGACTATCATACAAAAAATACAAGTTTTTAAACTTTTGATGAAGTATAACATACACACAGAAAGTGCACAATCATAAATGTGCAGCTCAATAAATCATTACAAAGGGAACATGCCCAGGTAATACATATCCAGATCAATAAATAGAATACTGCCCCGGAAGCCCCCCTTGTAACTTCCCTGCAGTCACTCCCCCGTTTAAAGATAAACACTCCCCTAGCCTCTATCTTAATTGACTAGTTTTGCCTATTTTTAAACTTTCTATATATGGAATCATACAATATGTACTCTTTTGCATCTGGTTTCTTTCACCCAACATCATGATTGTGCAATCCATCCATATTGTTGCCTGAGTTGTCAATCGTCTATTCTGATTTCTGTGTAATATCCCAATATACAACTATCTCCCCATATATTTATCCATTCTACTGCTCACAGGTATTTGGGTAGCTTCCAGCTTGGAGAAGTTACAGATAGAATTCTGGTAGTTGTCTTTTGGTCTACATTTGTGTCTTTTCATTTGTGCACCAAAAGACACAAATGTAGACCAAGAGACAACTACGAGACTTTGTGCACAAATTTTGTTGGGCATATCCCCAAAACTACAAACACATTTTTTAAAAGAACTGAAGATGTTTGTGTAGTGGGTACAAACGGGTCAGTCTTGCTCTACTAGGGATCAAAATAAATTATAAAGCTATAGTAGTTAAAAGGAACACATATTGATACATCCCCAAATACACACACACACACACACACACACACGAGCACAGTCACACATGCACACAGTACTCATGCACGTGCACATACATCCACACATAGGCGTGTACTCCCACCCTCCCAAACTCTACCAGTCAGCACAGACAACTCTCAGGCTGGACTTCCCAGACCAGATAACTGAGTGTCTCGGTCCCTTTCAAGTGGTATCAGAGCACAGGCCTGCAAGTATCCAGGAGACGGCTGATGGAGAAAGGGAAGAAGAGAGAGAGGCCCCCTCCCCCATCCGCCCACTGGCTTTAAAGGGAGAACAAAGTGAGCGGGATCAGAGTGTGCAAGGTGATGGCAGCAACGCTGAAGCCATTTATCACTGCCAGATGTGTGAAGGGTCAGGCTGCGGGGCACGCTGGGAGTGCCAGCAGGGGCGCCTGGACCCCAGACACGGCAAGAAATAACCTATCCAGTCAGCAAGGGACCGCAAAAGGGCTGCCAGGACCCTGTTCTTAACAAAATGACAATGAGCTTTCTTTTTTGTCCGGGCCAGAAGGGGCTGGGGCCAGGGTGGAGGCAGCGACAGCTTAATAAAGGGCCGTCAGTGTCAGTCAAAGCTCTAAAAATACTCTCCCGCTGCCAGCAGGCTCACTCTTGCACCCGCCCGCGGGCTTTCTGCTGCCTGAATGGTCCCTCAGTGACGCACAAGGACAAATGTGTGCCCAGAGAGGCCTGGTGTCAGGTGGCACACATGGTCCAGCTTGTGGCATCTGCCCTCTCCCTCACCCTCACCCCTCCAGGTCCCTCTAACAGGCACACCTGGGGCCAAGAAGGGGGTCAAGAAGGGGGTCAAGAAGGTGCCAGGGTGGTGTGTGCTGGGTGCACACTCCCCACTGTGCTGCTCCATCCACACACAGGAGAGCAAAGACACTAGCCACCTCTCCTTGCAGGTGGCTTCCTACCCCAAAGGCAGCCAGACTTCATAGGAGATCCCAGGTTTGAGGAAGGATACTCATTACTGGCTGTGGAGGCTCCCATTCAGACGGAGGAGGCACCATGGGCTTTAGGTAAGCCCCTGGTCCAGGCCCTAGAACCATCTCTGCTTTTGCTACAGGCCAAGTGTGGAGAAGGAGGTTCAAACCCTGTCCTTAGGGAGATCCCAGCCTGCTGGGGCAAGTGCAGCCACAGCCTTAGAAGCCCTCCTGATCTGATGGAGAAGGCTCAGCTCTTGCCTTGGGGAGTTCCCAGTCTGATGAAGGAGGCACAGCGTCCCAAAGACAGGTTGCCACACAGGGGCAATGAAGGGATTTCAGCCAAAGTGTCCTGACAGCCCTGTGCTCCTCAGACTTTAACTTTGCAACTGAATCACCAGGGATCATTACAAGAGCAGATTTTCGTTCCGCAGCCCTGGGGTGGGGCCTGAGATTCTGCATTTTTGCTTCATGGACACATTGGTTAGTGCAGTAATGAGATCCTGGGTGATGGGGGTGCTGCAGGCGCCTGAGTAGCAGGATGAGACGTGGGGAGGGTGCAGACCTGGTGAGGGTGCAGACCAGAGTTCTCTTGGTTCTTCTGCTGATGGAAACAGCCCTGAGCTGGGGCCCTAAGGAGGGCTCCGTGGAAGAAGCGTAGCAGAATCAGATGCGCAGAGAGAGGACTAGGGAGCCGGCAGGCCCTATTTAAAACTGTGGCTCTGGCATTTATTAGCTGTGTGGCCTTGGGCATGTTTCTTGACCTCTCTGAAGTGAGGACAGCAACGGGTGTGCCCACCTCGCAGGGTGGTGTGACCAGATCCATCACATCCGGCATGCGGCAGGGGCTCAAGACATGCCAGCCACTACGTTTATACTAAACTAACTGCTGTGCCCTCGGATTGGAGAGCCCAAAGGCACCAGAGGGAGATGCCAGCGTCAAGAGACAGAGCCACAACGAAGCGAAAGGCGGGGCTGCAGAGAGGCCCCGGGTGTCAAGAGGCCCTGAGGCCTCGGGCGAGTCCCTGGCCTTTCTGAGCCGGGATCCTCACCTGCAGTATGGGGATCACAGCACCGCCTGCCTCTGTAGCTGTGTGAGAGGTCAGATCGCACGGCGCCTGGCACCCGGTAGGCGCTCCATAAAGCGCTCCACGGGATGGGGGTGGGGTTAACGTGGAAGGCCCCCCGCTGGCCCCGGGCCGGCTGCCTGGGAGGAAGCCAGAGCGCCCTCCCCGCCCCACCCCCACCCGGGCCGCCTTTGAGCCCCGCGCTGCGCTTTGAAGTCCCAGATGGGCCTGCAGGAAAGAGGATCCCGCGCCCAGCCCCCAGCCCGCACCTGGATCAACACGCGCCGCCAGCCCCGCCGCCAGCCTGGGTCCGACGGCCTGGCGGCAGGGACGGCCAGGCGGCCGGAGCCGCCGGGCAGCGGCTCACTTCAAAGCGCCAGCGGCCGCCAGCGGGAGGGGGACCTAATCAGGCCCGGCTGCAGCCGCCTAGGCGCAGAGCCCCGCCCGCCCGGGCTCCCGCCCCCGCCATCTGCTCTGCGTTAGAGCTCGCGCCGCTGGGGGTAGGGGCGGCGGTGGGGGAACGGCCAGTCACCGCCATCCGAGTTGTAAGGCCACAGGCGTCCTCTGCCCCAGCTAATTCCACGCCATCACTGCTTCATCAGTGCACGGTTAGTGGAGTACATCACTGCTTCACGGATGCACTAGTTAGCGCGGTGCATCACTGCTTAATGGATACACTAGTTAGTGTGGTGTATCAATACTTCACCAATGCACTAGTCAGTGCGGTGTATCACTGCTTCACGGATGCACTAGTTAGTATGATACATCACTGCTTCACGGATGCACTAGTTAGTGCTGTGTATCACTGCTTCATGGATGCATGGGTTAGTGTGGTGCATCACTGCTTCACGGAGGCACTAATTAATGTGGTGCATCACTGCTTCATCCATTCACTGGTTAGTGCGGTGCATCACTACTTCATTAATGCATTGGTTAGTGCAGCAAATCTTTATTGAGTGCCTGGTATGTGCTAGGCAAGGGAAATCCATTTTGTTCATTCATTAAACAAACGTTTGTTGAACTCCTGTTTTGTACTAACAGACCCTGGGAGGCACAATTCAGTCATTCCTTCCTTCATTCAATAAACCTTTAAAAAATATAGAGATGGGGTCTTGTTGTGCCACCTAGGTTGGAGTGCAGTGATGCGATATCCGCTCACTGCCATCTCCAACTGCTGGGCTCGAGTGATCCTCCTCCTACCTCAGCCTCCTGAGTAGCTGGGCCTACAGGTGTGCCACCACGCCCAGCTTTTTTATTTTCTGTAGAGACAGGGTTTTGCCATGTTGCCCAGCCTGGTCTCAGACTCCTGACTTAAAGTGAACCTCCTGCCTCAGCCTCCCAAAGTGCTGGGATTACAGGTATGAGCCACTGTTCCAGGCCAATAAACCATTTTAAAAAAAAAGAAAAGAAAAAAACAGCAACATCTTGATTTTAAATAAGTAATTTTTTAGTGTTGACTGCATGCAGTTACTGCCCCCCAGGTTCATCTTCCTCCCTCCCCACTCGCAGTCACACCCAACCCATTCACCAGCTCCTCCTTGCCTACTCCAAGATCCAGCACTTGTTCTTCCTTCCTGGAATGCCCTCCTCTGCCCTGGACAAACTTCCTACTCATCCTTGAAGAGCCCAGGTTAAAAACTTCCTCCTTTGTGAATCCTTCTCTACCTTTTCCAGTCCCCATTCCGCACCCACTGGGTGCTTCTCTCCCACTAAAGGATACACAGCCTTGAATGAGAGGGATTTATTCCTTTTCAGGGCCTGTGTGCCCCCCACAAACTGGCAGCCCCAATCTAGACCCTGTCAGTGGGCAACTGTGTGGTTCTTATAACCTTTCTGTGGCTCTATTTTCTCCTGTGGGATTTGAAAAGGCCTTGCAGGGTTGTGGAAAACAAGGTGGGTTAGACACAAAGCCAGGCCCAGGCAAAATACCTGGTAGAAGGTAGCCATGGTTGCTTGATTGTTTCCACAGCCCTCTGGCTCCAGGAATGAAAGCTGAGTTCATGCTCTCTCCTCCAGGAAGCCCTCCTGATCTGAAACTAGGCTTCCTCTCCCTCTGCTGAGATCCTGCCAGTCTTAGTCAGCCCACTGGCTGCTGGCATCCAGCTGCTCCTGCATGCTTGGGGCTTGCTGAGCCTGTGTCCTGGGCCCGAGGCTCCAAAGGGCAGGGAGCTGGCCCCATGTCTCTCTCTTTTCTCCCCCTGCAATGCCTGGTACATTGAACACCCTGGATCCAGCAGCCAAGGGTCCCTCTCAGGCCCTTGCTCTGCCCAGCGGGGAGCTGGGGCTAGGTAGGCTGCTTAGGTACTGGGCTATGTCCCCTAGAGGTGCAAGGAGGTGCCTAGGGGCAGGGGTTTTACACACAGGCAGGATGGTGGGAGTGCAAGTCACCTGCCATACCAACCTACTGGCTGTCTCATGCCCAAGAGCTAAGTATCATCAGGCTTCAGCTTTGAGAGCCACTGAAGTCTTTTTGGAAGCCCCAGGAGCTCTAAAGAGGGTAACCTCGGGGAATGAAGCTAGAGCATCTGTCCAGGAGACCATCAGGCTGGAGTAGCCTGGGTTGGAGTGAATCAGAAAGGGGCTCAATTCCTGGAGATACTGGCAGACAGGCAGGAAGAGCACTGGACCCCTGGGTCATGACCCTTCTTGTGCCCTCAGGTCCTCTCTCCCTTCCTCTCTGTCCTCTGCTTCCGGCCAGCTCACAATCTCTGTCCTTCTTGCGGGTTCCATGTCTCTCCTGGCTTGTGGTCACCTGTGGGGCAGCGGGAAGGAGCCTGAAGAATGAGGTGCTTGGAAAAGTCCCAAGCATAAGGCCTGCAGACAGTAAATGAGTTGTGGGTGTTGGGTGGGTTGGGAGAGATACGTGTTTAAGCTGTACGTAGACTTGTGAAAAAAAGACCTGGGTTTGAGTCCTGACTTAGTCCCTTACTAGCTGGGGGACATGGAGGGGTCTCCTCAGCAGACCTGTGACGGAATCCTGGAAGGCATCCCAGGTGTGGCAGCCGGTCCTCCTGGCATCCCTCGAGGCAGAGCACATGACTTCCCACCACTTTTTCCAAACACACCCTGCATTCTCACTCCCCAAGGGAAAACCATGCTTGGTCCCCATGCAAGATGGAGCTTGATTTCATGTCGAGCTTTCTCTACCACGTGGGCTTTCTGTGGGTGCAACTGACCAGTTGAAACCCCCAGGAAGAAGCACTGGGGTGAGGATTCAAGGGCATGTGATGTGCTCAGGGAGTGCGCCCAGGGGAGACAGGCAAGACAATGGGAGAAACAGGCTGGGACGCGAGGGTGTGAGCTCAGGCAAAGTCCTGCAAGAGGCAGCTTCAACCTGATCCTGCAGGGACTCTCAGGAGGGAACAGTTACACCTCAAGTTGTCCCAACCTGAGGCAAGGGAGTGGGCTTTCATACTCCTGCACCAGTGGAGGAAGGTGAACCCCACTGCGGTGTGGACAAAGCGAGTTGCAATACCCTGGGGAGTCCTCCAAAAACCAGCTGCTGGTGCTAGCCCTTGACAGCACACAGAAGCGGGGTGGGGGTGCTCAGAAATGGAAAAAAGAGTCCCAGGGAATCTGGGCTGAGGACCAAGGTCCACCAGTGGAGCCCATCCAAGATCTCCTTTGGCCGTACCCCTTGGAACACTTTCCGGGAAAATAGCCCCCTGGAGGCAATCGCAGGTGTGGCGGCCACCAACAGGTTCACAGACGCTCCGGATAGGTCCAAAATGTCCTGCTAGGTATACAGATAGGTCCAAAATGTCCCAGGGCCCATTGTCAGGGTACTGGTGCCTCCACCAGGTGGCCTTGGCACATGTGGCCTGCGAGGAGGGTTCACAAAGTCATAATTTGACCAAGTGACTGCCCAGCTGAAAAAGGCTCCCTCTCGAAGTCAGGACAGACCAGGGCTTGAGAGCCCAAGGGTATCAAAAAACCTGGTCCCACCATGTACCAGCTGTGTGTGTCCGGGATCAATATTTCACCTCTCTGAGCCTTAGCCTCCTCCGCAGTAGGATGGGGATAGTTATGACCATCACTGAGTACTTACAGTGAGCCAGACACCATGCTGAGCTGCTGTGAGACTGCTGGGCTTCCCAGGACCCTACACCTCACTTTTCACAGGCAGTGGGGCCTGTACAATCTTACCACCCAAACACCTATCTTGAATACCACTCATGTCCCCAGTGAAAAAAAAAAAAACTATTTCTAACAATCCTCATGCTAATTAACAAACCCTGGTGTTGCCTTTGTTAACAATGTTGGAGAGTGTAGACTCCTGATGAGAACCCTTCATTTATTACTTTACCATCCCTGGCAGGGGCACCATGTACAGATGCACAGGTTGTACACTGCACAACTCCAGGAGGTACCACAACAAAAACCACAGTATAAATGGCACTCCTTGGAACTTTTTAGTGCCCAACTTGTTCAATATGCTCCCTCAGCCCTGAACCCAACAATTTGGATTCCTGATTTCAGTAGTTCAGATGCTAACGTCCATCTCTAGGATGTAATCTTGTGTACACATATTCATCACATGGTTAATAGTGAGGCACTTTTAAGGTCATCACACAGGCAATAAAGCAAGACATTAGCCCTGTGCCTGGCACACAGCAAACTTGGTAAATAGTACCTATGACTTTGATTTTGCCTCCAGCATTTTTCTGCCCAAACCCCAGGACTGGAATGGACTTTGGCTTTCAGAGTCCCAGCCCCAGCTTTGCAGGCCCTTCTAGGACAACCCAATGGGCTAGGAATCCTCACTCCACCCCCGACTCCCATTCCTCAGGCCTCTGCTCCCATTAAGAGTGGCCCCCGCCCTGGCCCAAGCCAGTCCCTTCCCCTGGGGAGAGAAAGGGTTGGATCACTGCATCCCTTCTCTTCTCAGGGTTCAAAGCTACCACTGGTCCCCACGCAGCCAGCTTGATTTGTTTCTTATCTTTAATTTTTTTTTAATCGGGCAGATCCCCTCCAGTTACTTTTTCCGCAGCATCTTACAGCATCTTTGGAGCGGGCAACAAAAGCATTCTTTTTGGAGCCAGCGGGGGCCCAGGGCAGAGCCACTTCAAAGGGAATGCAAAGCGGCAGCGATGTCCCTGTCATTGTCCTCCCCTGTATGCCTGCCCCCCATTGTCCTGAGGCCGCCCTGAATAGGCAGGCACAAAGGCCACACGTTCAAAGTGGGCACCACACGCTCCTTCAGAAGGCCAGCCTCTGTCTCTGCTCTGGTCCCTTCATCCTCACAGGCACAGGTTTCCAGCCAGGGAGGGGAGCTGGCCTTGAAGTGGTTTTTTTTCCCCTCTCTCTTCTGTTGTTTCTCTCTCTCTCTCATTCTCTCTCTCTCTCTCTCCCTGAGCCAAAACTTATGATTACATTTTAAAGCGGCATCTGATCAGCAACCTTTCCCTCTCACTTTCTCTGCAGAACAAGTGGGATTCGCCCCAGGCTGCAGGTCTGCTGCAGGACTGCTGGGGCTCTCATGTGGGATGGGAGCCTAGGTAGGGCTGTTGGCCCCTCTGGGAAGCAGATGAATCATTTTTAGCTACTCGGGTAACAGGGAGGGGTGAATTTCAGTCCTGGCACCAGGGAATCTGAGACCTGCTGGGCTAAGTGGGAATTTAGAGATAGATTATTCAACTTCGATTTTATAGAAGAGGAAACTGAGGCCCACAGATGCAGAGCAACTTGCCCTAGGGCTTACAGAGAGGCTGGGACACAGCTAGGATTGAATCCAGGTGTCTTGACACCCAGTCCAGTGTTCTTTTATTTCCTGGTGCCCAGAGAAAGCCCCTGAGCCAGGGGAGACCTGAAGGCTTCAGCTGCTCACAGAACACCCAGTCACCATAGGGAAAATATACCAGGCCAGGCAAGGTGGCTCATGCTGTAATCCCAGCACTTTGGGAGGCCGAAGCGGGTGGATCATTTGAGCTCAGGAGTTCAAGACCAGCCTGGGCAACATGGCAAAACCCCATCCCTACTAAAAATACAAAAATTAGCCAGGCATGGGGGTGCACACCTGTAGTCCCAGCTACTTGGGAAGCTGAGCTGGGAGGATCACATGAGCCTGGGAGGTGGAGGCTACAGTGAGCCAAGATTGCACCACTGCACTCCAGCATGGGTGACAGAGTGAGACCCTGTCTCAAAAAGAAAAAAGAAAACACATCAAACTACAGAGAGAGTCAACAAGGCTGGGATTTTGTTTGTTTGTTTCGTTTTGAGACAGAGTCTTGCTCTGTAGCCCATGCTGGAGTGCAGTGGCATGATCTCAACTCACTGCAACCTCCACCTCCCAGGTTCAAGTGATTCTCATGCCTCAGCTTCCTGAGTAGCTGAGATTAGAGACTTGAGCTGCCACGCCTGGCTAATTTTTGTATTTTTAGTAGAGATGGGGTTTTGCTATATTGGCCCGGCTAGTCTTGAACTCCTGACCTCAAGCGATCTGCCTGTCTCAACCTCCCAAAGTGCTGGGATTACAGGCATGAGCCACCGTGCCTGGCCAAGGATGGGATTTATATGCTGTTCCTTTGAACCAACTCTGAGCACCCTGCCCTCCTGAGACTATGAGGCACACTCTATGGAGAGAAAACGGAGGTCAAGGCAGCAACTCCAGGCCTAATGGAGTGCATCTCAGTACCTGATCTCCTGAGGTGTGAGGTATTCACATGGCAGAGGAGATGGCAGATGCCCCAAGGAAAACAAAGCCCCAGTCTTCAGGAATGTGACAGCAACAGGAGTCATAATAGCTATCATTTCAGGACTTAGGTACCACAAGCCTGGCACTTGACACAGTATCAAACTCGACCCAAAAATCCTGGAGGAGAGATACTATTATTATCTCCTTTGAGGGAGAAGGAGAGCGAGGCTCAGAGAGGTTAAGTAACTTGCACAGAGTCCCACAGCTAATTAGTAACAGAGCTGGTACTTGAATCCTGCTCTGCCTGATTCAGTGGGACATTAAACGGCACCTGTCCTTTGGCCCTGAGTTGTCCTCACAGGCACACTGTGTGCAGTGCCTCAGGATCAGGCCCTTGGGAATAGGAATGGGAGGGGGAAATGATCACCTCGTCCAATCAAGTCGGTGAGTCTGAATTGAGAGACTGAGCAGCATCTCTGGCCCTGAGGTCAGAAGCTCCAGGAGAGGGGAGCAGGCAGGGAAGACCCTATCGTCAGAAGGCAGGAGATGCATGTGTGGAAGCAGCCAGGCCCGATGTCAGCAGCGGGCTCCCTAGAGTCAGCCTGAACTTGGGTTCAAATTCCAGCTTTGCTGCCTGAGCCACCTGACCTCGGGCAGCCATCCACAGAATGGGCAGTGGCGTCTGCCCTGCGGGAAAAGAGCCTCGGGCAGCACCCAGCACACAGGGAAAGCTCGAGAAATGGTACAGCTGCTGTTGCTTGAAAAAAAATCAGGAAAACAGGACAGGGGAGGCAGAGATTTGTTTGAGGCCTGAGTATCAGTCCCTGGGGCCAGGAGAGCAATTGGCAGAGCTGCGGGCAGAGGGCAGGACCTGGAGACCAGGAGCAAGGGGTGGGAGGCGGGGCAGCTGAGTAGCTGGAGCCAGGAGCACACCTGACCTGGGGATGGCTTCAAGGACAGTTCCGGAAAGAACCCAGCAAGACCAAGAGAAGCAGAGCCCCACAGCCCGGAGATGGGACAGGCTCGAGAGGACTGGGCTGGGTGGCCAGGGCTACTGGGCCCAGCCTCAGTAGGCCCCAACGCTTGGCCCAGCTCAGCCGACTGGCTTGCTGTGTGACCAAGGGGCAAGGGAAACCCCTCTCTGAAGCTCAGCTTCCTTCACCTGTGAAATGAAGGGGGTGCTCTAGTTTTATGGAGAATTGTTTCTGTGCCCCAAAAAGGCTTGGGGGAAGGGCCTGCCAAGGGAACAGGCTCCCACCTCAACTGCAACCAGTGCAGTCCCCCTGAACTGGCACAAATTGGGCCCTGGCTTCAGGGTGCACTGGAACCCATGTGTGTGCTGGCTTTAAAAGAGCAAGTTTGAAAACTGCCCCAAAGTTTGATGAAAAACAGATGTCCTGAGCATCCATGCAGTGCCAGGTGCTAATGAAGACGCATGTGAGCCAATCCCTGCCCTCAAGGAGCTTTCGGCTGATGGGGAGACAGACAGAGAGAAACTTCCAGGGAAATGGAGTGGTGGGTTTACCCAGGACTGGGAGGAGCATGGGCTGGGGACGCAGGCTTCTGGCTTTTGAAGCTGATCTCTCTCCGTTTCTTTCATACACACAGAGCCCGAAGCAATCCCTAAGACACCCATAGCTCCAGAACCCACTTACATCCACCTGCCTGTGTCTGGGACCCATAGAATGAGCTTGCTCCAGGAGAAAAGATGGAAAAGTCTATACTTGCTCCAAAGCAAGGGCTTCCGGGTCATCTCTCTGGAACCCTGGCTAAGTCTCACAGGCCAAAAAGCAATGAAAATATGACTAACAGCTAAAAGTGACTACTGCGTGCCAGGCATTGTACTAGACACATTCTATCTATTCACCATTTAACACTGCAAGACAAAGAGAAGTGGCCGAGGCTAGAGCCAAACCCAAGCAGCCCCTGCTCACAGGCTGGGCTCTTGACCACTGCACATTATGGCACACGCGGCAGGCCAGCTTCCTGAAGGAGGCAGACACCATTAATTAATTTCCTTAGAGGTGCTCAGAAAGAAATTGGGACTCAGAATGAGACTCCCCTGCCTTCGCCCCACGGCCTCCTGACGACTGGGTCAATTCCATCTCTGTGTTAAGGCACGCAAATTTGGCTTAATCTCATTCCCGCAAACAAATCAGCCTAATGAAATCTTTTTTTGTAAATGAATTCGTGGAGGAAACAGCTGAGTGTAAACAGTGTTGTAGCGTCGCCTGTTTAGACACCATTGACTTTCAAATCAGCCTGCTTCTCCATCCTGCATGGCAGAAATAGAGTCAAAATGCAAATGTAGCATAAACGACTCTATAATAAATGCTCATTCAACATTTATTCTTTCTCAAATCATCTCTTAAAGCCCTTTCATGCTAATGTCTAGGAGAAGTGACATTAGAAAAATTGCTTTGACATGCTAAGGGGCTCCAAGATTAACAAAAAGAGAAAGGACAAGATAAAGCTTTCGGAAGACCTATTTCAGAGGAATTATTCCCGCCTTTGAAAGTGTTCCAAGGTTGCCGCACATCTCAGCTTGTTGGCATACATGTAAATGAAGTGCTACAAAAGTCCTCGGCTAAATTCCACTCAAATGAAAGCTCCCAGCCACCGGCACGGCGACAGGGAGGGTGGCCAGACTTCAGGATGAATGCTGAAGGGGGCTGGAGGGGGCTTTCTTGTCCTAAAGGCAGATGAGAGCGGGCTCCAGCCCAAGCCAAGGGATAAAAATGTCAGGGTCGAGCCTGGTTGATGTGGTCGGCACCTGGCTGGCTAGTTGAAAAAGGAACACCTGCATCTTTTATCAAACAAATTATCCAGCCTACCTGCAGCTGCTGGCCCAACCACCATCCTTGCCTCTTATGTGTTGTGTAAGTTGGCAAACCTCTCTAAGTCTCTCTTTAGAATAGAGATAACAAGAGGACCCACTTAGAGAAGATTCAGTGACGAAATGCATGTAGTGCTCCGTGCAATGACTGACACTTAGTAAGTGCTCAAGAAGTTGTTTGTGGTTAATGTCATGATTATGCCTTGGCATTCTCGAGCGCAGATTGGAGGCAGGAGAAAGAGCAAGCCAGGTGGCAGATGAGCAGAGATGTCACCGATGCAGTAACCAACATCCAGATAGGCACAGTGACCATTCTGTTACTGGAAAGGGATCCCGATCCAGACCCCAAGAGAGGATTCTTGGACCTCGCACAAGAAAGAATTCAGGGCAAGTCCATAAGTAAAGTCTATGCAAGTTTATTAAGAAAGTAAAGGAATCAAAGAATGGCTACTCCGTAGGCAGAGCAGTGGCTTGGGCTGTTCACTGATTATACTTGTAGTTATTTCTTGATTACATACTAAACAAGGGGTGGATTATTCATGAGTTTCCCAGGAAAGGGGCGGGCAATTCCCTGAACTAAGGGTTCCTTCCCCTTTTAGACCATATAGGGCAACTTCCTGGCATTGCCGTGACATTTGTAAACTGTCATGGTGCTAGTAGGGGTGCCTTTTAGCATGCTAATGCATTGTAATTAGGGTATAGTGAGCAGTGAGGAAAACCAGAAGTCACTTTTGTGGCCATCTTGGTTTTGGCCAGCTTCTTTACTGCCTCCTGTTTTATCAGAAAGGTTCTTTGTGACCTGTACCTTGTGCCGACCTCCCATCTCATCCTGTGACTTAGAATGCCTCACCTCCTGGGAATGCAGCCCAGTAGGTCTCAGCCTTATTTTCTCCCAGCCTCTATTCAAGATGGAGTCGCTCTGGTTCGAATGCCTCTGATGATTCCAGCACCCCCATCTATAGAGATGGATGGTTCACAGCCAAGTCTGCTGCATGGTCCATAAGGATCTACTTTGAATTAAAGAGCTGCACGACATTCCCAGACACTACGTTTCAGAGCAAGCTGAGTGTGCTGTGGACATCATTCTTAAAGACTGGAGTGTCTTATAGTTTTCTAGAGAGGAAGAGAAGGAACACTCACTGAGCATCTTTTAAACAGTTTCTGTCATTAATCTTGGTGACAGCCCACCGATGTTGATATTCTCACTTTAAAGACTTCCACATTCATCAGATTAGACAGAATGCTCTAATCATCCTAAAACTTCAGTGGCTTAAAACAATAAAAGTTTATTTCCTGTTCACCCAGTAGCCTATAAGGGTAGTGTCTGTGGGTGGGGCTCCCTGGGGCGGCTTTTCTTCAGTGGTGACTCAAGGGCCATGCTCCTTCTGTCTTTAGTCTCACAGAAAAGGACAATAAAGGGTCGTGCCTGAGATGGTTTTCCAGGACAAGCCTGGGGTGGGGATTCCCTTCGGCCCAAATTTTGTTGCCAGTCACATGGCAGGCAGGGAAGTGTGGTTTAGCTGTGGTGCCCAGGAGGAAAAAGAACCACTTAGTGAAAACAGGAAAGCAGATTCAGAGAAACCGAGTGACTTGTCAAGAAGAAACCGACTTTGGGAGGCCAAGATGGGCAGCTTGCTTGAGCCTAGGAGTTCAAGACCAGCCTGAGCAACATGGCAATACCCCATCTCTACTAAAAATACAAAAATTAGCCAGGTGTGGGAGTGCACACCTGTAGTCCCAGCTACCTGGGAGGCTGAGCTGGGAGGATCACTTGAGCCCAGGAGGTCAAGGCTTGCAGTGACCTGTGATTGCGCCACTGCTCTCCAGCTTAGGCAACAGAGTGAGATCATTTGTTTAAATCCAAACAAATGAAAATTTAAAAAAGAAAAAGAAACAGAGCAGTTAGCTAAGGTGCAAGACCCATCACCTGCTCTTTGGAGGCCTCGCCATCTTTGCTACCATCAGCATATCATCAGCAATAATGATAGGCATTTATTGAGCACCTGCTGTGTGAGACTCTGTTGTGGCACTGAGAATCAGAGCTGGGTAAGAAACAAGTCATGTTCTGGGAGTGAGAACACCAATGGCATCCAGCCCGAGTTATGGACAAAGTTGATGTTACTGAGAATCTGAGCTCCCAGAGCCTTCTGGATGCGAGAGCTAGAGAAAGGAAGAGGAACCAGGGCTGATCAGTGAAGGCTGACTCAGAAAGATGGAGAGGATGAGGTTAGGATTCCAGAAAGGGAAAGGGATGCCTGAGGAGCCCACACTGAAGATGGTTTGTGGGGTGAGAGGCGAGGCTGGCACGTGGGTGGATAACCAGTGGTGAAGGGCCTGGAAGGTCAAGACTGAGGACTGCATGAGCTGTGGAGAGCTTCCAGAAAGGAGTGGAGCAGGTGCTGGTGGCATCCTCCCCAGATGTCTGGGCTTTCTCCCTCCAACATCCACATCTCTCTACCCGAGGGCTTCTCTGATGGCCAGAGCCCCAAGCTGCTAGAAAATTAACACTCCCTGGGAGCAGCCCTCAAACTTGTGTCTAAATACCCCAGATCCCTCCTGCTTGGTGAGGTGGGAGAACTCAGAAGTATGTCTTCCACACTGCTTCCCAGATTCCACAGCAAGATTGCATTCCAGCTGTCCACATGGGCACCTGGATGGACAACATGCCTGGTATTGCCTGCCTTCCTTTCCCCATCTCACCAACCTATGCCTTTGCTGGCGTTTCCTGGGACCATCTTCCAGACAAACCACCAGAAACCAAATTTACACAGCTGCAACATGACTCCGTCATAATCACAGTCGAATTTGCTGGCAGGTATCCATCCACCAAGTGACAACTTAGCAAACTCATCCCCTTGTCACAGTAGCGCGATGTGGCTGCAGATTCTGGTTGGAGGAGGTGAGCCCAGTTTTTGTGAGAGGAGACCTGGGGACCTTCCCAGCTCCTCTGCCTTCTCATCTCCTCTCCTCGGAGCCACTCCCCTGGCTCTCACAGAGGCTTCTTGGGCTGGGGAATGGGGAGCATGAGGAAGTGTAGCTTCAAGGGAACACACACACACACACACACACACACACACACACACACATATATATATAGCGACAGTCAAAAACACATCAGAACTGTCAAAAGCACATGGAATCAGCTAGTAAACTGTGAAACCCAAGCCACAGTTCTACGTTTTATGGTGTGAAAAATACAAGAAAATCAAATTGAAAAAATAAATAGAAGGCCCTGCGCCAGGGAGAAGTTGGCCAGATTTGCTGGTGCCCCAGGGCAGGGCAGTATAATGGAGTATTCTCACCTCAGACTGTGCAGTGGCTCGTGAAGATCAGACTGCCCAGCCCATAATTGTTTTAGTTCTGCTACCTCTATTGCCTGAGGCCAGGCTCCCCAGAACCACATCCTGAGACAAGGATTTGAAAACTGGGAGTTTATCTGGGAGGTGGTTCTAGGAAGCACTGGCAAGAGGCAAGAGATGGGGGGAGGGAAGGGAGCCAGTCGGGGTGCATGGACGAGCAGGTCACCGCTGCGGGCCCCTGGGGCTGAGGCTCACTGGGGACTGTAAGAGAGTTGTCCCACCAAGGGGTAGGGATGCTGTCAGGCATTGGTTGAAGTCTGATCCCAGGGATGTTGGCTCTTCCATACTTTTGCTATGCAAGTCCCAGCAGCCAAACAAAGCCTCCAGAAAGAGCCACAGAGGTTGTAGCAGGGGGCCAAAGGGTCAGCCTTCAGAGCTGAGTGCCAGTCACACTTGTTACACCCAAGGGGAAAGGGACAGGGTTCCTGTTCTCAATAACTGCAGCCAGTGTTTCCTAAAGTAGAGAGCAAAGAAAATTTTCTGTGTAGGGGCCAGCTTCGTCATGCTCCCCAAGATCCCCACAAGGTGGAGGGAGGGGTCTTTTCCCCCTCTGCTCAGCGCTAAGACCGATCCCCAGCCTTGTCCACCTTTGGATGCTGAAATGGCCCCATTCTCAGGCTGTCTTCTGGCTCCTTGTAAAGAGAGAACCTGGCCAGTCGCAGTGGCTCACGCCTGTAATCCCAGCACTTTGGGAGGCCAAGGCAGGCAGATCACAAGGTCAAGAGATGGAGACCATCCTGGCTAACACAGTGAAACCCTGTGTCTACTAAAAATACAAAAAATTAGCCGGGCATGGTGGCATGCGCCTGTAGTTCCAAGTACTCAGGAGACTGAGGCAGGAGAATCGCTTGAACCTGGGAGGTGGAGGGTGCAGTGAGCCAAGATCACACCACTGCATTCCAACCTGGGTGACAGAGCTAGACTCCATCTCAAAAAAAGAAAAAGAAAAAAAAAAAAAGAAAAGACAGAAGTTACGGCACACTCTAAGCGATTCGGGCCTCCTTCAACAGGAGCTGTGCCGCAGCGTGTTTGGGGCATGCCTTGCCCTGATCACCAGTGGATTGAGCATCTCCTCATGCCTTGGCTGCAGGCTGACACCCAGCCAGGCAGCAGCCCTGGCGTGCCCACGGGTACCCATCCTCCTTCATCAGCCCTACACACTGCCTCTCCTGGGATCCACCTCTTCCCACTTTTGCCCACTTACTTTCCCATGGAGTTGTTTGCCATCTTTTTCACATTTGGTAGGTTAGTTGAGTAGTATGGATAGGAACGCTTTTCAGGTATATGCATGCAAATAACATTTCCCGGTTCTGTCGATAACGTCTTCTGTGGCATGGGAGGTCACTCGTCCTGACATAAAGTCTTAACAGTTTCTCAGCTGTAAGGTGGGGACTGACTAACTGGGCTCCTAACTGGGACCTCCATCATAAAGCAGAGGCTCACACGCCAGTCTTCAGGTTTGACCAGGTGCTGCTGGAAACCACAGATAAGGCCATGTGGGCCATTCTGGGGCCGAGTGCAGTGGCTCACGCCTGAAATCCCAGCACTTTGGAAGGCTGAGGGTGGGTGAATCACCTGAGGCCAGGAGTTTGGGACCAGCCTGACCAACATGGTGAAACCCCATCTCTACTAAAAATACAAAAATTAGCTGGGTGTGGTGGCACGCGACTGTAATCCCAACTACTCAGGAGGCTGTGGCAGGAGAATAGTTTGAACGCGGAAAGCGGAGGTTGCAGTAAGCCGAGATTGCGCCATTGCACCCAGCCTGGGCAAAAGACCAAGACTCCATCTCAAAAAAACAAAAGAAGAAGAGAAAGAAGCAATCATCAGTGAGGCCTTGACAATGAAAATGCCAGAAGACCCTGGCGGGGAGTCCTCTAAACCCAAGATGTCTGAGCCTCCATGACCCCAGGTGGGGATCCTCCCACGAGACTCGCCCAAACCCACACGCTGACAAGGACTCTGCCAGGAGGAGGGTGGGAAGGCCTAGTATGGCTAAGCCCATGGATTACCAGTGTCTGCCGAGCCCCGCTGGCCATGCCTGGGCACTGCCTCATGGGGGCCAGTGGAACTAGGACCCTGCCCCGAGAAGCTTCAGTCTAACTGGGAAAAAGGAGATAGACTTGGGACAAAATAGCATCATAAGTGGGTAAGGCCTTGGCCTCTGTATCTGACTTACCTGCTGTGTTACCCTGGACTAGTTCTTTGACTTCTCTGAGCCCCAGCCTCTTCATTTGTAAAATAGGATAATAAAATTTACCTCCTAGCATTGTCCTAGGAGTGAAACGAGATCCTACCTGTAGCACAATGCCTAGGCACATGGTAAGTGCTATAAAAACTGTTCATATTGCTGTGTGAGGTCTGAAGGAGTAGCATGAAGCTGCCTATAAAAGAAAAACTAAGTTCTGTTGCATTAGGCCTGAGGAAAGGCTTGAATTAGGGGTGCATAGGGATGAGACAAAGAATCCTGCAATGTTCGAGGTAGAAGTAACCTAAGGAATCAGAACTGGACCAAGATGTGCAGGTCCCTCAGGAGGCTCATAGAATGTAAAGATCTATTCACTCCCAACTTCGAAAAGCCAAACCCTGTGCTCACTGCCCTCAGCCTTTCTTCTTCTGCTGCTTCTCCAAGCAATTCAGCTCTCGCCCCAAACTCACATCCTGCATTCAGCCAAACAACAGTCTAAAGTTAACAGCACCATCTAACTTAGAAGACAACTTGGGGACCATCCTTTGTTACTCATGCATGCTCCTTGGGGTCTTACCCCTACCTCCAACTGACTTATCAAAGAGTTTCTTCCAGAACCACGGAAGTGTTCTTCCAGTACACCCCCGATGGTGAGGCCCAGCAAACACAACTCTTCCCATCTTGCTTCATTTCCAATGACCCTGCTACCCAACCCATCACTTACACAAGCCCTCTTAAGAATCACCTAGGCCAGGCATGATATGGCTCATGCCTGTTATCCCACCACTTTGGGAAGCTGAGGTGAGAGGTTTGCTTAAGCCCAGAAGTTCAAAACCAGTCTGGGCAATATAGTAAGACCCCACCTCTAGAGAAATAAAAAATAATTAGCCAGGCATGGTGGCACACAGCTGTGGTCCTAGCTACTCAGGAGGCTGAGGTGGGAGGATCGCTTGAGCCCTGGAAGTTGAGGCTGCAGTGAGCTACGATCTCACCACTGTGCTCCAGCCTGGGAGACACAGCAAGACTCTGTCTCAAAACAACAACAACAACAATAACAACAACAACAACAAAAAATCATCATCATCATCTAGTCTCCATTTGATGGTAGAAGAAACAAAGACTCAGAGAGGGTAAGTGACTAACCGAAGGCCACACAGCAGGTTAGAGACAGGGATAGACCTCCTGACTTTCCACCTAGTACTCCTGCCAAAGAACCCACTCAGTCCCCTATGTCTGGCTAGTATGGTCAGCACACCCCACCTTGGAGCTTTCACCCTCCAGGGCCCTTGAGCTAGCTGTTGGGACCCCTGATGAGGGAGACCAAGGGTGGGTGCCAACTTCTGAGATGGACCCGCATGGCCAACCCCAGGCACTCCCGCCCATCCCACCACCAACTCCACTAATACATATTTTATGGGGCCGTTCTCCCTTCCTTGCAAACGGTGTCATTAATCTGCTCCCTGGCTGTGCAGAATAACATCCCTCAAGAACAGACCGCTTTCTGAATATTTTATCATTCCTCATTTCTTCTCCCCAAACTAATATATATTTACACAGTCTACCTCCTGCAGGAGAACTATATCGTTTTCTCCTGGTGCCTGAGAACTTAGACACAGAATTGCGTATAAGTAAAAAAATATATGCCTTGCTATTGATGTTGAAAGCAAGAACCAATCATCTATCAAGCTGTGAGGGAAGCCAAGAGGAAGATTTACGTATGGTAAAAGAAGAATAAAGCAGACCCCCACCCCACAGAGGCCTTGAATGAGAGGAGGCAGACATCTCTTCTCTTTCTCTAACAGACTTTCCACGCAATCCTTCCTGCAATTGGCAGACCTCAGCGGTGGGGAGAGCAAGGAGCTCTTTTGTTAGCAAGGTCAAAAACCTCCTACTTGGAGATCCAAACAGAAGAGACCAAAGTTCTTGCAAAGTTTGACAGCGCCATTTGTATCATCCTGGAATATTTATTAGAATGAGGACTCCAACATGTGTGTGGCCCTATTGCTTCCTCCTGCATTATTCTGTTTTGACCTCCCCCGCAAAACAGGCTTGTTGGATGGGAAGGCAGAGATGGTGACCCTCATTTTACAAATGATGGTAAACAGACTCAGAGAAGGTAATGTACTGGCATGCAGATGTAGCAAAGGGGTTTTGTTTTGTTTTAAGCTATTTAACAGTTGGCTCCAAAGTCCCATTTAGAGAGAAACATTTGCAGGAGGGGCATGGTGGCTCATGCCTATAATCCTAGCACTTTGGAAGGCCGAGGCAGGTGGATCACTTGATGCCCAGAATTTGAGACTAGCCTGGGCAACATAGTGAGACCCTGTCTCTACAAAACATTTTAAAATTAGCTGGTCATTGTGATGTGCACCTGTAGTCCCAGCTACACCAGAGGCTGAAGCGGGAGGATCGCTCGAGTCCAGGAGTTCAAGGCTGCAGTGAGCTATGATGGCACCACTGCACTTCAGTCTGGGAGACAGAGTGAGACCCTGTCTCTAAAAAAAATAAATAAGTAAAGACAATATTTATTCAGAAAAATGATTTGGTGGGGCCCTGAAGGCATGTTTGAAGGTAATGATAAACTCCATCCCTCTGCAGAAGGGTTTAGCAGGAAGGTGAGGTGAGCTGGAGAAATCAGTGAGCTGGCATGGCAGGAGCCCACATGGAAAGGTATTGAGTGAAGAACTTCTATGGGGCAAGGGCTCAGGGGCTCTTCCAGAGGAGGTGACTCATACTGATTCTAACATGTCCACATCTGTAGCATAATCTTCTTCCCGAAACTGCGAACCATCACCAGGGTCCACCATGCAACGGAATCACTTGTGCAAGTGGTGTTTGACGGAGATGTGGGGAAAGAGTGTGGGTCCACTTCGGAGCCAGTACAGAGTGGAGAAAAGAAGCAGTCATGGAGGAGAGATGATGGCTGGAGGGGAGCAGCAGGCAGAGCTAAAAGTGACTGTGAAGGCGTGAACACAGACATCGGCAGAAATCTCAGGTTGGCTTGGTCACTAGTCACCTGTACCCCAAGATGTGAACACAGAGTTTATGTCTATTTCATGAACCTCTTAAAAATGGGGTGATCTCTACTGACATGTGGGTTATACGGAGATGAATAAACCTATCTCAGCTCAAAGGAACTCAAAGTTGAAAAACAGAGAGGCAGGCGCCAGGCCAAGGGGGGCTCATCCAGGTGAGGCAAATCGGCCAAGGACTGAGAGCTGGTAGGAAGTAGAATGAGGATAGAAGCAGCCTCCAGACTCCAAAGCAGTGCTCCTGTCCTCACCCCCTCTCTGCCACCCCCCAGCGGAAGGCAAGCAGGCCATGTTGCTTCAGCCTCTCTCTTCTCCCCTGGGTCCAGCTTTTACCCTTGAAAGCCTCTTGCATCTAAAGCATGAATTCCATGTTAAATAGGTCAGGCCACCTGCCTTCCAGGCCCAGCTCTCCAACCTGTCAGGCTCGGGCTGAACCATGAGACTGTTTCTCTTCAAAGTGGCCCGGGCCTCTTCTGACCTGCTGAGCTCTCCCCTGTAGCCCTCGTCAGTCTGTAGCTTGAGTGACAGCCAGAGCTGTTTGCAAGAGCACGTGGCAATGTCTCCCTGAGACCACCCACCATATGGATCTCAATCCCTTTTCCCGGGATCTCTCTCCCATCATTGGCATGAGAAACATGGTAGGGTCCTCCCAATTCGTGTCTGAGATCTGTGAGGACAGACAGCAGCCACAGATCCACTGCAGAATGGGCGTGTGGGAAATGCTGTGTGGTATAAGCTGTCCTCGTAGTTATAGAGAACAAAAGTCATCACCAATGTCCTTTATTAAGGGTTTATTCTGTACCAGGCTGTAGGTGTCCCCATTTGCTTCTTATTGTGAGAATTAAATTAGTGATGACAGGTACCTTCATTATCCCCATTTTATTAATGAAGAAACAGAGGTTCAGAGAGGCTAACTGGTTGCCTAATGTCACACAGCTGGTGAAAGCTGGGATTGACACCCCCATTGTCCGGCTGAGGAGTCTCTCAGCTCTTTCAGCGAGCATTGTGTTGTAAACACCTGGGGTCTTTCTCCACAGGAACACCCTAAGTATGGTTTGGGCTCAAGTGGCTGAAGTCTTGTCCCCCACTAGAATGGAAATGTCTTAGGGACAGGGTCTATCACCTCTTCATGGTGAATATCACGCAATGGGGCTTGAGGCGGAGGGATCTATTTGTGCCTGGGACAAAAGGGGGCGCAAGGAGGAGCAGGTCCCCACGGTTCGGCGGGGTCACCGGCTGGGCTGGCTGCCTGGCTTTCCCAAGCCTGAGGTGAGCATAAAAAGGCCAGTACAAGAAAGAGGAGGGAAAAAAAGGAAGAGCAGGAGAAGGAAGAGCCAGGCTGATCGGTGGGGAGTGCCTGCCCCAGATGGCCTGTGCGTACCAGGACTGTGGGGGCTTCCTTCACACACCGTCTGAATTATTCAGACAGGGAGGCCACAGGGGCCCGAGAGGTCTATGATGGTTAGGGGTTTCATGGCCACTTAGGTGGACCAAAAAAGAAAAGAATTGCGTTCCGCCTGCTTATCTCCTAACCTTATAAACTCAGGATTAGCAGATCAAGGGAGGATTTGGCACAGCTGAGGGACGACAGTGGCTTCAGAGAACAGTTTGGGCTCCATCCTTCATAATCAAATGAGCTTAGGTCATTGATAAGTAAATGGCGTTTTGAATCCCTCTAATTGGGCGTGTGGGTCACGCCTGAGCCCAGGCAGCCCAGCCGTCCTGGCAGAGTTAATGAGCCAGAGAGGGGCCTGGGTGTGGATCCCAACAGTGGCCACAAGAAGGAGTGCCAGGGTGTATCCTGGCTTGGGCAGGGGCCCCAGAAGTTAAGAGTAATCGCTTTGGAGCCAGAAGTGATGGATTCAAGCTCCCAGCACTGCCACCAGCTAGCTAGGAAACCTGGCGGGGGCGAGGGGGTGTCCCATAACTGCTGGCACCTCAATTTTCTCAGCCGTAAGATGGGGCCATGGACGTGTTAATAACTACCCTTTATTGAGAACTCCACACTCCATGTGCGGTGCTGTCAGAGGGAGGCATCACTCAACCCAGAGCCTATGCTCCTAAGGACCAGTGGAGACCAGCCTTGGAGGGCATCTGCAGCCTGAAAGGGACAGCGGAGTCCAGAGCAGGAGGCAGGGTGACAGCCGCTTCTCCCCTCCCCGCTAAGTGACCATGCAGACAGCACTGTGCCTTCACTTCCTCACCGGTAAGCGAGTTCTCCCGGGTGCAAGGGCACCACTGCAGGGAAAGCCCCGAGTGATGCCATTAATCAGTGATTGCTGTTACCACCCTTAGTGCTGGATCCTCCTTAGTGATGTGAATTTCCTGTGCCAGTCACCTGCCCGTTTGATATCGGGTCTTATCTCTGCCCTTACGCTCTGCTCTGTATCCAGGAGTGACGTTCCCTGGACTTCTTGGCCACCTGGTTTCTGGGTTGGTTTGGCCAATGGGCAGCACTGTGGAGAGCGAGGGGAGAGAAAAGCTAAAGTGTTTCTCCCCTCACTGTGTTTCCTGTGGTGTCCCCAACACCACTGTGTCAGCTCTCAGCTCCCAGCAGAGAGCCCCCACCAACCTTCAAATTCAGCCTCCTGCTGCACAGCCCTAGCTCTCAAGCTCTCACAACTCCACCTCCTCTCTCTCCTTCCAGCCTCCTGGTAGTAGCAATTTCCCACAGTTGCTAACCTCTGGGCTGTTTTACCTTTCTCTGCTTGGCTTCTCAGCCCTCATGTCTCTTGTATAATCAGTTCCCTCCACTGAATTCTCTCTAATTGAAAGACCCAGCCAGGCGCGGTGGTTCACACCTGTAATCCCAGCACCTAGAGAGGCCGAGGCGGGTGAATCACTTGAGGTCAGGAGTTTGAGACCAGCCTGGCCAACATAGTGAAACCCTGTCTCTACTGAAAATACAAAAATTAGCCAGGCGTGGCGGTGCTCACCTGTAATGCCAGCTACTCGGGTGGCTGAGACAGGAGAATCACTTGAACCCGGGAAGCAGTTGCAGTGAGCTGAGATCACACCACTGCACTCCAGCCTGGGCAACAGAGTAAGACTCTGTTCCAAAAAGAAAATAAAGAAAGACCTGGAGAGTTTTCTGATGGCTAAGGTCGTCGGTTACCTGCGTAGCATTTACCATTCATCCACGCAGTAACAACTCAGCAAGCGCTCTTGGCTAGACCCTCCACAACCTAGACATTTCAAATGCAGGGAGACAGGCAGCTGCCTTAGGGGTCATGAGCTGACCAGGCTCAGAGTGTGTGGTGAGCGTGGGCCAAGCAGGAGAGAGGGTTCCCATGGCTAGTGTCGGGAACGCAGGCCTGTCCACTCCCCAAGCCCCTTCCTGTCCGCAATGGCCTGGGAGCCAAGCTGAGTGACTGCTCCAGTTGGCAGGTGGGCAGAGGGAGGCCCAGGGAGGTGAGGCAGCTGGGGAGTCCTGTGCAGAAACAGAAGGAGCCTGAGTTCTGGGTCAGCCCTGGGGCACCAAGTGACCTTGAGGAAGTGTCCTCTTCTCTCTGGGCCTCTGTTGCCTCCATCTAGTTTCTCCAACTGAAAAATATGATCTGCACAGATCCTCATGCCTATATTTTAAAGTTTCTGATGATTCATTAAAAGGAGAGAACACAGCAAGGAGAAGACACCCCCAAGCTGTGAGTTTGGGCTCTTAACCTAAAGATGTTACCAGGTCAGAGACCTCAAAGTGCACTGTGTTCCTTGGGTCAGGCAGGGTTGGGTCTGAGTCCAGCTCTGCCATAACTTGCTGTGTCGCCCCAAGTAAGTCACTCTCTCTCTCTGAGCCTTGGTTTCCCCTTAGGAAAAATGTGGTCCACAGCAGTACTCATCCAAAAGGCAAAGGTGCAGGTGGACAGCGATGATGTGTGAAAACACCAGGCACACAGTAGGTGCTCAATAAATGCTAGCCACATTGCCGTGGAAACTTGGTGGAAAGCAAGGCAGGAAGACCAGGAAACAGGGTGGAAACTTGACAGTGAAAGATGTTAATGACCCAGGACTCCCTGACACTCTCCCCTGAAGCGGACACTCTACCCGCCCGGGCCGCTGTCCAGGAAGAAACTGGGAGTGCTGAAAACCAGCCACCTCCAGCAGCCAGATTACGTGTTGCAGCCACAGAGGATTTTTGAAAGGCTGACAAAGGTGACATCCTCTCACACAGTCTCAGAAACGTGCCTGTTCCCCTCCCAAGGGTTTAGCCTTACCCTGAGTCAACACCTGTGAAAGTGAGGGAGCGAGCCCCTGTTGGGGGTGGAAGGGCATGCAGGTGTGGAGGTGACCAGCTGCTTTCATTGGCTGCAAAACAGACAGCCTGGGGCTACAAGACCCCCCCCAACCAAAGCCTGGCTCTGTGGGCAGAGCCCCCAGTGCTGGGCACAGACCGCACTAACACTGCCCATGGTCACCCAGCAAAGATGGGGGTCCTTGGGTGAAGAGGGTGGACAGGTGGGTGACCAGCCTGCTTCTTTCAAGTCCCCAGCCCCCTCACATGCTCCAGCTAAAAATAATACCACCCTGGGAGACCCGCTGCTGCTGGCACAGCCGGACCATGCATAAAACATGCGCCGGTCAGGTTTCTTCCTCTGAATGGCTTCATTCAGAGCGTGCAGGGGTGAAAGGTTTACAGGAGGGATCGCTCGGCTTCCTGGAGGGGCTGGAGCAGCCCCGGCCTCTGCCTGGGCCCCAGCCTTCCCCCTCTGTGCCTGGCACCTTGGCCCAGTGGCAGCCCACACAGAGGGCTCCCAGGACGTGGCTGGCTGAGGGTAGCCCCCTCTCCCAATGTCCCTCGAGGCAGTGTCCTGGACCCCCTTAATGGATAAAGAGGGGCTGCTCTGTCAAAAGTCAGCCAGCTCTAGGTTTGAATCAGGCTTCTCCCACATGTCCAAGTGTTTGTGTGCACCCCACTTTCTGACATGCACTCAGAGAGGGTGAGTGAGTTGTACAAAGACATACAGGCAGGAAGAGGTGGAGCCATCAGACTGAAACCCAGCTCTATCTCACTCAGAGTCATTGAATGCTCTGCCTTTTGGTCATGGCCTGAGGACAAAGTGGCTCAAGGAATGGGACATGGAGGAAAGAAAGGTTCAAGGGAGACTTATCTGAAGTCAGTAATTCCTGAGAGGGTTGGAGTCGGGGCCTTCCCACAAAACAGCTTCCTCCCTCTTTTCTTTCTCCCACTCTTCCTCTCTCCCATTTTCATTCATTCATTTTTTTCTTTCTTTATTCACTCAATAAATATTTCCTTATAAATATTTTCTTAGTCATAAAAACATACACTCACCATAAAAAAGTAAAGTTTCAGAAATGTAGAGTTAAAAGAATAAAAAATCCTAAAATCTCCCATTCCCGTTATCTAGCACTATATCACAAACCACCCCAAATTTGCTGGGAGAGAATAACCATTTAATCATGCTCACAGATTCTGTGCTTCAGAAACTTGAATAGGGCACGTAAGGGATGGCTTATCTGTGCTCCTGTGATGTCTGAAGCCTCAGCTAGAAAGACTCAAACAGCTGGAGACTAGAATCTTCTAGAAGCTTCTTCATTCATATGTCTGGCTCATGAACTGGGCTGACTCTGCTGAGGCTGTTGCCCCAAGTGCCTATGCATGGCTTCTCCATGTGGCTTAGGGTTCCTCACAGTATGGCAGCCTCAGGGTAGTTGCACTTCTTACCTTAAGGCTCAGGCTCCAAGAATGGAGGTTGAGCAAGTGAAGGGAAATTCCATGGCCTTTTATGACCTAGTTTTGGAAGCTACATTGTGTCATTTCTGCCGCAGCTGTTGGTCAAAGCAGTCACATGCCTGTCCAGATTCAAGGGTTGAGATCATGGGAAGAAGGTCAAAGGATTTGAGGCCATGTTTTCTGTTTTATTGTTTTATTTTTTAGAGACTCTCTCTCTGTCACCCAGGCTGGAGTGCAGTGCTGCAATCACAGCTCATTACAGCCTCAAATTCCTGTGCTCAAGCAATCCTCCTGCCTCAGCCTCCTGGGAAGGGGGCATTACAGGTATGCACCACCACACCTGGCTAATTTATTTTTTTTAATTTGTAAAGGCAGGGTCTTGCTATGCTGCCTAGGCTGGTCTTAAACTCCTGGCCTCAAGTGATCCTCCCACCTCAGCTTCCCCAAGTGCTGAGATTACAGGCATGAGTCACAACGCTTGGCCCTACACATACATTTTTAGCTGATTTTTTTCTCTTCATGTCATAGAATAACCAAGTTCACCTTTCATTAAATATCCTCCTACAACAACTTTTTAATGGCTCTTTCACATTTCATTGTATGGGTCTCTAGAACTGACTTAAAAGATCCTCATTGGATTCTGATGTGGTTTTCAATCTAGCCTGTTGTAAAATCAACAACAAAGACATTTTGGGCATTGTGATGGTCACATTATACGTGTAGTCTTCTCAACAGCCCTGTGATCATTATTCCCATTTTCTGGTTATTTTTAATGGTAATATCTAATATGCATTCATCTGCTCATAAACACTTAGATTGATTTCATATCATTGCAGGCTATTGTGAATAGTGCTGCAGTGAACACGGGAGTGCAGACATCTCTTTGACATGCTGGTTTCAAATCTTTTGGGTAAATACCCAGAAGTGGGATTGCTGGATCCTATAGTAATTCTATTTTTAGCTCTTTGAGGACCCTCCATGCAGTTTTCCATGATGGCTGTTCTAATTTACATTCCCACCAACAGTACACAAGAGTTCCCTTTCTCCACGTCTTCATCAACACTTGTCTTCTTAATAATTGCCATTCTAACAGGTATGGTCATATCTCCTTGTGCTTTACTTTGCATTTCCCTAATGCTTAGTGATGTTAAGCATTTTTTCATATATCTGTTGGCCATTTGTACACCTTCTTTTGAGAGACATTTATGGATAAAGAAAATATGGTATATATACACAATAAAATACTATTTGGCCTTAAAAACAGACAGAAATATTGTCACTTGCAACAACGTGGATGGAATCAGACAGTATTAAGCTAAGTAAAATAAGCTAGACACTGAGACAGATACCGCATGTTCTCACTTCTTTGTGGACTCTAAAACAATAAAAAGACTCAAAGAAGCAAAGAGTAGAATGGTCTTTAGTAGAGGCTGAGGGAAAGGATGGTCAGAGTTACAAAGCATCAGTCAGACAGGAGGAATATGTTTTGTTTTTTGGTTTTTACTTTGAAATATATTGAGATATACTGCACAGAGTGGCAAATATACTAAATAATGACATATTGTGCATTTCAAAAATTGCTAAGATTTTCAAATGCTCTCACCACAAAAAATAAGTATTTGCAGTGAGAGACATGTTAAGTAGGTTAAATTATCCCACACTGTATTCACAAATCATATCACTTTTTACTCCATAAATACATACAACTGTAATTTGTCCACTTACAATTTTAAAATAAAAATTTTAAAAATATCTAATATTTAAGCACCTACTATGTGCCCAGCATTTTCCCTAGTGTTTTATATGGAATAACTCATTGAAATCCTCATGATAATTTGCAAGTTAAGTGCCCACTTCCCCCCACCCCCCCACCCCCCCCCCCCCCCCCCCGCTTAATACAGATAAGAAAACAAGTACAGAAAGGTTGAGAATTTGCCCCAAAGTCCCACAGATAATTGTAACTGGCAGAATCTGGACCCAAACCTAGGTATGTCTGACACCAAAACCAGCTCTGTAGCCACTGCACTAAACCATGGAAGACATCAGGACTGGCTTCAGCTCTGGAGGTGTCATGGGATTCTTGGGGTGTCACTTTTCTGGCCAGAAACTTCTGTGGCCAGCAATGCAGTTGCCCAAGTCTTGCTTGGGCCTGTTGGGCTTGTTCTGCCCACTCAGCCTGGCAGGTTGCACTTAGCTTGCACTACCATCCTGGATCCCACATCTGCCAAGAATGAGCCAGGTGCAGAGTGGTGAGGGGTATGCGAGTGGGTGTGGGGTCCAGCTACTGCACACAGCCATGCATGCCAGCTGCGGCAGAGAGGCCAACTCCAGGCACCAAACAGCTGGCAGCTCCCTGCAAGGCCGTGGCTGAACCAGGCCTATGACAAGCAGCTTATACTGCTGGTGCTGGGGAACATGGTGGTGCCCAGAAGCTTGGAGATGCCAGGGACTGCCAAGCCCCAAAGTGAGTGTCACAGCTCTGGCTCAGGAAGCTCCTAGGTCTGGGCACCCCAAAGGGCTGCAACTCTTCTCTCCTTCTCTCTTCTCTCCTTCTCATTATTACCACAATTTGGCAAACAAAGGGCGTGTTTCAACCCCATTTGGGTTACAGCTCTTTCAGTGTGTTCCAAGTTCTTGTCCCACATCCAAGAAGAATGAGGTATGCAGACAAGTGAAGAGTAAGCAAGGTGAAGAGGTGCTTTATTGAGCTACAGTACAGCTCTCAGGAGACCCACAGTGAGTAGCTCCTCTCTGCAGGCAGGTTGGCCCAACTTCTGCTCAGCCCTCAGCTGAGAGAAGACCCATAGTGGCTAGCTCCTCTTCCCAGGCAGGTCGTCCTGATGTCTGAGTCTGGCTGAGTCTGGGGCTTTTATGAGCTTCGGAGGGGAGGAAGTCCATGCTGATTGATCCATGGGTAACCACGAATAGGCCTGGGAAAAGTACTGTAAGTTCCCACTCCCATCCACAGAACTGGCAGCCTGGGCCCCCAGGCTTCAGGCCATCCCTAGCTTGAAGATGGGCCTTCACCAGGGACCTGTCCCTTTCTGCGGCCTGTCTGCCTCCTGCCTCTATTCATGGCTCCCAGGCTGTTCCTGCTGAGGGGCGCCTGCAGGCCAGTGCCAAACTGCCCTCAGTGCCCCCTCAGCCTCCCTCCCATGCTTGTCAACCTCCCTCCCTCAGCCAGTGCCAAACTGCCCTCAGTGCCCCCTCAGCGCCCCCTCAGCCTCCCTCCCATGCTTGTCAACCCCCTCAGCCTCCCTCCCATGCTTGGCCCCTAGAAGGGGCCAAGGTGGCAGGGGGCTGGCATGTCAGCACTGCCCTGAGCGTCTACACACCCAGTCGGGTTGCAATAGCACCCAGGCTTGGCCTCTACTTTGCTCTGAGATCAGAGTGGGTACTGGGAGTGGAGAGAGGCCAGACAGCAGGAACAGAAATTTCCGAGTCTGCAGGGGCAAGGGGCTTCCCAGGTCCCTGAGAGTGCAGATATGACCAGGTCTGTGGCTGCAGCTAGCTGGGTAGCTGCAGCTGTGCCCATGAGGGTGGGGCTCCCACCGCGCCCTCTCAGAAGTGGGTGGGGTTTCTGCCTATTCTCATGGGACATGCAGCCCCAGCCACACTTCTCCCACTGCAGCTAGCATCTTTGCAGGAGCCACTCCAGACAGGCTGCCGCTGCCATCAAAGGGGCCTGCCCTGAGTGAGGAGGAGAGAGGGTCAGAGCCCCAAGCTCCTCCCAGCACCAGGGGAGGGAAGGCAGCAGGTCTGTCCTCCAGAGGCTTCACTTTACCTTCATGAGCACCTGGAGAGAGGCTGGTAAGCGTGGGGAACAAGGGAAGGGCTGTGGCTAGCTCAGGCTTTCTTGGCCTTTGGAAGCTTCTTAGGGGCAGATAATCAGATGCAGCTTCACCTGCCTGGGAACTGAGTGTGACTTGGGCAGGCCCTGCTGGTTCTCCACAGGAACCCAGGGACAATGACATTCATTTCTGAGCCCCTCCCCCAACCCTTGCAGCCCAGCCACATCTAACATAGCAGTAAGCCCTGCTGCCTTTCAAACCCACCCACCATCACCACATCTGGGTCCAAGCCACCATCTTCCCTCGCTGGCTTCTGGGCTTCCCCTCCTGGCCCTTATGCTCTATTTTCCAGATAGCAGCCAGACTGATCTTTACTAAAACACCAATCAAATCAAGTCATCACCTGGCTAAAGCATTTTTATGCTTCCTACTGCTCTTAGGTGAAAGGCAAAACTGCTGAACTTGGCCTACAAAGTGCACAAGACTCAGCCCCTACCCACCTGCCTCTCCAGCATCATCTCCAAGTTCCCTGTCCCTCTGCAGTCAGCCATACTGAACTCATTCCAAGTCCTTGGAGTCATTAGGCTTCCTCTTGCCACTAGGCCTTCACCCATGCTGTTCCCTCTACCTAGAAAACTTGTCCCTTTCTTTACCCTCATAATATCCTCATTGTTTTTTAATTTAATAGACTTTATTTTTTACAACAGTTTTCAGTTCACAGCTACCTTGAGTGGAAGGCACAGAAATTTCCCTCCCAAGCCTCCCTGATTGTCGACATCCCCCACCAGAGTGGTACATTTGCTGCAACTGATGAACCTACATGAGTACATCATTATCACTTAAAGTCCGTAGTTTAAGGTTCACTCGGTGTTGTGCATTCTATGAGTTTGGGCAAATTTATAATGACATGTATCCACCATTACAGGATCATAGAGAGTAGTTTTACTGTCCTAAAAATCCTGTGTGCTTCACCTATTCATCCCTTCCTCCTAACCCCTGGCAACCCCTGCTCTTCTGATTTCCATAGTTTTGCCTTTTTTCAGAATGTCATATCATTGGAATCACACAGTTGTGGCCTTTTCAGATTGGCTTCTTTCATTTAGGAATATGCACTTAAGTTTCCTCCTTGTCTTTTCATGGCTTGATAGATCATTTTTTAAACACTGAATAATACTCCGTTGTCTGGAGGCACCACAGTTTATCCATTCACCTACTGAAAGACATGGGAAGATTGTTGTCTTCCAATTGCCACATTTTGACAAGTAAATGGCTATAACTTCCATGTGCAGGTTTTTATGCAGACGTAAATATTCAGCACCTTTGGATAAATACCAAGGAGTGCAATTTTTGGATTGTATGATAAGAGTATGTTTAGTTTTTGTAAAAACAAACAAACAAAAAAACATGTCATACCGCCTCTCAAAGTGGCTGTGCCATTGTGTGTTCCCACTAGCAATGAGTGAGAGTTCCTGTTGCTCCACCTCCTCATCAGCATTTGGTGATGTCGGTGTTCTGGATTTTGGCCATTCTAACAGGCACGTGGTGGTGTCTCGTTGTTGTTTTAATTTGCATTTTCTGGATGACATATGATGTGGAGCATCTCTTCATATGCTGGTTTCCATCTGTGTATCTTCCTTAGTGAGGAGTCTGTTAAAGTCCTTGGCCCACTTTTTAATTGGCTTGTTTTCTTATTGTTGATTTTTTAAAGAGTTATTTGCATATTTTGGATAACAGTTCTTTATCAGATGTATCTTTTGCAAATATTTTCTCCCAGTCCATGGCTTGTTTTCTCATTATTTTGACATTGTCTTTCCCATAGCAGAAGTATTTCATCTTAATGAAGCTCAGCTTATCAAGTCTTTCCTTCATGGATTGCACTTCTGGTGCTGTATCTGTAAAGTCATTGCCAAACCCAAGGTCATCAGATTTTCTCTTGTTATCTCCTAGGAGTTTTATAGTTTTATATTTTACTTTTAGGCCTGTGATCCATTTTGAGTTAATTTTTGTGAGGGGTATAAACTCCGTGTCTAGATTCATTTTTTAGCAAGTGAATGTCCAGTTGTTCCAGAACCATTTGTTGAAAAGTGTTTCTTTGCTCCGTTGTATTGCCATTGCTTCTTGAGAATGTCCTCATTTTTGAAGTCTAGAGCACCCCCAAAGTCCCCCAGAGTGACTTCTCCCAACTTCCCTACCCAGCAAAACCTCCCATCATAGACACCTTAGGACTCTCTCCCCAACACTGGACCCCATTCCAATGTCATATTTGTTGATAGGACTCCTTAGCTGCCCATCACCCTCATTGGACCGTAAGCACCATGAAGGCAGGGACTAAATCTGTTCTACTTACCATTGTGCACACTTGGCAGGGCACCTAGGCAGTGCTTCATGGATATTTGTTGCATGAATGCCTGACTTTCAGGTAACAGCTAGCAGCAGCAGAGTCTCAGGAGTGAGCCAGACTCGGTTCTTTTTTGCTTCTCTGAACTCACTCACTTCTCTAATCCTCCCAAATGAAGGAGATATTCTGATTGCCATCCCGAGTAAGTTCCAGTGAGGATGAGTCACCTGCCTGAAGTTCACAGGCCACTGAGATGAGGGACAGCCACAGAAGCTCTCAGCGTGGCATCAGAGCCAATACCCCTCTGCTCAGCAGTTGTCCAAACTGAACCCACCCCTCCAGGAAGCTGATCTCAGCTCAGAGTTCCAAGCTGATGTATGGAAAACCCAGGGCCACGGTCTCCAGCCAGCCAGCAACAAAAGTCAGGTGACTGGTGGCTTTGACAATGCAACTGTGGGGCCAGGGCGGCTGACCCACCGGCAAGGACAACAGGCCACACGTGCCACTCGCCCTTCTTGTTTGCTTTGTATCTGGTTCCCACTCGGCAGTGCCTGCCAGGGGCTGCCAGGACCACGCTTTTTCTATCTAATGGTTAAAATTCTTAGAAGTATTATTCTCTGCTTTGCTTGGCAGCCCCACAGAACATACCTCTGATGCGTCAGGTAACTGGATAGGGTCTTGGTCACAGCAATTTGCTGAACACAGGGTTTTGCACACAAAAACACATTACGGCACTCGGGGGTGTCACTCGGGAACAGTGCCAGTCTCATTAGGCATTCTGTGTACCAGAGAAGAGGGAGTAGGGCTGGGGGGCCTGGAAGAGGGAGGCTTGTGTGGGTGACTTAGGAGCCCCTAAATTGCCCAGCCTGGTGGACCACAGGACTCACTCCAACATTAAGACTCAGCCTGGTTAGCTGGGTGTGGTGGCATAAGCCTGTAGTCCCAGCTACTCAGGAGGCTGAGGGGGGAGGATTGCTTGAGCCCAGGAGGTCGAGGCTGCAGTGAGCTGTGATCAGGCTACTACACTCCAGCCTGGGTGGCAGAGTGAGACCCTGTCTCACACACACACACACACACACACACACACACACACACACACACAAAGAGCCTAGGCCAGAGAGTGAGAACACAAGCAGTGGTGTCAGTTGGGCAGGGGTTAGGTCTAGCCTTACTACCCTGGCTGTGTGACTTTGTGAAAGACAATTAACCTCTCTGAGCCTCAATTTGTTTGTTTGTTTGCTTTTGTTTTTAGAGACAAAATCTGGCTCTGTCACCAAGGATGGAGTGCGGTGGCAAAATCGTGGTTCACTGCAGCCTCAAATTCCAGGGCTCAAGCAATCCTCCAGCCTCAGCCTCCCAAATAGCTGGTACTACAGATGCATGCCACTATGCTAACTTTTTTTTTTTTTTTTATAAAGATGGGGGTCTCACTATGTTGCTCAGGCTGATCTTGAACACCTGGGTTTGAGGTTCTCCTAACTCGGCCTCCCAAAGTGCTGGGATTACAGGCGTGAGCCACCGCGCCCAGTCCTCAATTTCCTTAAGTGCAAAATGACTTCGCTCCTAGGACTCCTGAAAAATGCACACAGGGTGGGGATTTGACTTGTGGTCATTGCTGTATTCTGCAGGCCTGGAATGGTGTCTGACACATAGTAGGAACTCAATAAATATTTGTTAGGTAAACTTAAGTTGCTCACAGCTATATCTCCAGGACCTAGAACAGTGCATGGCACGCAGTTAGGCGCTAAAACAGATGTGCTGAATTGGCTTCATTGTTCACAGCTGTACCAAGCACCAAGCCAGGCACATGACATAGTACTAACTCAAAAAGTAGTTTCTAAATTAGTGCATAGAAAGTATTTAGCATACCACTCAGGACATTGTGCCTAATTTATGTTAGCTAGTGTTCTCTGTTCATTCAACAGATATCCATTGAGGAACTGTATGTGGTATTTTCTTTCTTTCTTCCTTCCTTTCTTTCTCCCTTCTTTTTTGTAAAGATAGGGTGTCTTGCTGTGTTGCCCAGGCTGATCTTGAACTCCTAGACTCAAGCGATCTGCCCACCTCGGCCTCCCAAAGTCTTGAGATTACAGGCATGAGCCCCCGTGCCCAGCCCAGTGGTATTTCCTGACACTGGTTCTCCAACTCTCCAACACCAACTGGATTTCTAACAATTCAATTTAATTCTGACACTAATGGCTCAGAGTTGGTGTCAGACTCCACAGGTTTAGTGCTCAGTCCCACAGCACTTCCCCCTACTTCAGATGCTAGGCACAAATGGGGTCCCCAGGTGACCCACACTTTTGCCCAGGCAATTACAAACTCAAGGATTCCCACGACCGCCTTCTCAAGTTCAATAATTTCCTAGATTGATTCACAGAACTCACAAAAGCCTTTTACTCACTATTACTGGTTCGTTATAAAGGATAAAACTCAGCAACAGCCTAATGGAAGATGTGCCTGAAGTAAGGTTCTGGGGCAGGATGGCCTGGAGCTTCCGTGTCCTCCTGGGGTGTGCCACCCTTCCAGCACATCAGTGTGGTCAACAATCCGAAGCGCTGCAAATGTTTTTGTTCAAGAGTTTATTTATAATCCAATGTCTAGCCCCTTTCCTTGCCCGAGGTCAGGGGTGTGGCTGAAAGTCCCAACCTTCTAATCCTGTGTTTGGTCTTTTTGGTGACCAGCCCCATCCTGAGGTTATCTAGGGGCCCCACCCTGAGTCACTTCACTAGCATAAACTCTGACATGGTTGAAAGGGGCTCACTGTAGTAACAAAAGACTGCCATCACTGAAGAAATTCCAGGGGTTTTAGGGGCTCGGTGCCAGGAACCAGGGACAAGGACCAAATGTACATCATCATTATCATCATCATAAATATATTTTTAAATATATATATATTTAGTGTATATATATTATACACTAATATGTCATATATATATATATATATATATATATATATATATATATATATATTAGTGACAGGATTTGGCTCTGTCACCCAGGCTGGAGTGCGGTGGTGCGATCATAACTTGCTGCAGCCTTGACCTCCCAGATTCAAGTGATCCTTCTGCCTCAGCCTCCCTAGTAGCTGGGACTACAGGCATGTGCCACTATACCTGGTTGATTTTGTGACTTTTTGTAGAGATGAGGTCTCAATATGTTGCCCAGGCTGCTCTCCCATTCCTGGACTCAAGTGATTCTTCCACCTCGGCCTCCCAAAGTGTTGGAATTACAGGTGTGAGCCACCATGCCTGGCCTAAATATTTCCCTTGTTATACCATACATTCTCTGCAGACCTTTGCAGCAAAGATGCTCCAGGATTCCAGATCGATAGGGGAGTGCCCAGCAGTTGGCAGCCCCGAAGCAGTGTATACAGCCCGGGGTAAGCTCTCCGGCTGCTTGTCAGCTCTTAGCTTAGCAGGACTTGACCCGGACTGAGTCTCCAGGCTCTGGAAATTTCTGCATTGCTCAAACTCACAAGAGACCACACATTTATGTCCAGGAGTACACTCGAGAATTAACCTTGAGCTAACAGAGGGTATAACCATAATAAGCCCTTTGTCCAATGTGCACAGCAAGTCAATACACCAAGACATTGGGATGCAGCAGAGAAAGAGGTTTTTGTTGGTTTGATTTGTTTTTTATAATGAGAATGAAATGCACTCTATTTTTTAGAACAGTTTTAGATTTACAGAAAGATTGAGCATATAGTACAAAGAGTTTCCATATACCCCCTACACACAGTTTCCCCTGTTACTGATGTCTTACATTAGTATGGAACATTTGTTACAGTGAATGAACCAATATCCATCCATTGTTATTATTAACTAAAGTCTGTTGCTTATTCATATTTCCTTAGCTTGGACTTGATGCCCTCTTCCTGGACATTGGGACACCACGTCATATTTAGTGATCATGTCTTCCTAGGCTCTTCTTCTCCACGACAGTAGAGAAGGAGGTTTAATTGTAGGGCCACCAAATGAGGAGATGGGAGGAAACCACAAATCCATCTCCCTGAGGAGTTAGGGTTGTCAGAGGCCTTAGAACAAGAGCAACTCCATTTTGAATAGGAGGTGGGTAAAATAAGGCTGAAACCCACTGGGTTACATTCCCAGACAGTTAATGCATTCTAAGTCACAGGATGAGATGGGAGGTCGGCACAAGATACAGGTCATAAAGACCTAAGAGGGGTCCTGCTCCATCTCATACCCAGCACCAATGCACATATGCCCATTCCTGCCCTCCTGGCAGACACTGCCTTCAATCACCACCCTCTTTCCTGCCATTCTCCAGACCATCATAGTCACTCAATTACACACAGCATTTGAAATGAGACCACTGTCTTCTGTCGGGAATTGCCTCTTCTGCAGAGGGTAGATTCTAAAGTCCTGGCATGAAAAGAAAACTGCATCAAATCAAAGATTATCCTTGAAAATCTCCTAAATCTCAAACAAAGTATAGGATAGCTCAGGCTCATAATGAGTCCAGCCAGGAGGTTTTCCTCCAGTCTTGCCATAGATCACTGTGTTGTTGGTTGAACCCCAAGTGATGGGCTTGACTACTGTTGAGAGGCTGGGGTGTATGAAAATGCCTGTCTTTAAAAACTAGAATCAATCAGGGAAGTGGGAGAGGCACGGGGGAGGGAGGAACTGAGCTTGCCTGAAGGCACAGCAAAAACAGAACCCCGTTTCCTCCCATTCACTCCCAGGTAGCTGTGCACTGGTCAGATAAAACCAACTGTCCAGACAAACTGTTATTTTCCTCTCCCACAACCTGTAAGCACACAGTTGAGAGAGTGTGGAGTTTGCATTAGTTCAATGCCTATAATGTGTGAGTCCACTTAATTTGCCATTCCCATAATGGACATTTGTCCCAGCAAAGCTGCAAAGGAAGATGATGGGCTATTCTACGAGCACCTGCTGGGTACTTTTGCATATTCTATTTTCTTTAAGCTCTCACTAACCTTGTGAAGTAAAGATCTGCTAACACTGGGATAGATATTTATCCATTTTTGAGGCAGACTTTCCCAAATTGGATGTCCTTCTGAGCAATTCTTCACCTTATGAAACTTGTTGAGAAGCTGAGCCCACCTCCAATGAAGGAAGCTGAAGTGCCAGGTGCTCATATTCTCAGGCTCCCATGCAGCTCAGGGGAAAGTGTGTGGCTTTAACTCTCTCAGGCAACCAGGTGTACCTCCCCAGACATAAAGATGGAGAGAATCAAAGACTCTATTTGGTATATGGGTAGGGGGAGGCAGTGACCATAGCAGCAGGGGCATTGAATTGACAGAGACAGCCCCAGGGAGCAGAGCAATGAGTCCCACAAATCAATAAGGAAAAGATGAACAACTCATCAGCAAAAAGGGCAATGGAAATGAGCAAGCAAGTCTCAGAAGGGGGAAGCAGATGGCCAATAGACTTGTGAAAAGATGCCCGATGACATGGGTAAACAGAGAAAGGGAAAATTAAGCAATAAGACACTATTTCACACCTATCGAGTTGACAGCAATACTAAACCTGAAAGATGTAAAAGGGCATCTTCTAGTTTTATAGATAAAATGTTAATACCTCATAAAGATGACAGTGTGCATGCCTTACATCCAGGAATTCCTCTTCCAGATGCATCCAAACCCGGAGTAGAGAGCTCAGACCCTTTTGTGTAGAATGAAGATATTGATCCTCTCAGGCCATGAGGCAACAACGGGGGAAAGAAAATACCTGGAGCAGTGTGAACCCCTGCCAGCTGCCCACACAAGCAGCTCATGCCCGGGTTCCACACTCTTGCCTGTTTACTCCTGTGTGTTATACACAAATCCTCATATTCTGTCTACATTATGTGATGTGCAAAGCAGGGAATCATTGCTCAAACATTTACACAAGGAGAGAGATGTGCAGAGATGTTCATTACAGTATTGTTATAGTAGGAGGAAAATTGGAAAAAACTTACTTCTCTGTAGTGGATACTGTTAGGAGCTGCCCAGTTCCCCCTTCAGGACTGAGGTGCTCATTTTCCTGTCTTTCAGGGGTGTTAGCTGCTAATGGCTCATCCCTGAGTTCCTCTCTGAGATTGGCCTTCACTCAAAACGAGTTGCCTTGCCCAAGGTGACACACTGTATTAATCTGTTCTCCCTCTGCTAATAAAGACATAACAGAGACTGGGTGATTTATAAAGAAAAAGAGGTTAATGGACTCAGAGTTCCGAGTGGCTGGGGAGGCCTCACAATCATGGCGGAAGGTGAAAGGCAAGTCTTACATGGCAGCAGGCAACAGAGAAATGAGAGCCAAGCAAAAGGGGTTTCTCCTTATAAAACCATCAGATCTCATGAGACTTACTCACTACCAAGAGAACAGCATGTTGGGAACTGCCCCCATGATTCAATTACCTCACACTGCATCCCTCCCACAACATGTGGGAATTATGGGAGCTACAATTCAAGATGAGATTTGGCTGGGGACACAGCCAAACCATATCACACTCCTTCCCTGGGGAACTCATGTCCAATGACAGGTCAGTGCAAGAGTATAAAGACCCAGATCCTTGGTCTCCAACACAATTCAGGAGGGTTCTCCTGCCCCCACACTCCCCACAGAATCAGCTAAGACCTCTAATGAGACTGTACTGTTGCTCAGTTTCTCCTCATCCAGCCCTGCTGCCCACAGCCTCTGACAGGTATTGGTCCCCCACTAAACCACCTGCATGCAAATCTGTCTCAAAATTGGATTCTCTGGAAACTCACCTGTAACAGAGGTGGTCTGAGGGCAGTGACTCTAAATTGGGATTTTAGAACTGGATCACCCTACTGGCCAGTTGAGAATGAGGACCCCATTACTGGTGGTAGCTAGAATACAGAAAGCACCTTGCATGCAAAAGTGGTGCATTTGCTCAAATGTTCACCAGGGGTGAACTAGCATAGGAGAAGGGTGGGAAAGAATGCACTGGCTGATACGGTAGTTCAGGCATTTGAGACATACTACAGATAGCCATTGTTCAGGGCTATCAGTGCTGTAGAGGAAGACAAAGAGGGCCAGGCATGGTGGCTCATGACTGTAATCCCAGGACTTTGGGAGGCCAAGGCAGTAGAATCACTTGAGGTCAGAAGTTCAAGACCAGCCTGGGAACGTAGAGAGACCCTCTCCCTATAAAAATAAAGACAGAGGCTGGAGGTGATTAATCTTCAATGTAAGGTTGAAATACAAGACTCTTGTCTTCTGCAGCAAGAAGGCATAAAAACCTCAGAATGGAGCTCAAGACATAATTATAAAAATAGCACTGCTCCAGAGAGAGTTGAATTTTACAAACCCAGCAAATCTGCCTATGCCGAAATTAGCACCCTGATTCGGAAGGACGGAAGGAGTAGGACACTGACACTTGGGAATCTTGAAATCCTTGATCCTCCTGAACCCTCTGACGCTGCAGAAATGACTCCTCTCCTCCCTTTTAAAAGCTAACGCTCCCTTTGCTTGAAAGTGGTGCAGAGTTCTCTACCTTGTAAAACAGCACATACCCCCTTAGGAATTACCCCTACCTCTTCTCCTGGCCACCAGCCTGATAACTGGGGTCAAGTCACAAGCTGGTCATGGTGCTGGGCCTGCTGTGTGATGGAGAATTCCATCCCCTGAGGGAGCTGTGGGGTCTCATCAATCTGTAGTGGCAGGAACCAGATAATATACATGGAATTGGATCCCGAGGTGTCTGAGTTAAGGGGGTTAGATGGGGAGCAGACTATAAAGCTCGATGAGAGAGAGTGTACTGATTTGAGAGCACTGTCCCATGGTCAGATTTAACACCCACGGTCAGACTTAATGCCCAGGACTTGGGAGATGGTATTAACATGCTACTAGGATGGATCTGGTGAGCTTGGGACCTTCCTTCTTTGAGGGATGGTTGTGAAGATGCTGTAAGGTAATCCATGCGATGTGCCCGGTGTGGTGCCTGGTACATCTACAGCCCTCCATAGATGTAAACCACCAAATCACCAATCGGGACTCTCCCAGAGGCTTCTGCCAGATGCCCTTTCCAAGAAAAAGTTGCTGTGTCTTGGGAATTAGCAAGGAAAGGAGGCTTTCCTATGCCATCCCCAAATTCCTCACTCCTCAACCAGGAGGGGATAAAAGAGTTCCTTAATTGTTACCACAAAGACTTTCCAGGGAGAAAGAAATAGAACTGCTAAATTAAAGGCAGATTTCTCTGCCCGTGGGGCGGGGGCAACTGGCCTGGAGTCAGAACCCAGCTGCTGAGCCATTTTCCAGGAGGGAGTCCAGGGTGGAGGGAGTATGTGCACCCCACCCAAACTTTCCTAAGTGTCCTGATGTTTGTTATCTGATGGGCACCTTACCAGTGGTTGGTGATGCCAGCATTACATGACTGTATCTCCAGATGCAGCTCTGCATGGCTGGTTCATTGTGATCGGGCCCCAGGGAACAAGACAGGCTTTAGGAGAGTCTAATCCAACAGACAGGCAGAGCTCTGCTGCAGGAAGATACAACCCCACACAGACAGAGCCCAGGCCCTCAGGGGCATTGGATAGAGAGAGGGGCATAGACACACCAAGGTGGCTGCCTTTCAGAAGCAGGTACCAGTCACCAGGTCTCCCAACCCCTTCCCATCTCAGGCCACCTCTGCCCCTGGGCCTGGTGATGGTGGGTCTAAGCCAGATGGTCCAACTTGGAGGGAGATCAGGCCCTCAGAGACCAAAAGCATATTTCAGACCAAACCATAGTTCCACAGAGTGGGAATGCCAGGTCAAAATTCCACCCTGATCTCTAATGGAATCACTGATTCAGGCAAGAATTATCAATTGATGTATTAAGACCATGTCTTAGTCTATTCTGGCTGCTGTAACAAAATATCCAAGACTGGTAATTTACTAACAACGTAATTTATTGCTCATAGTTCTGGAGGCTGGAAAGTCCAAGATAAAGGCACCAGCAGATTTGGTTCCCAGTGAGGGCCTATTCCTCATAGATGGCAACTTCTTGCCGAGTCCTCATGATGAAAGGGCAAAAAGGGACTCACAGGCTCCCTCAGGCCTCTGGTCTAAGGGCACTAACCTCATTTATGAAGATGGAACTCTCATGACCTAATCACCTCCCAAAGGCCCCACCTCTTAATACTGTTGCATTGGGGACTAGATGTTTGAGACAGCATCTCCCTCTGTCACCTAGGCTGGAGTGCAGTGGTGCAATCATGCCTCACTGCAGCCTTGAACTCCCAGGCTCAAGTGATCCTCCTACCTCAGCCTCCCAAGTAGCTGAGACTACAGGTGAGTACCACTATACCTGGTTAATTTTTTTTTGTAGAGGCGAGGTCTCACTATGTTGCCCAGGCTGGTCTTGAACTCCTGGGCTCAAGTGATCCTCCAGCCTTGGCCTCCCAAAGAGCTGGGATTACAAGCATCAGCCACCTTGCCTGGCAAGAAAACTTAAATATGGGCCAGGTATAAGATGATATTTAGAAATAAGTGTTTACCTTGTTAAGTGGGATCATGTTATTTTGGGTTAATAAGAAATGCTCTTTTTTTTTTTTTAAGAGATAGGGTCTCACTCTGTCAGCCACTGGCATGATCATAGCTCACTGCAGCCTCCCACCTCAGCCTCCTGAGTAGCTGGGACTACAGGTGCATGCCACCATGTCCAGCTAATTGTTTATTTTTTTGTAGAGACAGGGCTCTTGCTGTGTTGCCCAGGCTGGCCTTGAACTCTTAGCTTCAAGTGATCCTCCCACCCAGCCTCCCACAGTGTTGGAAGTACAGTCATGAGCCACTGTACCTGGCCAGAAATGCTCTTATTTTTTAAAAGTGCATACTTCAATGATAAGCTCCAGAATATTCATAGTTACTTGTGACAGACAGAATTCTAAGGTAGCCCCCAAGACTGTCATCCCTGGAGTGCACACCCTGAATGTGAATAGAATAGGATGTTATTCTTGTAACTAGGTTAATCATATGACAAAGGTCAAGAACGTATGCAGATGTAATTAAGGACCCTAATCGGTTGACGTTAATCAAAAGGGAGGTTATCTTGTATGTTAGTCCATTTGCGTTACTCTAAAGGAATACCTGAGACTGGGTAATTTATAAAGAAAAGAGGTTTATTTTGGTTCATGGTTCTACAGGCTGTACAAGCATAGCACCAACATCTGCTCAGCTTCTGATGAAGGCCTCGGAAAGCTTCCAACCATGGTGGAAGACAATGGGGGAGCAAGCACATCTTATGGCAAAAGTGGGAGTAGGAGAGAGGGGGAGGTGCCATATTCTTTTAGGCAACAAACTCTCACAGGAAATACCAGAGCAAGAACTCACTCATTACCATGGTGAGCCATTCATAAGTGATCTACCCCCATGACCCAAACACCTCTCCCTACACCCACCTCTAACATTGGAGGTCACGTTTCAACATAGGATTTGGAGGGGATAAGGGGTACAAAATAATAGTTAGAATGAATGAATAAGACCTAGTATTTGATAGCACAACAGGGTGACTATAGTCAATAATAATTTAATTGTATATTTAAAATAACTAAAATAGTATAATAGGATTGTTTGTAACACAAAGGACAAATGCTTCAAGGGATGGATACTCCATCTTCCATAATGGGATTATTTTTCTTTGTATTTATTTATTTCTTTTTGAGACAGGGCCTCTCTTTGTTGCCTAGCCTGGAGTGCAATGGTGTGGTTATAGCTCACTGCAGCCTCTAACTGCTGGGCTCAAGTGATCTTCCTGCCTCAGCCTCCCAAGTAGCTGGAACTACATGCCCCACTGCACCAAGCTAATTATTTTTTTGTAGAGATGGAGATTTGTTATGTTGCTCAGGCTGGTTTTGAATTCACAGCCTCAAACAGTCCTCTCGCCTTGACCTCCCCAAGTGTGGGGATTACAGAAGTGAGCTACCAAGCCTGGCCCCTAGAAAGTTCTTCATGGTTCTTCCCAGTGACTCCTCCCCTCTCCCTCATACAGGCAACCATATTCAGTTCCAATTTCTATTGCCAAAAATGAATTTTTGCCCGTTCTTAGATATCATGTAAATGGAACCATAGAATGTAATCATAGACTTGCAGTCTTCTTGTGTCTGGCTTCTTTTGCTCAACCTAATGTTTTGGAGATTCATCCAAGTTGTTACATGTATTAGGAATTCATTCCTTTTCACTGCTGAGTAGTAGTGACATTACATGCCTGTATCAAAACATCTAATGTACTCTATAAATGTATACACCTACTATATACCCACAAAAAAAATTTTTTAAAGATCTGGAGGGGATGCACATCCAAACCGTATCACCCTCAGTGGGCCTGACCTAATCAGGTGCACCCTTTAAAAGACGGTCTAGAGATCCGAGATGGAAGAAGTCAGAGAGATGTGATGCCACAGCAGACGTACTCCTGTTGGCCCTGAAGAAGAAAACTGGCATGCTGTGGAGAAGGCCATGTGGAAGGCAAGGTGACCTCTAGGAGCTCAAGGCCTCGGTCCAACCACCACGAGAAACTGAATTCCACCAACAGTGCTGTGAACTTAGCAGAGGACCCCGAGCCTCAGATGAGATCACAGCACTGGCTGACACCTTGATTTAAGCCCGGTGAGACCCCTGGCACCGGACCCAACCCATCCATGCCTGGACACCTAACCCAGAGAAACAGTGAGGTAATACATCTGTGGTGTTTTAAGCCATTATGGTTATGGTAATTAGTGACACAGCCATAAAAAACTGATATACTGCTTTATTCAAAACAGCAAAAAAAATGAATATCCGAATATCCATCAACCAGAGAATGGATAAATAAATTGTGATCCACTCATACAGTGAAATACTACTCAGCAGTGAAAAGGATGAATTCCTAATACATGTAACAACTTGGATGAATCTCCAAAACATTAGGTTGAGCAAAAGAAGCCAGACACAAGAAGACTGCAAGTCTATGATTGTATTCTATGGTTCCATTTACATGATATCTAAGAACGGGCAAAAATTCATTTTTGGCAATAGAAATTGGAACTGAATATGGTTGCCTGTGTGAGGGAGAGGGGAGGAGTCACTGGGAAGAACCATAAAGAACTTTCTAGGGGCCAGGTATGGTAGCTCACTTCTGTAATCCCCACACTTGGGGAGGTCAAGGCGAGAAGACTGTTTGAGGTGGTGAATTCAAAACCAGCCGAGCAACATAACAAATCTCCATCTCTACAAAAAAATAATTAGCTTGGTGCAGTGGGGCATGTAGTTCCAGCTACTTGGGAGGCTGAGGCAGGAAGATCACTTGAGCCCAGCAGTTAGAGGCTGCAGTGAGCTATAACCACACCATTGCACTCCAGGCTAGGCAACAAAGAGAGGCCCTGTCTCAAAAAGAAATAAATAAATACAAAGAAAAAGAACTTTCTAGGGGCAAGGAAAATGTTTCATGTCTTCATTGGACCATGTGTTACATGAATTTTACTCACTTGTGAAAACACAGCAAACCATATACTTAAGATCTATGCATTTCACTGTATGTAAATGATTTCTCCATTGAAAAATAATAATTCCACCCCAGGTGGTTAGAAGTTGGCAGACAGTTCTTCAGAGTCTGGAGCAAGAAAACAATGGGTGGAGGGGATGATCTTCAATGCACTCACACTAACATGTGGTTGCAGGCACACACACACACGTGCACGCACACACACACATACACGTACACACACACATGCTGCCATTCCAGGCCAAGTGCAGTTCCCCTTTGGCCTTTGCCTCGTTTTATGTCAAGAAAGCAGCTGCCTCCCGGCTCCCAGGTCACTGCTCTGTGTGTCTGCCTGTCAAGATAAGAAGGCAGAGGCAGATGCTGCTAATTACCTGGCCTTTCAAGTCGTCCTCCGGCCTCACATCTGGCTCCATCTCCAACATACAGCTTGAGCCAATAAAAGCCAAATAAAATCACGAAGGGCTAATTTGGTGGTCAGAGCTCTGACAGACTGCACAAGAGGAGGTGTGGAGCAGGATGAGGACATGGGTGGGAGCCTGGGGCAGGAGGGAGGGCTCACTGACCAGCCACGGGTTTCCAGGCCAGCAGGGCAGAAAAGATGAGAATGCCACCCTCTCCTTGTAGCTAACTGCTTCTGCTCTAGCCAATCTCAAAGCAGGTCCTGGAAGAATCTTTGCAGCTTGGATTTATTTTGCTGAACTCTCAGGAAGGTACCCCCTTCCATGTTAGGCAGCAGCCAGACCAGAGCCATCTTGAGAATTTTATGGCAGATCTGCAGGTGCAGAAACTCCACCAGCCTGGACAACATGGGGAGACTCCATGTCTACAAAATAAAAATTAAAAATCTAGCCAGGCGTGGCAGCACTTCCCTGTAGTCCTAGCTACTCCTGAGGCTGAGACAAGAGGATCGCTTGAGCCCAGGAGGTCGAAGCTGCAATGAGTTGTGATTGCAACACTGCACTCCAGCCTGGGTGACAGAGGGGGACCCTGTCTCAAAAAAAAGAAACTCCAAACAGGAGCCCCAGAGTTCCAGGGGTCCAGTCTCTCATGGGAACCAATTTGTGCCCCAGCAGTTTGGTGGGAGGACAGGAACCCATCCTAGATATTGCTGGGGTAGGGAGAACTACTCCAGGAACTACCTGGGGCAGAGAGGACACCCACCTAGCATTGCAGGAACTTTTGAAAAGCCCTTACCCAACTCTCCTGTCACATTGTCTAAAGTGTCACCGTTGAAGAGAGGTATTCCTTTGAGTTGTAAAGGTTTGTATCTGTTATTAAAATGAGATTTCTGGGGGTTATTACACCTTAAGTCTCACATCCTGGGGAGCGACATTTTTAAGTCTCACATTTTAAGTGACAACATGCCTTAAGTCTTACATAAGAGGCAGTAGGAGAAAGATCAGTGAGTTATCTGAGTGATTGGCCTCAGTTTCCCCATCTGTAAAATGAGGCCATTGAACTGGATGCATGACCTCTCAGGTTAAAGAAAAAAGGTGACTCACACCTGTAATCCCAGCACTTTGGGAGGCCAAAGGAGGATTGCTTGAGCTCAAGAGTTTGAGGCTGCAGTGACCTATGATTGTGTCACTGTGCTTCAGCCTGGGCAAAAAGAGCAAGACCCTGTCGAAAAGAAAAGAAAGAATGAACAAAGAAAGAGAGAGAGAGAAAGGAAGAAAAAGGAAAGAAGAAAAAGGAAGAAAGGTAGGAGGTGAGTCTAACCTCCCCACTCATGTCTCTGCCCTTTGATCAGAGGTTATAAACCCGCAGCTCTGCAAGCCAGATTGGGCCAACAGACATCTTTGGTTTGGCCTGCAGAGTGTTTTAAGAGAATTTGGATCAACATTTAAAAATGAAGCAATTTCATATTTTTTAAATGCCAAATGTCTTGCTTCTTTTGGAAGATGGGAAGCTCTGAAAGTACTGAGCCCACATTCCCACCCAGCGACAGTTATCCATTGCTGAGGCCAGCTGCCCCATTTTGAAAGGGTATGCAATTTTCAGTTTGCCACAGTCTCCACCACTCCTTATTATTTACCCAGCTCACTCCGCCCACTTACTTTATTTGACTGACCTTGAAGACAACTAAGTTAGTGACCCTGGTCCTGTATGGTCCTGGCTGGCAGCGGATAGCACAGCAGACAGCAACCCCGACCTCAGTGCCCCTCACTGTTCAGCTCCCTTGTTAGAAGGCAAGATCGAGCCGGGAAAAAGCCTGATGCAGAGAGCGCTTTGAAGGCGATGTCGTGGGATTATTTTTGCTAAACATGAAAATCCAAAGGCTGCAGAGCCACTGATGTGTTTTTGCAAATTCCAGCAAATTAAAAAAATGTGTGTGCAGAATTCAATTGGGGATTATGGGCTGGCTTTCATGAAAGAATAAATTGTCGGCCAAGACAAAGCAGCAGATTAACTTTTGTGGACTGTGTTTCTCTCCGGGATGCGGCTCCCACGAGCCGGCTCCTCATGTCTGTGGAGAGACGTGCTGCTTCAACCTTTATCTGCGGCCAGTTGAGCTGCCGTGGCCAACGGTGAGCCTGTAGTAGAACTTTAAATGGCTCCGTAGCAAATGTCAAAACTGTTTGATCTGCTTTTAGAAAATCACCTTTCAAGGTGCTGGAAGATACTTGACACTTTGCAAAGAGATTAGAAACTTTTCAGCTGACTTGGTAAAAGGGACCTGGCAGGTCTGATTCCAGGGAAGCAGGAGGGTGACCCTAGAGGTGCCCAAGACCAGCACGTCTGAAGCCAGTGGCTTCACTTTAAAATTGAAGAGCCAGTTCCCAGCGTGGCATCGGCCACCACCCCCTGACCTTGGCATTTGGGATGGTCCCAGAGCAGCTTTGCTTTCTGCACTCTTAGGGAGAAGAGATGGTGACAGACAGGGTTGAGATTGAAAGGAATGACTGGGAACATGTATCCATCAGCATTCAGCCAGCTGCTAACAGCCTGTCCCTCCCTCCAGCCTACCAGCTAGTCTGGAGGCCACAGACAAGACACAAAGGACTCGGGCAAGGCCTGGGCTGACTGGACCAGAAGGATGAAATTGGATTAGTCAACACAAGGTGACTTGAGACCATGCTAACAGGAGTGGTACAACCATGACCACTGCACAGCTCTTCCCTTACCAGGTCTCTCACCACTGTCCTTCCCTGCCACACCCACTGTCCTTGCTGGTCTAGGCCTGTGGCAGCTCCTGCTTGCATTATTGCAACTGCTTTCTAACTGGTCTTCCTCTTCCCCTCTCCCTAATTTGCCCTCTGCAGGGCCACAAGCTTGACCATCCTAAAACATTCTGCTGCTCTTATGCCTTCTTGTCTTCTACCAGACAAAAATCCTGCCATTCAGAAACAACAGATGCTGGCGAGGCTGTGGAGAAATAGGAATGCTTTTACACTGTTGGTGGGAGTGTAAATTAGTTCAGCCATTGTGGATGACAGTGTGGTGTGTCCTCAAGGATCTAGAACCAGAAATACCATTTGACCCAGCAATCTCATTACTGGGTATATACCCAAAGGATTATAAATCATTGTACTATAAAGACACATGCACACATTCCATCTCTAGTTCTAAAACTGGGTGATTTATATGACAGTGGGCAAGTTCCTGTGGCTCAGTTTCCTTATCTATAAAACAAGGATGATTGCACTATTTTACTAGTCAGGATAGGCTATATTATGTTGCGGTAACAGACAAGCCCAACACCTCTGTGGTTTGCCACAACAAAGGTTTATTTCTTATACATACTGCATGTACAATCATCAGCAAAAGGCTGTGCTCTCCTGTAGTAATCATCTTTAAGGTACCCAAGGTGATAGAGGCTCCCCAGCCCCAACCCCAACCCATCACCTATAACTAGCATCTCAAGATGAGGTTAAAGAGTTCTCTGCAGCAGGCAAAGAGAGGGTTGGAAGTGAAGCACCAGCAATGAAATGCTTCAGCCCAGTACTGATACAAGTCAATTCTGCCTACATTGCCTTGGCCAGAACTTGCCACAGAACCCTGTCTAATTTCAAGGAGTTGAGGAATCATAATTCCATCTCCACTTGGAAAATAAGAAGCAAATTTGAATGAACATTAGTCATGTCCACCACATTCAGGTTGCTGTCAGCATCAAATGAGCTTCTGAGAAAAAGTGATTGGAGAATCAGCTTAAGCCATGATTCAGATCCCAGATAGGTACAAGTTCAGAATCTGATCCCAGGAAGTTGTGTGTGACCTTGGGAAAATTACTAAATCCCTCAGTTTTCATTTTCTCATCTGTAAAATGGGGATATTAATATCCATCTCGTAGAAGTAATGTGAAAATAAGATAATGCATGAGGCACTCTGAGCACAACACTTAGTAAGTCTTTGACGATGGTTGGTGGTATCGATGAAATAAGATTGGCCATGAGTTGGTAATTTTTCACATGGTTGATGAGTTCATGGATGTTCATTAAAACAACCTCCTTACTTTTGTATATGCTTAAATTTTTCCTTAATAAAAAGTGTTTTTAAATTTTTTTTAAACCTGGGAGAGATAGAATGATACCACAGAAATGGAAGAGTAAGGAACTCTAAGAATTGGTTCCTCCGTAGAAGCAACCACTAAACTGGCAAAAATTGATAGAATTAATTCTTTTGGAACTCTGAAATCTAATCAAAAGCTTATAGCCACTATGGGCACGCTTAATGAAGAAACAAGTTGTTAAGTTCAGTGAGAAAGCATGTAGCACTTTTGCTTACCCACCTGTCATCCCCCAGTCCCCATCTCAGCATTGGCCATGTGGATGGCAGCCTGCATTTCTAGTTTGGTTTGCTGCAGATGGAAGGCAATACAGACCCTGTTCTTTAATAATTGTGGTAGTACATCTTAACCGGTATGGCAGTTACCTGGGAAACCAGCATAGAGGCTGACCTTCGTTTCATCCCCCTCAGCCTAGAGTGGCTTTCTGTGAGGTATCTGTGGAAAACATTTAAAAACATATATTACCTAGAACCACCTGAGACAAGGCACAGAAAAGGCAAGAGAGATAGACTTAAAAGTTTGGAAAGGAGGACGCTAAGGAGAAAGATTCTTGGGGCAATATGGGATTTGAAGGGCTACCAAGTATATCAGGAAACCTGGAGTTAAAGGCACATGACTAGGGTTAGACACATGATCAGAAAATACCTGATAGGACCCTTGGCTTCCACCTTCGGCTGATCTTTGAGAACCACATAAGCAGGAGGTAGAGGCTAAGCAAAGTTCTATGTGGCCTGGCTTAGTATTGAAGAAGTGCCCCAGCTTAGAGTCAATCTGCAAAAACCTAGGCGGGGGGATATATTTTTCCACAGTTTGGCTCCAGGTATTTAAGGAAATTTCTTTTCTCTTTCTTTCTTTCTTTCTTTCAAGATGGGGTTTCACTCTGTCGCCTAGGCTGGAGTGAAGTGGTGTGATCTCACCTCACTGCAACCTCTGCCTCCTGGATTCAAGCAATTCTCCTGCCTCAGCCTCCTGAGTAGCTGGGATTACAGGCTCATGCCACCATGACCAGCTAATTTTTGTATTTTTAGTAGAGATGGGGTTTCATCATGTTGGCCAGGCTGGTCTTGAACTCCTGGCCTCAAGTGATCTGCCCACCTCAGCCTCCCAAAGTGTTGGGATTACAGGCATGAACCAATGTGTCCAGCCAGGTATTTAAGGAAATTTCTGACAGTTAACTGGATAACCACTGATATAAAAGAACAGAGAGTTTAGTGGCCACACACAACAAGAAATAGTCTTTGCAAAAAATAGGAAAAGTCATTAAACAAATGGATGGCTATAGCCATCCGCAATCAACAACAGCAAATCCTGGAAGGAGTAGGCCCAATGAACTAAAGGAAACCAAAAGGACAATGTATGAACGGATAGCGAATATCAATAAAGAGCCAAAATTTAGAAAAGGAACCAAATAGAAATTCTGGACCTGAGAAGTACAATAGCAGAAATTAAAAATATACTAGAGAGATTCAACAGTGGATCTGAGCAGGCAGATGAAAGCATCAGCAAACTTAAAGAAAAAATCATTGAAGTTATCCAGTCTGCTATGGTCTGAATTATGTCCCCAGTAAATGTATATGTTGAAACCCTAACACCACCAATGTGACTGGACATAGTGCCTTTAGGAGGTAATTAAAGTAAAGTGAGATTGGGGCAGAACCCTCACCTGATAGAATTGAAGACCTTTAAGAAGAGAAAGATCCCTCTCGCTCTCTCTGTCTCTCCCCCCACACACACATAGACAAAGAAGTCATGTCAGCATACAATGAGAAGGCAACAAGGCAAGAGAAGATGCCTCAGAATAAAACTCATTTTTGCTGGCACCTTGATCTTAGATTTCTCAGTCTTGAGAGCTGTGAGAAATAGATGTCTATTGTTTCACCCACACTATGGTATTCTATTCTGTTATAGCAGCCTGAGAAAATTAATACCCGTTCTGAAGAGTGGAAAGAAAAATACAGAAAGAAAGAAAAATGAACAGAAACTGAGGGAGCTGTGGAACACCATCAACAATACCAGCATACAAACCACAGTAATCCAGGTAGGAGAATAGAGAGAAAAGGTGGCAGAAAAAAACATTCAAAGAAAGAGTGGCCAAATTTTTCTCAAATGTGATGAAATGCATCCATATACATATCCAACAAGCTCAATAAACCCCAAGTAGGTTAAACTCAAAATATCCACATCAAGACACATTACAACCAAACTACTGAAACACAAAGGCAAAGAGAACTTTGAAAACAGCAAGGGAAAAGCTATTTGGGTCACATATAAGAGATCTTCAATAAGATTAATAGCTGATTTCTCATCAGAAATTATGGAGGCCAGAAGGCAGTGGGATGATATTTAACATGCTGAAAGAAACTGTCAACCAAGAGTTCTGTATCCAGCAAAACTATCTTTCAGCCTGGCCAACATGGTGAAACCCCATCTCTACTAAAAAATACAAAAATTACTTGGGTGTGGTTGTGCACACCTGTAATCACAGCCACTCTGGAGGCTGAGGCACAAGAAGCACTTGAACCCAGGAGGTGAAGGTTGCAGTGAGATGAGATCATGCCACTGCACTCCAGCCTGGGCAACAGAGTGAGATTCTGTCTAAAAAAAAAAAAGAAGAATGAATGAATGAAGGGAAAATTAAGACATTTCCATATAAACAAAACCTGAGGAAGTTCATTACCAGTGGATCTTCCCTACAAGAATTACCAAAATAAGTCCTTCAGTCTGAAACAAAAGGACACTAGCTATTAACTCAAAGCCATAAGAAGAAATAAAGAACACTGGTAAAGGCAACTACATAGGTAAATATAAAGTCAGTATTATTGTTCTTTGGGTTTGTAACTTCTCTTTTTTTTCTATGTGATATAAAAGGCAAATGCATAAAACAATTATAAGTCTATGTTAATGAACACACGTGTAAAAATGTGATTTGTGACAATTACAAAACAAAGAAAGAAGAACAGAGATGTATAGGAGTAGAGTATGTATACACCTTTGAAACTACATTGGTACTTTTGCAAACTAGGTTGTTATAAGTTTAAGATGTTAACTGTAATCTCCCAAAGTAGCTATTAAGAAAATAAAATTAAAATTCACAGAAAAGGAAAGAAAGGAACCAAAATGGTACACTAAAAAAAATCGACTAAATACCAAAAAAAGCAGTAAGGGAGAAATAGAGGAACAAAAAATATATAATACATATAGAAAAAAAAAGCAAAATGGTAGAAGTAAACCCCCCTTTATCAGTAATCACATTAAATGTAAATTACTCTCCTATTAAAAGGCAGAGCTTAGCAGACTGAATAAAAGAGAAACATGATCCATCTAAATGCTGTTTACATAAGACTCACTTTAGATATAACAATACAAAGAGATTGAAATTAGAAGGATAGAGAAAGGTATTCTATGCAAATAGTAACCAAAAGATAGCCAGGTGGCTATATTATTGTCAGACAAAACAACCTTTTAGTGAAAAAAGCTCAACAAAAGACATAAAAGGTGAGTATATATTGATAAAAGGTTTAATTGGGCAAGAATATATAACAATTGTAAACCTATATAAACCTAACAACAGAGACCTAAGATAGATGAAGCAAAACTTGACAGAACTGAAGAGACAAATATCTCTAGGAAGCATGGGAAAGCAGAAAAATTTAAAAAAAAAAAAAAGAATTGAACAGAGAAATAGACAGTACTACAATAATTGGAACCTTCAATACCTCACTTTTAATAATAAACAACAATAAGATAGAACATCAGTAAGAAAGCAGAAGATATAAATAACACTATAAACCAATTAGACCTAAAAGACATATACAGAACATTCTACCCAACAGCATCAAAATACACATTCTTCTAGGTACACATGGAACATTATCCATGATAGACCATATGTTAGGGTACAAAACAGTCTTATGAAAAATTTTTAGTTGAAATTATACAAAGTATATTTTGCAACTACAATGGAATAAAACTAGAAATTAATAGTAAAAGGAAAACAGGAAAATTCACAAATATGTGAAAATTAAACAACAAATCTTAAATAAGCAATGGAGCAAAGAATAAACCACAAAGAAAATTAGAAAATATTTTTTCAAAAATGAAAATGATAACACAGCCAACCAAATGTATGGAATATAGTGAAAGCAGTGCTATGAGGGAAACCTATAGCTGTAAATGCATACATTTTTTAAAAAGAAAGATCTCAAATCAATAACCCAATTGTATACCTTAAAAAACTAGAATGAGAAGAAAAAACTAGACCTAAGCTAACAGAAGGAAGGAAATAATAAAGATTAGACTGAAGACAGAACACACAGACACACACACACACACACACACATGCATGCACACACACACACACACACACTACGGAAAGAATAGAAAAGCTATAGAGAAATATCAACTAAACAAAACATTAGTTCTTTAGTTCTGGGTTTTTTTTCTTTTCTTTCACTCTTAACACTATTCAATGATGGTTCTTTGAAAGATCAACAAAATGGATAAACCTTTACCTATACTGACTAACAAAAAAAAGAGGAAAGACACAAATAACTAAAATTAAAAATGAAAATGAGGACATTACTACCAATTTTATGGAAATAAAAGGGATTCTAAGAAAATACTATCAACAACTGTATGCCAGCAAATTGGATACTCTAGATGAAATAGACAAATCCTAGAAACACATAAACTACCAAAACTGACACAAGGAAAAATAGAAAATCTGGATAGACCTATAACAAGTAAGGAGATTGAACTAGCAATCAAAACCTCCCAACAAAGAAAAGCTCAGGACCAGATGGCTTTACTAGTGAATTCTACCAAATATTTAAAGAAGAATTAATATCAATCTGTCTCAGATTCTTCCAATATACTGAAGAGGAGGGAACATCTTATAACTTATAAGGCCAGTATTAACTCTGATACCAAAATTGGGCAAAAAGGGTATAAGAAAGGAAAACTACAGACCAATATCTCTTATGAATACAGGTGCTAAAATTCTCAACAAAATACTAGGAAACCGAATTCAGCAACATAGTAAAAGGATTATACGTCACAATTAAGTGGGATTTATCTCTGGAATGCAAGGATGGTTCAACATAAGAAAATCTATCAATGTAATACATAACATTAATAGAATGAAGGAAAAATTATCATCGTCTCAATTGATGCAGGAAAAATGTTTGCAGAATCCAATATCCTTTCATAATAAATAAGCTAATCAACAACTAAATAAGCTAAGAATAGAGTAGAACTTCCTCAACATGATAGAGGCTATATTTGAAAAATCTACAGCTGATATCATATTCAATGATGAAAGACTGAAATCTTTTCCCCTTAGAACAGAAAAAAACAAGAATGCCTGCTTTTATCATTTCTGTGCAACATAGTAATAGAAGTTCTATCCAGAGCATTTAGACAAGAAATAGAATTAAAAAGCATCCATATTGGAAAGGAAGAAATAAAATTCGTTTATTCACAGATGATATGCTCTTTTATGTAGAAAACCCTAAAGAAGAACACACACACACACATACGCACACACACAGTTAAGCTAATAAAAAAATTCAGTAAACTTGTAGGATATAAAATCAAGACACAAAAATCAGTTGTGTTTCTTACACACTAGCAATGAACAACTCAAAAAGGAAATTAATTTAAAAAGTCCATTGACAACAGCATCTAAAATAATAAAACACTTAGAAATAAATTTAACCAAGGAAGTGAGAGACTTATACACTGAAAACTGCAAAATATTGCTGAAAGAATAAAGATCATCTAAGTAAATGGAAATATATCCTGTGTTCATGGATTGGAAGACTTAATATTGTTAAATTGACAACACTACCCGAAACAATGTATGGATTCAATGGTGTTGAATCTATCAAAATCCCAATGGTAGTTTTTTGTTTTTTTTTTTTCAGAAACAGAAAAAAAAAAGCCTATACTAAATTCATGTGAATTTTAAGGGATCCCAAGTAGTCAAAACGATCTTGAAAAAGAACAAAGGTGGAGGATTTACTCTTTCTGATTTTATAACTTCCTGTAGCTACAGTAATCAAAGAAGTGTGGTACTAGCATAAGGATAGACATATCAATCCATGGACTAGAGTAAACAGCCCAGAAATAAACCCATATACAGTTAATTGATTTATGACAAAGGTGGCAAGACCATTCAATGGAGAAAGAACAACGTTTTCAACAGATGGTACTGGGAAAACTAGATATCCACATCCAAAAGAATTAAGTTAGACCCTTACCTTGTACCATAAACAAAATGGATCAAAGACCTAAATTTAAAAGCTGAGCTGGGGGTGGTGGCACTTGCCTATAGTCCCAGCCACTTGAGAGGCTGCAGTGGAAAGATTGCTTGAGCCCAAGAGTTCAAGGCCAGCCTGGGCAACATAGCAAGACCCTGTCTCTAATAAATAAATAAAAACTTAAACTATGAAACTGTTAATAGAAAATATAGAAGAAACATCTTTGTGACCTTCACTTTGGCAATGATTTATTAAATGTGGCACTAATTGTACAGGCAACAAAAGAAAAAATAGATAAACTGGACTCCATCAAAATTAAAACTTGTGTGCATCAAAGACACTATAGCAGAGTGATTGCATCTATGTTCCAGGTAAGAAAATAAAAATTAAAAACTGTAACAGAGTGAAAAGACAACTCACAAAATGAGAGAAAATATTTGCAAATTGTATATCTGGTAAAGGATTAATGTCCAGAATATATTAAATCTCCTACAACTCAACAACAATAAAACAAATAACTCTATTGAAACATAGGCAAAGAACCTGACATTTCTCCCAGGAAGATATGCAAATGACCAATATGCACATAAAAAGAGGCTGAACATCACTAGTCACTAGTGAAATACAAATCAAAGCCATAATGAGATACCGCTTTATGCCCACTATGAAAGCTATTATTTACAAAGAGACAGAGAGAGAGGAAGGGGGGGTGAGGAGAGAGAGCGAGAGAACGAGAGAGAGAGAGAGAGAGAGAGAGAGATGCAGTGGTGCTCACCTGTAATCCCAGCTACTAGGGAGGCTGAGGTGGGAGAATCATTTGAGCCCAGGAGTTCGAGAATACAGTGAGCTATGATTGCACCACTGCACTCCAGCTTGGGCAACAGAAGGAGACACCATTTCTTTGGAAAAAAAAAAAAAAAAAAGAAAGGAGAGGAGAGGAGAGGGGAAGGGAAGGGAGAGAAAGGGGAAGGGGAAGGGGAAGGGGAAAGGGAAGGAAAGGAAAGGAAAGGAAAGGAAAGGGAAAGGGTTGGTGAGGAGGTGAAGAAATTCACCTTGTGTGTTGCTGATGGAGATGTAAAATGATGCAGCTGCTGTGGGAAACAGCTTGGCATCTCCTCAAAAATTAAACATAGAATTACTGTATGATCCAGCAATTTCACTTCTAGGTATACATCCAAAAGAATTGAAATCAGGGACACATTCCCTAGCAAGCTGACTCAGAAGAAAAGAATATTTTAAATACATTAATCATTTAAATAAATAAGAAATCAGGAACTTAAACAGATTCTTGTGCACCAATGTTCATAGCAGCCTTATTCTCAATACCCAGAAGATGGAAATGACCCAAAGGCCTATCATCAGATGAATGGATAAACGTAATGTAATATAGACATATAATGGAATGTTATTTATCCTTAAAAAGGAATGAAATTCTGACACATACTATAACATGAATGAAGCTTGGAAAATTATGCTAAGTGAAATAAGCCAGACAAAAACAAAAAAGGACATATTGTATGATTTCTCTTATATGAGGTACATAGAGTATCAAATTTATAGAGACAAAAGGTAGAATAGAGGTTATCAGGAACTGGGGGCAAAGGAAGAGGGAAGAGGAGAGGAATGGGGAGCTATTGCTTAATGGGTTTGGCATTTATGTTTGGAAGATAAAAAAGTTCTGGAAATAGATTATAGATAGATAGATAGATAGATAGATAGATAGATAGATAGATAGATAGATAGATACATAGATACATAGATACATAGATACATAGATACATAGATAGATAGATGATATTTCTTTTTGAGACAGAGTTTCACTCTTTCTCCCAGGCTGGAGTGCAGTGGTGTGATCTTGGCTCACTGCAACCTCCACCTCCCGGGGTCAAGCGATTCTCCTGCCTCAGCCTGCTGAGTAGCTGGGATTACAGACATGTGCCACCAAGCCCGGCTAATTTTTGTATTTTTACTAGAGATGGGGTTTCACCATGTTGGCCAGGCTGGTATTGAACTCCTGACCTTGTGATCCGCCCGCCTCAGCCTCCCAAAGTCCTGGGATTACAGGTGTGAGCCACTGCAGCCGGCCATAACAGTAAATTTTGTTACCTATATTTTACCACAATCAAAATAAACAAAGTCAATCAAACAAAAGCAATTTAAAAGGAGAAATTAAAACATTCCCAGATTTTAAAAAAGCTGAGAGAGTTTGTCACTACTAGACTTGGCCTAAAAGAAATGCTAAAGGGAGCCTTTCTGGCTGAAAAGACACTAGACAGTAACTCAAATTCATATGAAGAAATTGGGAATTCTGGTAAAAATAATTACATAGATAAATATAAAAGCCAGTGTAATTATATTTTTGGTTTCTAACTCCACTTTTTGTTTTCTAACTTATTTATAAGACAAATGCCTAAAACAACAATTAAAATTCTATATTAATAGGCAAACAGTGTATAAAGATGTAATTTATGACTTTAAAAGGGAATGGACTGAGGTACATAGGAACAGAGTTTTTGTATGCTATTGAAACTAAGTAGGAATTAATTCCAACTAAGTTTTTATATATTTAGGATGTTAATTGTAATCCCCATGGTAAACATGGGGATAAATACTCATGACCTTGTATTTGCCAATAGAGTCTTAGAAAAGACACCAAAAGTAAAGGAAACAACAACAAAAATACATACATTGAACTTTGTCAACTTTTAAAACTTTTGTGCACCAAAAGACACTATCAAGAGAGTGTGCCAGGTGTGGTGGCTCACGCCTGTAATCTCAAACAGTTTGGGAGGCTGAGGTAGAAGGACTACTTGAGCCCAAGAATTCAAGACCAGCCTGGGCAACATAGTGAGACCCCATCTCTAAAAAAAAAAAAAATTAGCTGGGTGTGGTGGCACATGCCTACAGTCCCAACTACTCAGGAGGCTGAGGCAGGAGGATCTCTTGAGCCCAGGAGGTCGAGGCTGCAGTGAGCCATGATCACGCCATTGTACTCTAGCCTGAGTGACAGAACAAGACCCTGTCTCAAAAAGAAAAAAAAGAGTGAGAGAGTAAAAAGGTAACACACAAAATTGAAGGAAATTCTTGCAAATCATATATCTGATAAGGGATTAGTATCTAGAATATATAAAGAATGCCTAGAACTCAACACACAAGAAAACAAACAACCTAATTCAAAAAAAGGGCAAAGAACTTGAATAGACATTTCTTCAAAGAAGATATGCAAATGAATCTGGGTGTGGTGGCTCAAGCATATAATCCCAGCACTTACAAAAATTAGCCAGGCATGGTGGTACACACCTGTAGTTCCAGCTACTTGGGAGGCTGAGGCAGAAGAATTGCTTGAACCCGGGAGGCAGAGGTTGCAGTGAGCTGAGATTGTGGCACTGCACTCCAGCCTGGGTGACAAAGAGAGACTCTGTCTCAAAAAAAAAAAAAAAAAGATATTCAAATGGCCAATAATCACATGAAAGGATGTTCAACATCATTAATTTTTAGGGCAGTGGAAGTCAAAACCACAATGAGATACCACTTCACACCCACTAGGATGGCTACATTCAAAAAAATAGAAAATAACAAGTATTGGTGAAGATGTAGAGAATATGAAACCCTCAAATTTTGCTGGCAGGAATGTGAAATGTTTTGGTTACTGTGGAAAATAGTTTGGCAGCTCTTCAAAAAGTTAAACATAGAATTACTATATGACATCTATTACGTTCTTAGATACACACCCAACATTGAAATCAAGGATTCAAAAAAGTACTTATATATGCATGTTCATAGCACTGCTATTCACAATAGTCAAGGGGTGGAAACAACCCAAATGTCCATTAACAAGCAAATGGATAAGCAAATTGTGGTATTATACAAGTAATGTTGTTCAGCCATAACAAGGAGCTAAGAACTCACACATGCTACAACATAGGTGAACCTTGAAAGCATTATGTTAAGAGACAGAAGCCAAACACAAAAAAGATCATATATTATATTATTCCATTTATAGGAAATAGCCAGGGTAAGTAATTCCATAGAAATGGAAAGTAGAAAGATGGTTTTTCAGGGGCTAGACTGAGAGGGAAATAGGGAGTCATTGTTTAATGGATACAGAGTTTCCGTTTGGGAAGATGCAAAGATTCCACAGATGGAGGGTGGTGATGATTGCACAACCTTGTGAATGTTCTAAGTGCTACTGAATTGTTTGCTTTAAAATGGTTAACTTATGTTATGTGAATTTCACCTAAAACCCAAAACCTTGAAGAGAGATTTTGTCATCTCAGTTTTCTGATGAGAAATCCAATGTACCAGGAGGCAAGTAATTTGTTCCAGGTCGCACATGCCTTTCTTAGCAGTCAAGGTCAAGGATCACAGCTTCTGAATCTAAGGGCAAGCCATGGTTGGCCTCAACCTCAGGGGAAGTGACAGTAAAATCAGGAGGCTAGGGGAGAGGTGAGACACGATGTGTAGACTTCACCTGGATTTTATAGGCCTGGTGGCCTTGTTTGTTGGTTTGTTTAAAAAAAAAAAAAAAAAAAAGATTTTCCAAGGGCACACTCACCTTTACACATGTATTTTTTGTGCAAGTGCCAAAGTATTGAATGGATTTCGTAAACCCAACCATAAACCTCGGCAATGGCTCCCATAGGAGCTGCCGGCCACCAGCATGGAGAGTCTCATGAGCTGTGGCAAAGCCATGGCCCACCACACCCAGACTCCACCACCCACACCTCCCTCAGGTTACTGTCGCTGTGGGGGCCATAAACTCAGCATTTTATAGCATAGCCTGTTTTTTCCCAAATCAGTCACCAGCCCCATATATTTGCTATGTATGACCAGACTATTTAGAAATTTAAAGGTTTTCGTATGTACTGGAATACTTCTATTTTTAAGGTTTTGAAGACATGCTTGAAATATACTGAAAAATAGAATAGAATAGGAAAAGAGTAAACTTTCATCTAGATTTAACATATTTGCTTAATTCAAATTTTTTTGCTGAACCGTTTGAAAGTAAATTTTAGACAACATAACAGTAATACTTAGCATGCATTGCCAAAAAATAAGGATATTTTCCACAATGTTATTATCACGTCTAACAGAATCAACACAATTCCCAAATATCATCTAATAATAAGTCCATATTCATATCCCCATTTGCTCCAAAAATGTCTTTTATTGATATCTGCTTAAACTAGGGCCCAAAGACCACACCTTGCTTTTAATTATGTCTCTTAGATCTCCTTTACTCTAGAACAATCCTCTTAATCTTGTCTTATTTTTTCCTCCATGACATTGACTTTTAATCTTAAGGACTGTTCCACATTCTATATTTGTCTATCTCATTGCTACATTCTATATTTGTCTATCTTATTGTTTCCTTGTGGTATCATTTAATTTGTTCCTCTGTCTTCTGTATTTTTTATAAACCAGAATTAGGACTAAACGGTTGGTGAGAAACATGTTCAACATCGTTGGTAAGAAAGCTTCAAAGGTGAGGCTGTGTGCTTCATGATGGCATCCCATCAGGAGGCCTGGAACAATAGAGTTTCCACTATTAATTGATGCCAAACTTGATTTGGTTTCTGGGTAACATGGCAGCCATTAGATCTTGCCAATATAAATGACGTTATTTCCTTTTGCAAGTAGACTGTAGGGATGGTACCTTGACATTGTACAAAAATCCAGTTCCTTATCAACTTTTCACCTAATGCTTTCAACATCCGTTGATGATCCTGACCCCAGCCAATTAGTTCATTGATAGTTGCAAACTGGTCATTTTCTGATTTGTCTGGTTTCTTCATTTATTAGCTGGCATTGCTCTGTAAAGACAAACTTTCCCTCCTCAACTGGGGATATTTGGCCACACTCAAATGCTCTTCCTAGAGCAAAAGCAGGATAAACGTTCAAAGACATTCATCGCCACAGAAAATCCAGAACCAGAAGTTGAACACCAGCAGTGGGTAAGTGGGTGAGTGGGCAGACCTGATATTGTTGAGGGACAGGAGATGTGTGTGGGCATTGAGTCCACCTAAGACCAGCCAGCATTCTTCATCTGTTTGATAAATATCTACAGCTTCAGGTGAATTGGCAGATGGAGTAATGGTCAAAATGTCAAATAGGTCATAATTAGTCACTGGTTTTTCTTTCGTTTTGTTTAATATCTCATAAATCAATTTTTTTACTGTTGAATAGTTGGTGACAGTTTATTTTATTTTAGCCAGTTTTCAGGATTTGGGGGTGCTTTTGGTTTCTGTGAACTCTGCTTTTATACGACATGCTTTTTAAAAATGCATTTAACCTGGGCAAGATGGGAAGAGCCCATCTCTACAAAAAAAAATTTTTTTTAATTAGCCAGGCATGGTAATGCATGCCTGTGGTTCCAGCTACAAGGGAAGTTGAGGCAAAAAGACCACTTGAGCCCAAGAGGTCAAGGCTGCAGTGGGCCATGTTCACATCATTGCACAGCATGTGTGACAGAGCAAGACACTGTCTCAAAAAAAAGAAATGCACTTGTTAGTAAAATTTTTAATTTCAAAATAATTTTCAGGCAATCTTGGCTGCCCCAAAGGCTTCACATGTCTCTGGTGCTATGTGAAATGCCCCACCCAAAGTGAATATGGTCAAAATGAACATGTTCATTGATAACTTTGTTTGCACCCAATGATTTTTTTTTTTAATTTCTGAAACTTATTGCAAGGATAAAACAAATTTGCATCTGCCAAGTCTACTACCTGCAATCTAAGTTGTTTTTGCATTTCTAAATTATAAATTCATTAAAACCCGGTACTTCATATTTAGCTATGTTTCTCACATTTTCATTACGTATTTGTTTTGTATTTAAGGAGTTTTCATAAAGAAAAACAAAACTTCCAGCAGTGACAAAAGCAGAGCCGATTTATTTTATTGGCTATTCCTGAAAACAACATTAAGATTTTAAATGTTATCCTAAGATTGGAATGTGGAATAAAGAGGTGAGAAATAGTTGCATAAATCATGTCTCAAGTTCAGCATTCCATTTGTCAGAGGCGTTGCTGTAGCTCTCACCCTGCAGATGTCTCGCAATGTTGGATGGTACCATGATTTTACTTGGACAAATCATTGCTGGAAAACTGCTCATCCCTTCATTTGGCTATTCTTTGTTTCAGGCAGCAAAGCCACTATTACGAAAAAAATGACTCAATATTCCAACATACTAAGGATACCTTGCTATGCCCAGATGGGGCCTGCAACGACCTTCCCAGTCCTGTCAGTACCAGCTAATTGACGCAAGGTTAGGGAGGGGCCTTTTTACAAGAAGAAGGCCAGAATCTGAGTTCAGGCATATTCCACCTATTTAACAGACTGAGGGAGTTGAGGCAGATACCAAATCCTAAGGGAAAGGGGCGTGATCTTTCTGTTTCTCCCTCCTCTCTTTCCAGAATCCAAATGCCCTTCCTATTTTAAAGGAACATACCTTATGAAATCTCAGAAGAGTCTTGGCTCCATCCACCTTTGCAAGATGCCAGCCTTTTGCTGGGTTACTTCATACTCTTCTGATCCATTCCCCATATGGTTAAGTTTACCACTGCCAGATTCTATTGTATGAAACCAGAGTCCAGACTGAATTAGGACCTCTAAAATCTAAATCCTCCTAAAGGAAAGAAATGTCTGATGTTGTGAGCCAGACTTGGTCACCGGCAAGTGAGTCTGAGGGTGGGAGAGGAGTGATAGTTCTTGCCCTGCTGGCTCTCCTAGTCAAGCCCCTCCCATGCCAGTCACCATGGCGATAAGAGCCACCCCTCCCCACCCCTCCGCCCATGGTGGGATCCTCTGACACAGTTGGGCCCATTGCCTATGAAACAATGGCAGCTGCTCGCAGGATGGCAGCCCAAGGAAGGCCAGTGGAGGGTAGCCCAGGGCAGCACCAATGACAAATGGAGAGCAGCTGCCTGCACAGAACCATGAGTGTGGGGCTTTCATGGAGAACCCCGGGAGGAGGAAATGATGGCCCAGAGGCTGTGGCATTTGAAGACTGAACTACAAGACAGTGTGCCATCAGAGCTAAAGGGAATGGCTCTGAAGCCAGACTTCCTGGGGTTTCCTGTTGGCACGGCCACCTACGGTTATGTCCCCTTGAACAAGTTACTTCTATCCTCTGTGTCTTGGTTTCCTCATCTGTAAAATGGCATAAGAATAAGTGCACCTACCACAAAGTGTTGTTGTAAGGATTAAATCAGTTAATTCTTAGACTTGCACCGTGCATATAGCAAGTACTCAATAAATGTTGTCATAGTGATTGACTAATGCACTGTTTTAGTGTCTATTGCTCCATGGAGGAAAACAGGAGGGGGTAGAGCTGTCCAATCAGGGAAAGCCCACTAGACATGTCAGAGTGACCTCATTTGAGCCCACAGGCTGGTGAAGTTTAAGGACATTCAGAATCCCTAAAAACCCAATGGCTGGTTGTAAGCCCTAATGCAATATTGGATCCAGAGCAAATGGAACTCTCAGGCACTGGGATGGGAATGTCACTTGCTTGGTGGCATTTAACTAGTGCTAAACATTTGTTCCTCAAGAACCTAACTATTCTATTCCTAGTTATATACCTAATAGAAATGCATGCATGTGGTCACCAAAAGACATATGTAAGAGTGTTCATAGTACATTATGCATGATGGCTGGAAACTACCCAGATGCCCAGCAAGGGTAGAATGGTAAATGGTGGCCAGGCACGGTGGCTCATACCTGTAATCCCAGCACTTTGGGAGGCCGAGGTGCGCAGATCACTTGAGGTCAGGAGTTCGAGACCAGCCTGCCCAACATGGTGAAACCCCCGTCTCTACTAAAAATAAAAATAAATAAAAAATAAAAAGCCTAGCTGGGTGTGGTGGTGCGTGCCTGTAATCCCAGCTACTTGGGCAGCTGAAGCACGACAATCACTTGAACCCAGGAGACAGAGGTTGCAGTGAGCTGAGATCGTGCCACTGCACTCCAGCCTAAGGAACAGAGTGAGACTCTGTCTCAAAAAAAAAAGAATGATAAATGGTGGTGTGTCATGAAATACTTCTTCAGCAGTGAGAATAAGCAAACTAAATCTACACCCAAGCATCAACACGGGTGAATCTCACAAGGTGTTGAGCAAAAGAAACCCAACACAAAAGGGTATGTGCTGATGATTCCAGTTATATAAAGTTCAGGTTCACAACCAGGCAAAATTAATTTGTGCTGTTAGAAGCCAGGAGAGTGGATGCCCTTGGGAAGGTGGGGATATCTGGGAGGGAATATGAGAGAAGTTTCTGGGATGCTGGTGAAGTTCTAATTTTTTTTTTCTGTGAACTTGCATACAGAAGTAAAGAAGTCCTATTTGTTATCTGGGTGCTGATTTCATGGAGATGTTCACTTTGTAAAAACTCATCAAACTCTTTCTTGGTGCTCTTGGGCAAATTATGCACCTGTAGTCCCAGCTACTTGGGAGGCTGAGGCATGAGAAACACTTGAACCCAGGAGGTGGAGGTTGCAGTGAGCTGAGATTGCACCACTGCCCTCCAGCCTGGGCAACAGATCGAGACTCTGTTTCAAAAATAATAATAATAATAATAATAAATAAAGTTTTATTTGAACATAGCCACACACATTCATTTACATATGGTCTATGGTTGCCTTAGGGCAACAAAAACAGAGTTGAAAAGCGGTAACAGAAACTGTATAGCCCATGACACTGAAAATATTTACTATCTCACCCCTTACAGAAAGTTTGCCAATCCCTAAGCCAGTGATGCCATTCCTGGGAGCAGAAATCCTCCCACTGGTCTGCAAGGGATGCCCATTGATGTACTGCCAATTAGGTGTCATCTCTGGGGAATCAATAAGTAAAATGTAGGCAATGCACCCTATGGAATGCAGTTAAAAGTAAGGAATCAGATGCATATACAACAACGTGGGTGGTTCTCAAAAATACTGGGCTGGCCAGGAGGTATGGCTCATGCCTGTGATCCCAATACTTTGGGAGGCCAAGAGGGGAGGATAGCTTGAGGCCAGGAGTTTGAGGCCAGCCTGGGCAACATAGTGAACCGTGTCTCTACAAAAAATGCAAAAATTATATGGGTGTGATAGTATGCACCTATAGTCCCAGCTATTTGGGAGGCTGATGGGGGAGAATTGCTTGAGCCAGGGAGTTCCAGGCTGCAGAAAGCTGTGATTGCACCACTGGACTCCAGCCTGGGCAACAGAGCAAGACTCTATCTCAAAATAAAAAATTAAAAAATGAAAATTAAAAATTAAAATAAAAACACTGAGCTGAGTAAGAGAAAATAACAAGTGAGAAATAGAATAATAAACATAGTTAATATTTTTTGAGCATTTACTTTATGCCAAGTAGTGTTCTGGGTGCTTTTAAAGTATTAACTCTCTTAATCCTCTGGCCATCTCTTTGAAGTGGGAACAATTACCATCCCACACGACAGTTGGAGAAACTGAGGCATCAAGGCTAAGTAACTGCCAGCCAGCAAGTGGCAGAGCTTGGGTTTTGAACTGGGTCAGTGGAGTCTAGCACCTGTGCCCTTTTTTTTTTTTTTTTTTTTTTTGAGATGGAGTCTCACTCTGTTGCCAGGCTGGAGTGCAGTGGCGCGATCTCATCTCACTGCAACCTCCGCCTCCCAGGTTCAAGCGATTCTCCTGCCTCAGCCTCCCAAGTAGCTGGGACTACAGGCGCCCGCCACCACGCCCAGCTAATTTTTGTATTTTTGGTAGAGACGGGGTTTCACCATGTTGGCCAGGATGGTCTCAATCTCTTGACCTGATGATCCACCCACCTCAGCCTCCCAGAGTGCTTGGATTACAGGCATGAGCCACTACACCTGGCCTAGAACTTGTGCTCTTGACTCCTATGGTGTACACAACACAATACCTTTCTGTATGGTAAAAACAAAACAAAACAAAACAAAAAAACCACTCATTGAAAAGATAATGTTTGGTGCAGCAGCTCCCACCTATAATCCCAGCACTTTGGGAGGCCAAGGCCTCCCAAATTTTACAACTATCTACACACAAAAAGCACCTTGAGGATTGCTTGAGACCAGATGATCAAGACCAACGTGGGCAATATAGCAAGACCCTATTTGTACAAAAAAAATTTTTTTTAATTAGCCAGCCATGATGCCATGCACCTGTAATCCCAGCTACTTGGGAGGCTGAGGTAGGAGGATCACATGAGCCCAGGAGTGGAAGGTTACAGTGAGCTATGATTGCATCACTGCACTCCAGCCTGGGCAATAGAGTAAGACTGTGCCTCAAAGGAAAAAGAAAAAAAAAGGTAAATTTTAGGTTATGTGCATTATGCCACAATGAAGAAAAGAAACACGCATCTACATATAAAGCAGCATTATGTATTTAGGAACATTCACCAAACACACTGGACAGTTGCCTCCGTGCTGGGAGAATGAAAGAGTGGGGGGGGCGTGTAAATCACAGGCAAATGATAGGGACCCACTCTGAACTAAGCAGAGTGACAAACTTCATTCCACCTAAGAGTCATAATTTTCTCCACTTTAAAAATGTTCGAGAATTCCAGCACTCCCAGGTCAACACAGGAGGCTATGGCCAGCGCAGACGGCTGCCACATCGCTGGGCCTCCTCGTGTTCTCCTGCAGCCCAGCAGCTCTGTGAGCTGTCTGGCAGCCGCTGGTGGTGTGAGGACTGGGGCTGGCACGGCAGCAGGCATGCCAGGGCACCATGGGCTGGCTGCCTTATCACACCGGACAGAACAACCAGCGTGGGGCCTGACACAGGCCCTCCCCGTGGCCGCAGCAGGGCAGCCGGCTTTTTTTCCTGACCATCTTTGAGCTCAAGATCAGACACAGGGAAAGATTAAAACAAATATGAATTTAATCAAGGGATTCTGCTATCCTGGGGTGGAAACAGGAGCCTGCTGACATAAAGAGAGGCTGGAGCGCTGGGGAGCCAGAGTGGAATCAAAGTGGCTTGCTTACCACTAACCGCTCAGATGATCCATATCATAACAACAAAAAAGAAAAACAATTATTTATTCTTTTTGATGTTACAGCTCAGCAGCAACTTGCTTTTTGAAGAGAGCAAGGTCAAAACCAAGTTATTGTTTTTGCCTGAAACTTTGACAGGGACTCCAAGTTCTTCCGTGTGACCTACTTAGATGAGATGTGGGAAACGTGGAGATGTTCATTTCTTCTGGGCCATGGATTAGGGCTTCCTTTCTTCTCCTTCCTCCCTCCTTCTCACCATGTCTCCCTCCCCTCTCTTACTGTTAAGGACCTGAATATGATGTCGTGGGGCCACAAAGGCATCCAAGCCACAGCTCCATCTCATCTCGTCTGGGAGAGCTAGATAGAAGCCCAGGTCTCCAGATCCACTCCTCCCAGGTGGGCTGGGGAACAGCCTTCCTTTCACTCCCTAATTCACCCACCTGACATTTACTATGCAACTGCAATGCGGGCATGGTGCTGAATGCCAGGGGTACAACTGCGAACAAATCAGCCCTGCTCTAGGAGAGTTTATTTTTCACAGGAGAGACATGGGTTTAAATAACAGGTCATAATTCAGGAGCATCCAAATAGCCACAGGGAAAGCACAAGGTTACAAGCAGGCTTTTGTAACCCAGACAGGGGATTCAGAAGCATCTGCTCCATGGGGTTGTTGGCCCAGGAAGGAGGGGAGGGAAGAGTGTTGGGGCAGAGAGAACAGCATGCACGGAGGCCTGAAGGTGAGAGATCATAGGTTCAAGGGACTGAAAGCAGCTTGGCTCTGCAGGTGTGGGGAGGGTGTTAAGGAGAACAGAACTCGTAGGGGCTGGAGGTCTGGCAGGAAGCAATTCCTGCAGGGCCTTGCTAGGCCATCACAAGGAGTTTGGATTTCCTCTTTACCGCAGTGGGGAGCCACAGCCAAGGATTTTCAGCAGCAAGCCACGCGGTCAAGGCCGCTTCAGAAAGTTCACTCAGGGCCACAGGAGGGATTGCAGGGAGGCAAGACTGGAGGTGAGAGATGAGGCTGGCAGGGGCCAGAGAGGTGCCAGGGGAGCTGGACACAGTGGAGAGCGTCGAGAAAGATGCACACAGTGATGAAACAAGAACTGTGTGGCTGAGGGCAAGCGGAGTTGAAGCCTGTGCCTACCTTCATTGCCTGACACCAGCCACGCAGGAGAGGAGGCAGGTTACCTATGGAGGGGGTGGGGAGGGATGATGAGTTGCATTGAGCTTGAGGACCCAGGTGAAGACATCTGGTTGAATGCACAGGTCTGGGGCTCAGGAGAGAGGAGGCTGGATGTGCAGACCTGGGAGGACATGGCACCTGTAGACCCAGGTCCATCCCTGTCTCCCCGTCAGCTTTCAGCCCTGCTTCCTTATATTTAAATGTTCACGTTCTTTGATTCATCAACCAGATGTTGGAACCCTGATGTGTCCCTCATGCTGTGCCAAGCCCTGAGGGAAAACAACAAGCACCACCAGATGTGGCTTCAACCCGGTCAGATTAATCTCACTCAGAAGCCAAGGAGGCCTGACACCCCATGTCCCAGGTTGGGTTCCCCAGAAGCAGGCCCTCACACAAGGATGTGAGGGCAAGCAGCAGATTAGGGAAGTGGTCCTAGGAGGTACCAGCAGGAGAGTGGGGAAGGACATGGGAGGGGAAGGAAGCTAACACAGGCTAGAGGAAGGGGCAGTTTACAGCTGTTCGCAAAATGGTTCAATCCCAACCAGTCTCTGGGCCACCCCTAAGAGGTAACCCACCTGACGGGTGATAAAGATGAGGCATGGGCTCACCCTCCCGTGATGGCCATCCAAAAGGGCGCCCTGCTCCCCGGTGCTATGGGCCTGCCTGTGTGAGGCTGGTCACCCTCCTGATCCTTGAGAATGACCTCAGGTAGCTGCAGTTCTTTGCAGTAAGAAGCCAGAGGTGGGACCTGTGAGTAGCAAAGTCACCTGGGCAGGACACCCCCAGAGTTTGCTCTGTGCAGTACACCACCAAAATGAGTGGGTTTTCAATGGAGGAATGGAGATTTCAGCTATTTTTTTTTAAGAGCATTTTCTCCAGACTCTGTAGAAATTTATTTCTGTAAAGCCCAGCTCCAAGAAGAAAACATCAGAGGGCCTGAGAAAAAGCAAGAAATAAAATAAACATAATATGACTCTCATTCCCACCCTACAAAGGCTAGACAGAAGACCAGGGAATTGACAAATCTGAAAATATTCCAGAGAAACACTTCTACGTTCAGAAAACATCAATCAAATGGTGTCATCGCCGACCATGGTGACTCACGCCTGTAATCCCAGTGCTTTGGGAGGCCAAGGCAGGAGGATTGCTCAAGGCCGGAAGTTCAAGACCAGCCTGAGCAACACAGCAAGACCTCTGTCTCTACAAAAAAAAAAAACAAAAAACCGTAAAACAAAACAAAATGATACCACCAAAAATGTCAAAGATGTTTGCCTCATTTCGTTTCTTCTTTGAGGGAGGCAGGTAATGTTTTTCTCAATGGCGGCATAGTACACTATGGGAGAATGGCACCTGGGAGCTGGTGAGGGGACCAGGAAGGCTGGCCTGTTGCAGGCAGCTCTAAGGGATTCAGCAGGAAGGCCTCACTCTGCTGGCGACACTCGAATGGCTCCTGTCACAGACCTTACCATTTCCACACATGCTGGCCCAACTTGCAACTTCCAGCCCCTGTGTCTCTTTCTCTGTCCACCAGATCCCTGGCCAGAAGTGCATTGAATTGCCAACCCTGGGGAAACAGCTTCAACCAGTGATGGATGGAGAGGCAGTGCATACATTCCCCAGGCCCCTCACCGCCAAATGGGCTAACACAGGGCATAAGTTCTATACCACCTCCCGCCACTCCCCAGTGGTGGGAAGCTCCACAGCTGCTCATGTGGTGGCTGGCTTGATATGCACCTTTTACTGGCTGCCTTCCCTGCCATCCCCGTCACCTGCAGTGTTGTGCTGAAAAATGGCTCAGACCAGCTCACAAGAGCCGATTCCACCCATTTCTCCCCAAGGCCTCTTTCAGTTACATCACACTAGTAGCTTGAAATCAACCATAGTGGGAACATTCTCACCATGAAAATGGGCACACACTACAAACAATGGATTTTTTTTTTTTTCAGAGAGCCAGTCTGCCAGCACAACACTGCTTATTTTCCTACTTCTGTATCAGGGTCTCCTGGCATCACCTTCCAGATCAATTAACTTACACGCAAATCCTTGCTTCAAGGTCTGGATCTGGGGAAACAAAAGTTAAGAGAGGCTGGGCATGCTGGCTCTTGAACTTTGAGAGGCCAAGGTGGGTGGATCACTTGAGCCCAGGAGTTCCAGACCAGCCTGTGCAATATAGCAATATTCCATCTCTACAAAAAAAATTGTTTTAAAAAATTAGCTGGGTGTGCTGGCATGTGCCTGTAGTCCTAGCTACTTGAGAGGCTGAAGCAGGAGAACCCCTTGAGCCCAAGTAGTTCAAGGCTGCAGTGAGCCATGATCATGCCACTGCACTGCACTCCAGCCTGGACATAGAGTGAAACCCTGTCACACACACACACAAAAAAAAAAAAGAAAGAAAGAAAGAAAGGGAAGGAAGGAAGGAAGGAGAAAAGAAAAGAAACAAAAGAAAAAAAGAGAAGAAAAGAAAAGAAAAAAGAAAACAAAAGAAAAAGAAAAAGTTAAGACAGCTCCCCTGAGCCTGGAGATGAGGTGCAGTCACCCAGCCCACGAGGGTGGTGTGCCGGGGCCCAGGCTCATCCTTACCTTATACTCCTTTTGGCCTCCCCTCTTACCCTTATCCCTCCCACACCCAGGCCACAGCCACATCAGAGTCCCCCCACCCTTCCTAATACCCTCAGGGAACATCTATGGCTTATATCCCCCTATCCTCCAGCCCTCTCTACTTTTGGCAGTGCCCTGATCTTCCTTAAGGAAGGTGGTAAGTTGCAATATTTGCAATTTTTCTCCCGTCTCCACATCTATTCCCTCCACCATCTGTCATTACAGTCTATCTCACTAAAGAAGCAAAATTTGGCTGGGCACAGTGGCTCATGCCTGTAATACCAGCACTTTGGGAGGCAACGCAGAAGGATCACTTGAGGTCAGGAGTTTGAGACCAGCCTGACCAACATGACGAAACCCTGTTTCTACTAAAAAGAAAAAATAAATTAGCTGGGTGTGGTGGCAGGGCCCTGTAATCCCATAATCCCAGCTAGCAGGGAGGCTGAGGCAGGAGAATCCCTTGAACCTGGGAGGCAGAGGTTGCAGTGAGCCAAGATCGCGCCACTGCACTACAGCCTGGGTGACAGAGCGAGACTCCACCTCAAAAAAAAAAAAAACAAAAAACAAAACAAAAAAAAAAAAAAACAAGGAGAAGAAGAAGCAAAGTTTATATCCCAGCCTCAGTCTTGTAACGTGCTTTGGTCAACGGAATGAGGCGGAAGTAACGGTGTGCTAGTCTATCCCTAGGCCTTGCAAGTACATCGCTGTTCCTTCTTGCTGTGTTGTGACTCTGCTGTCACCAGAAGGTGAACAATCTGGGTTGGTCAGTTGGTCCCCGAAGGAGAAGGAGAGAGAAGAGCAGAGCTGTCCCCACTAACTACCCCAGACAAGCCCAGCCTGGAGCAGACCCTCCAGCCAACCTGCAGATGTGTGAACAATAAACATTTCCTGTTTTGTGTGCCACCAGGGTCTGTGGTTGCTCGTGACAGTAAAGGGAACCATCTATACCCACTCTCACTCCACACGGTTCAGGTGGAGCTGACCCCATCTCACAGTTCCAGAAGGGACACAAGACAGTCAGTACACTCCACACCCTGGCCTCAGTTGCTATGTCACGAATGGGCATGAGATCCAAGCCAGGCCAATGAGACCCAACTCTGGGACATTTCCTGGAACTTCTGGGAAAGAGATACTCACTTTCCACTGTGGTAGCCTAGGTGGTGGGATGTCAACCAGTAGCTGCGGGCTGCCTTCTTCCCATGGCAGGGGAAGAGACTTTTGAGAATGGAGCAGTCATGTGTTGGTAAACAAGCTCTCCTCCCACCAAAAAAAAAAAAGAAAAAAAGCGCTTATTTATAGCATTTGCCAATTTCCATGATACAAATACTCCGACCATGGCCAGTTTCATGCTACCAACGATGACCAACTGGTGCCCAAAATTCCTGAATGTTTTACAATTTGCTCTAGCACACCATTGAGAGGAGCCTATGCCACAGAAAACAGAGCCAAATGATGGAGAGATAGGCAGTATCCTGGTGATATTATTTGAGCCCCTAGATCTAGCCATGCCTGAAATCCATTAATACCTCTGTACTTGACTCTTACGTGAGTCAACCACTTCCTTTTGTTTCTTCTAAAGCCAGTTTTATTTGGGTTTCCTTTATGTGCAACTGAATAAAGACAGATGAATACACCCACCTCCATGTTTCTCCACTGCCTTTGTGCCTTGAGGAATCAGAATAAATCACTAAAAAATAATGCTTCCTGTCCTCAAGCATCGGACTCCAAGTTCTTCAGCTTTTGGACTCTTGTATCTACACCAGCGGTTTGCCAGGGGTTCTCAGGCCTTCGGCCACAGACTGAAGGCTGCACTGTTGGCTTCCCTTCTTTTGAGGTTTTGGGACTCGGACTGGCTTCCTTGCTCCTCAGCTTGCAGATGGCTTATAATGGCAAAACAATCATTCTTTAAAATATTTTTAATTGAGATGGGGGGTCTCACTAAGTTCCCAAGTCTGGTCTCGAACTTCTGGCCTTAAGTGATATCCCAAAGTGCTGGGATCACAGGCATGAGCCACCACGCCTGGCCCAAATCAATCATTTATGCAACATCAATTATGTGCCAGGCACTTTATAGGAAAGTTACTCCAGTAATCTTCATATCAACCTTACAAGATAGAGATCATTGGGTCCACTTTTTAGGTGAGCAAGCTGAGAGAGAGAGGCTGAAGGACTTGTTTTAAGGGCATGCACTTGAACCAGTATGAGAACCCAGATCCAACTGACATCAGAGCCCATGACTCACCCACCACCCCCTGGGGCTTCTCTTCCCTTAGCCACTGGCCAGTCCTCCTGCCTGAATGCTCCCTGAATCACCTCCACCTGGTAATCTCTGATTCATCTTTCAAGCAACTAAGTAATTTGCCCAAGAGCACGAAGACAGAGTATAGCAGAGGCAGGGTGTAAACTCTGCTCCTCAGCCTGCTCAATCCTCAACTCACCTTACCAGTCGGTTATGAGGAAGAAAGTTTCTAGTTCCTTTAACTTCCCAGAGAACTCTGCGCAAAGCAGAAAGAAAAACATTGCTGAACATTGCCACAATGCTGATTGATGAATAGTCGGCCTGATGGTTAATATTGAGTGTCAACTCGATCAGATTGAAGGATGAAAAGTTTTGTTCCTGGGTGTGTCTGTGAGGGTGTTGCCAAAGGAGATTAACATTTGAGTCAGTGGATTGGGAGAGGCAGACCCACCCTCAATCTGGGTGGGTCTAATCAGCTGCCAGTGTGGCTAGAATAAAATCAAGCAGAAGAATGTGGAAATGCTAGACTGGCTGAGTCTTCCGGCCATCTTTCTCCCGTGCTGGGTGCTTCCTGCCCTCAAACATTGGACTCCAAGTTCTTCAGCTTTTGGACTCTTGGATTTACACCAGTGGTTCGCCAGGGGCTCTAGGGCCTTCAGCCACAGACTGAAGGCTGCCCTGTCGGCTTCCCTATTTTTGAGGTTTTGGGACTTGGACTGGCTTCCTTGCTCCTCAGCTTGCAGATAGCCTACTGTGGGACTTCACCTTGTGATCGTGTGAGTCAATACTCCTTAATAAACTCCCTTTCATATATACATCTATCCTATTAGTTCTGTCCTTCTAGGGAACCCTGACTAATACAGTCGGTAAACCATGGGCCTCAGAGCCAGTGTCTGGTCCTGCTCTATGCCTAGGCTCCACTGAGTGAAGCCAACTCTGGCCCAGGATGGGTTCTGCTAGTTGGCCGAGTCCTCAACAAAATGTCTTGGAATGCACTTCTTTCTCCTGACGGTGGAGAAATGGCCAGCCACCTTTGGTTCATGCCGATATTTCAGATTCTGCACTTCCCCACAAAAATGGCTTCTTCTCCCATAAGCCCAGTCCCTGCTAGCTGTATCACCAACCTCTCAGGTACTCAGGACCTGCCCACTGCTTCCTTTTTTGCTCCTCCCTTTCCTCTGAGAGCACGCAGGCCCACACAGAGCTAGTCAGTTGCTTACTTGCTGCTGCAGCTGCATACGCTCAGGACTCTTGTGTGCAGGTTATAGAAAACTCAATTCAATTTCATAGTCCCAGGTACCTGAAATGGCTAGGGTGTGTCTGATTCAGGGGCTCCAATCATGGCCTCAGGACTTGGTCTCACTTCTCTATCTCTGACTCTGTTTTTGCCTGTGTGACTTCATTCTGCCACTTTGGGCCCTAGAAGGTCCAGATTCACTTCCTGCCGGAAGTGTCCCTTTAGAGACAAGATCTCACTCTGTAGCCCAGGCTGGAGTGCAATGGCACGATCACGGCTTACTGTAGCATTGGAGTCCTGGGCTCAAGCAATCCTCCCACCTCAGCCTGCTGTGTATCTGGGACTACAGATACTAATTTTTTATCTGTAGTGCCAGACTACAGATAAAACTGTAGTCTAACTAATTTTTTTATTTTTCTTTTCTAGAGACAGGGTCTGGCTATGTTACTCAGGCTGGTTTCAAACTTCTGGCCTCAAGCAATCCTCCCGCCTCGGCCTTCAAAAGTGTTGGGACTATAGGCCCAGCCTCACCTCCCCATTTTAACAATCTACTACACAGCTCTGAATCTTTCAACTTCCACCAAAAAAAAACAAAACAAAACACTTGCATGGTTCCCTATTGTCTAGGCCACAAAATCCAAGATCCTAGACCTGAAACTCAAAACCTCCATGCTCTGACTCTCCTGTAGTCCATGCTCTGACTCCAGCATAATTCTCCAGCCTCATCACCTTCAGCTTTCCATCACTCATTTGCCTGACAATTCAGCCAATCAAGACTAGCTGCTGTTCTTTCAATACACCTTACATTTCCTCTACTTTAAGCCTTTCCCTCATGCTGTGCCCTTCTTCTGGAATGCTCACCAACTCCCACCTCCACTTCTCCAAGTCCCTGAAATCAAGCCCAGCTGGATGGCTACTACTCCAAGGAAGGCTCATTTCTGCTGAATGCACACCAGCTCCAATCCTCCAAGGCAAATACTCCTGCCCCTTCACCACCTGGTCCTCAGCCCTTTTCTCATGGTGCAGTTCATCTATGAAAGAGACTGAGCCCCTATGAGTGAGGGTGATGTCAACACAACAGCAGGCACCCTTGGTAACCAAGTCAGCTTCCATATTGATCAGGACTCTTTTGATTGCAAGAAACCAAACTCGGATCTTTATAAAAGCAAAGGTAATTGACTCAGTCAGAAGCACATACAGCACGAGAGTTGTAGGCATGGCTACACTTAAGGTAGGTAATTAAGGTATCACATTTCTCTCTCTCTCTCTCTCTCTTTCTCTCTCTCCCCCCACCACCCCCACTCCATGTCTTATTTCTGCCTTTTTTGACATAATGGCCTCATTTTCTTCTACTGTTGATAGCTTCCTTCATGTAGCTGGAGAAGGTGGGCTTCTAGTGACTCCAGCTTACAACACCCTTAGAACTGGGGATCTCAGAGGATGGAAAGCTGTCTTCGCTAACACTAGGGCAGCAAAATTCTGGGGAGAACTCTGGCTGCCTTGTGTCACATGATTGTCCCTGAGCCAATCACTGTGGCCCAAGGAATACAGTTCTCTGACTGGTCAGATCTGTGCAGCACATGCATGGCAGGCTCAGCCCCACCCTCAGAACTACACGGACTGGGCACCCCTGGGAAAGAAGGGTCTGTTGCCAGAAGACAAGAAAAAAAGGAGAAGGAAGGGGAGGGGAGGGGAGGGGAAAGAAGGGAAGGGAAGGGAAAGGAAGGGGAGAGAGAGAGAGAGAGAAAGAAAGAGAGAAAAGGGGAAAGAAAGAAAGAAGAAAGAAAAGAAAAGAAAGAAAGAAAGAAAAACAAAAATGAATGAATGAAGGAAAGCAAGGAAGAGATTTACCCCAGTACCCTCCCAACACCCAAGCATGAGCTCTGATCCATACAGTGGATTATCAACTTAGCTGTTGCTGATAATGATGCCTGAAAAGATACATATTGAAATAACAGCAGTTATTCTTATTACTCACATCTGTTGAGCAACAGTATAACAGGCACGATTCTAAGTACTTTACATGTATTAACTCATTTATTCCTCATGACAATCCCCCGAGGTAAATACAATTATTAGTCCCATTTTACAGATGAGAAAAGTGAGGTACAAACAGGGAAGACACTTGCCCAGAGTCTCCTCCTGGTTACAAAGTTGAGGAGGTGGGATTCAAACCCTAGGTGTCCAGTCCCACAGCCTGTGCCCTCCCCGCTGCCCAATACTGTCTGCCTGGTGGTGTCTGGTATAATCTGGACATGCAGAGGAGCAGGAGAAGCCTGTTCCGCACTTTGTTACAGCCACTGATCTTCCCAAATTCTCCTTCATAAAAGCAGCCCAGAGGCCTGGCAAGCAGCTTCTGCCAGGCTCTGCCATTTGCCCCAAGGAAGGAGGATCGATATGACAGCCCAGCCCTCGCTACCTCACCACCCCCTCCCCTCCAGTGAGCCACCGTGGGGGTCTTCACCTGGCAACCCTCCGCCAAAGCTCCTGGCTCAGTCACAGGTGCAGCAGTGGCATAGAGCGTCAGAGCATGGGGGCCACAGAGGCCCCAGTGCCAGGAATAGAAACCAGAGCCCCAGGCCAGCACACCACTGGGGAGGGGCAGGAGGGGAGAGACAGACAGACAGAGAACATCAGAGACACACAGGAAGAGAGCAAAGGCAGAAAGCGTGAAGACACACAGACGGGGCCCCCTCCTCATGTGCCCTCCCACAGCACTCGCCATCAGCATATGTAACTCTCTCCTCTCTGGGGCTGGGGGTAAGAGGGGGACAAGGAGGACCCTTTTAGAACCAGCAAATAAAAGTTGGGCAGCAATTTGGGCATACATTTCTTTAGTTTCTATTCTCCTCAAGTCTCCTAAGCAGGGAAAGAGGCTCCGGGGCAAAGTGAGGGAGGACAGATGCCCATGGGGCAGGGTATGGGGGTCAGGGTTAGGCCCATATTATTACTATCATTATTATTAATATGAAAAGGAAGGAAGAAAGGAAGGAAGGAAGGAAGGAAGAAAAGAAGGAAGGGAGGGAGGGAGGGAGGGAAAATAAAGAAAAGAGAGCGAGAGAGAGATTAAGAAGGAAGGAGGGAAGGAAGGAAGGAAAGAAAGAAAGAAGGAAAGAAAGAAAGAAAGAAAGAAAGAAAGAAAGAAAGAAAGAAAGAAAGAAAAGAAAAAAAGAAAAGAGAGAGAAAGAAGAATAAAAGAAGTAAAAAAGAAAAGAAAAGGAAGGAAGGATCCATAATGCCTTCCACTTGACCTCACCCCAAATGATGGTCCTGATGCTCAGAAAGCCCCAGAATCCCCCTGATCTCTTGGCCAAAGCTCCAAAGGCCAAAGCCTGCAGCCACTGAGCCCTGCAAAGTAGAAATGAGAGGTCCGGGGGACAGTGAAAGGTCCTGGGGACAGTGAGAGGTCCCCAAAACATGGGGGAGCACGCCTGACCCTGTCCATCCCTCCCCGCAGGAGCTCAACGCTCTTCTGACCCACATCACATGGGACCCGCCTTCTCTCAGAATATCTGCTTGCTTTAGTGGACATGGGCTTGAGATCTTACTGTGTCCCTAAACCAGCCCTGTGACCTTGGTTAAATCCTTCCCTCCTGAGACCTCATCTGCCATCTGTACAGCAAGGGGCCCTTCCAGGGCTGGCATTCTGTGGCTCATAGGGTTTGGCTGTGTCCCCACCCAAATCTTACCTTGAATTGTAGCTCCCATAATTCACATGTGTTGTGGGAGGGACCCCATGAGAGATAATTGAATCATGGGGGCAGTTTCCCCCACACTGTTCTCATGGTAGTGAATAAGTCTCATGAGATCTGATGGTTTTATAAGGGGTCTCCCCTTTCACTTGGCTCTCATTCTCTCTCGTCTGCTGCCATGCAAGACATGCCTTTCACCTTCCACCGTGATTGTGAGGCCTCCCCAGCCACGTGGAACTGTGAGTCCATTAAGCCTCTTTTTCTTTAAAAATTACCTAGCCTCGGGTATGTCTTTATCAGCAGCATGAAAATGGACTAATACAGCGGCCTTGTGACTCTGTGGGCCATCACCTTCAGAATCAGAGGTGCCTTCCCAGGGGTGCTACTCAGGGACTCCCACGCTATCCACCCTGTCCCTCCCGTGAAGCCCCTGAATGCTGTCCAGCTTCCCCACCTCTTCCCTGCCTGCCTATCAAACCTTAGCTGTCCCATGCCCACAAGATCTTGCCAAGTAGCTGACCAACATCCATGGAAACTAAGATGGCCCAAGGTGAGATAGGAGGTAAGGATAGCCCGGCACACCATGAGATCTCAGCAGCACTGGTAGGGCCTGACATTTGGGCTGACAGTGTGGATTTAAGACAGCGTGTGCAATGGAAGAGGACAGGTGGGAACCCCTCTAACTCTCCCAGAATAGGACTGACCCATGTGGAGCTAGAATTAGGGGTCAGAACGCCCCCGCCCCCCCAACCCTCCCCAGGGCCCAAGAGACAGACCTTGAGACCTTAAAGGAGGGCGAAAGGGAGGCAGGATGACCCACCGGTACATCTGCCTCCTTCTCACGATGACAGGGCCTTGGCAGCCACGAGGGCGCTGTGGCTCCCAAGCACCTCTGCACTGAGCAATGCATCGCATCCCCACCACCTGCGCCAAATGTCAGCCTCGGCGCACGGTGCCCCACCCCATTCCCGAAAACCAAAGGCACCCCTTCTAGAGAAGAAAAAGAGGGAGCCTCATCATTAATAGCGCTGGCGGCAAGGTAAAGCCGCCCGCCCGCCCCCGCGCACCCTCGCCCATAATTATGCCAGCGCGCCTTTCATCCCCACGCGCACAAGCAGAAAGTTTATTGTTGTATTTCAGCCTTTTTTCAGTCTCCTCTGCCTTTCATGCAAGGGGAAGGGTGCTGAGGGGTCAAAGCACCTCCCCCACCTCCTCTCCCTGCTGCAGTCCTTTTAGAAAAACACCCAAAGCCATAATTTGTCTTAGAATTTCTTTTGAAACAGCTACAAGAAAGACTAACGACTGCTCTTTTCCCTCTGTTTCTGATTCCAGCCATCCCTTTATCTGGCTTTCATTAGAGCCTCGGCCGCGCCTCTTTTGTGGGAGAGACTTGAGGGAGCCGAGGCAGTTTCCCAGCCGCTGTGATGTTGCTAAAGATTAAAAAGGAGCTTTGAAGCTGCACCAGTTCTCTCTGTGCCCCCTCGGTACAGGACCTCAGAAAGACCCAAGCCATCTGGCAAACCTGACATAAAGACAAAATAAAGTGATTGAAACAGTCTCTTCAAAGCCACAATGGCAGATTTGTTGATTTGGGCGTTATCTTTCATGCGAGGCCCTCAGAAGTCACCAGAACACCTAGGTAATCTCAGGCGGGCCTGACTGGAGTGGATGGAGCTTTCCAGGCCGAGGCTCAGAGAGGGGCCCAGCCTCACCTGGCGGGGGCCCTGGGATGGCCTGCGGGCCCCCGGAAACTCCACAATTGGACACAGAGCCCAGGCCTCGGCAGCGGTTTCCAGCGAGGCCTCCTCCCTCCAGCCCCTGCCTGGGTCCCAGCTCCGGAGCGGCCCCAGACCCAGACAGACAGACAGAGCCAGGAGAGGAAGCTGGTGCGAGGCTGCCCTGAGCAGGAGGGGATGGCAGGAGATGAAAGGCTGCTGCCCTGATTACAGCCGACAGCCCATTAGTAATGCCCTGGCAGCTTCGGTATCAGAACCTGCTTCTCACAGCCCCCAGCTGGGCAAGGCCTGGGCAGATGGCTGTTTGCCAGGTTCCAGGGGAGGGTCTCCCTCAGACAACTGAGTCTTGGACCAGCAAAGATCCTGGAGCCACAGACCCCTGGGCAGCTCTGGCCCAGTTCTGCGTTAATGGGTCAGAGTTAACATAACCTGGAACCTGGCAGTCTCTGGGCCTCAGCTTGCCTTCCTGCAGAAGGGACAGGACTTAACCTATGGGTGGAGTTTCCCTTATCCTGTTGGGTGGCAAAGCCTGGAGCCCAAAGCCTTGGATCCTGAGTGCACCCCGGGCCTGAGCGGGAAGCCTGGAGGAGGTGGCGTCAGAGCCAGTGCTGCAGCTGGACAGTCCCTCCCACACTGAGTTCAGTGCAGGGATTTGGGGGATACCATCCCACATAACCACTTGCTGATGCAACCGCAAGTAAATCATTCCCCTCTCAGGGACTCAGCCCCAGTAGAATTCAAGGGTAAGAGGTGGCCAGAGATACTGGCATGCTGGGAAGAACTGGGGCTCCATGAACACCCCCAAAGGGACAGAGGTGGAGTCAAAAGAAGCTGAGTGGCTGGGCCTGTGGTTCACACCTGTAATCCCAGCACTTTGGGAGGCCGAGGCAGGAGGATCACTTGAGCCCAGGAGTTTGAGACCAGCCTGGGTAACAGCCTAGGCAACATAGCAAGACCCCATTTCTATTTTTTTTTAATAAAAAAATTTTTTGGTAAAAAATAAAAGAAGCTGAGCAAGTAGTCTTTTTTTCTTCTTTCTTTTCTTTTCTTTTTTTTTTTTTTTTTTTTGTGAGACAGGGTCTTGTTCTGTCACCCAGGCTAAAGTGCAGTGGTGCAATCATAACTTACTGCAGTGTCAACTTCCCAGGCTCAAGCAATCCTCCTATCTCAGCCTCCCAAGTAGCTGGGACTACAGGTGCATGCTACCATACCAAGAGAAATTTTAATTTTTTTGTAAAGATGAAGTCTCGCTGTTGCCCAGGCTGATCTTGAACTCCTGGGCTCAAGGGACTCTCCCACCTTAGCCTTCCAAATTGTTGGGATTACAGGTGTGAGCCCTGCCCCTGGCCTGAGTAGGTGGTCTTTAAGTTCCCCACTTCACTGCAAACAGCTGCTCTGCTTGTATCTGCTACACACACTGAGCTTCAGAATAAGATCTCCAGGCTTTTTTTAAGTATCTGCTTATTAAAACACACATACAATTTAAAAGCCACAGGCCTTGAGGGCCTCTGCTCGTTCCTTCTGACCTCCTTGAACCTGTGATTCTAATCGGACCCTGATGAGCTCAATAAGAGCTGGACTTCATTCTACTCAGTTTCAGCAAAATAATGAATTCACAAAGTCTAACCATCGATCAAAAACCAAGAATCTGTGGAAAATCTGTTCTGCCCTCCCACCCCAGAAAAATATAATACCTGCCTGTCCTCAAACACCAGGCCCAGAAAAGATTTCTAAAGGACGTTCACACCCCCAGGGGATATAATAAGTCTCCAGCTGCTTTCTAAGCCAGAGAGAGAGGGCCTCTGGTCACAGCCCTTGGAGACAACTTGCCCAACCCCATCTTTCTCTGGCCAGATCCAAGACCAGGGTCTCGGCTCCTCCTCTATGCTATCTTCTTCAGAGGACTCAAAGGGGAAACTTCTCATCACAGCTGATCCCAACCCACCTTTCTTTCCTTCCAGAAGCACAGTTGGCTCTGCCACCAGGGTAGGAGGCCCACAACAGAGATTTCCTGGCCTCTTGGCAGCAATGTGCCAGCATGAGATGAGGCTGTGCCAGCATAAGATGAGGCTTCCATCTGTTGTCCTCCCAAAAAGGGAGAGGAAGTCCAGCTCCACAGAGAGGCAGTGCCACAGAGCACATGTGGGAGGGGGCAGCCTGCCCACCAACCCCTACAGGGAACCTTCCAGGTAGACAATTTGCCCCTCCTTTTCTAACCATGCCTCCACATCTTCTCAGTCTGGTGAACTCCTACTGATCCTTCAAAACACATCTCCAATGTTACTCCTGTGAAGCCTTTCTGAGCTTCCTTCTCACATACCACTCCCAGCTCATGTGCCACTTCATCCATATCTGTCTTGCGTAGCTCTGAAATCAAATGATAATAATGTTTCCAGGAAGAGCGCACACTGGAAGTGGAAGGACCTCAGTTCAAATGTCAGTTCCCTTATTCAATAGCTATGAGACTTTGGACAGGTCACTTTGCCTCTCTAAGCCCCAGTTTCTTTATCTATAAAGTTGAAAAAATAAAATTTATTCTCTAGGCTGGTTTTTGTTTGTTTTTAACAGTCTTGCTCTTGTCACCCAGGCTGAGTGCAATGGCACAATTTCAGCTCACTTCAACCTCCTCTAGGCTGGTTTTGAAGATTCTGTGATGTACGTGAGAGAACCTAAAATTATGTCCAACACATAGAGGCACCCAAGAGAAGTGGGCTTCATTTCTTCCTTAGAAGAGTTGAGTTTCTCAAGGACAGGAACCAGGTCTTCGTTCATTCATTTATTCACTCGTCATCACTGAACTCTTGTTGGGAACCAAGCCCAGAGCCAGAAGTTGGGTTATGTAGCAGGTCACAAAACAAACTCTGTCCAGGGTCCATACATCTCACAACAGTCTTCCTCACCTGTGTCTCTCTGGAACCTGCTGTGGCTGACACTGATCCCACTCTCCTCAGGTGCTTTGGGCAAGGGCAGGTCTTCCGAGTCCAGGCTGAAATTTGCCCGCCCCTAGGATGGTCAGCAGGACTCTTTTCAGCTCTCGACATCCTCTGAGCCTTGTCTGAGCACTCTGGGAGGAGAGAGATGAAAAGCAGCCATCATCCCCACTCTCAGGGAGCTCCTGATCAGACGGAAGAGACCCCCATCTCATACCTGGAGGGTTTTCAGCCTGATGAAAGAGACAGACTCATCGATCTCAACCTTGAAAACTCCCAATCTGATGGCAGGGTCACATTTTCCTGATTTGGGGAAGTCCCATTTGGAGAGGAAAGAGCAGAGTTCCATTTTCCCTAATACTGCAAACTCTTAGTCTAATGGAGGAGACACATGCCTCCTGATCCTGGCCCAGTTTATCACTGATGGGGGTGAGATTGTTCCCATCACAGGAGGGGACCTCCTCTGATGGGAGAGGCAGTCTGTGCACATAGATAGCTTGAGAGTCAGATAAAACAACATGTATGGGGGAAAAAAGAGATCAATGTAGGGTCCTTTTGAAAAGCTGGCTGTGCAAAGTCTCTATCCATTTGTCTGTGGACTCAGAAGGGATATTCCTGGCTCTACAGATGCACCGTTTGAACTCGCAGAGCTGGACATAAATGACAGAGGCATCCGCCTCACGAGCATCCAGTCAAGCTCCTCACCAGACAACCCACACCAGAACTGGCCAGAGGCCCCGTCACTGGCATCCTGCACCAGCCTTGCCAGGGGAGGCTTTCTCACGATCAGGGACATCTGGGCTGGCCCAGCTCCCAGAGGCCACCGACATGAAAAGCGAGGGGCTCCGCGGAAACACCATCTGCACATCATAAAGCCGCTTGGTGACTCCCAGGGTCTGCCTCCATCTGCGGCTGGGTTGCCCGGGAAAAGAGAGGAAGGTACCAAGCGGCCAGGAGGAGGGGGCCAGGGGGAGAATAAGGATGGCCAAAAGGGGAGAGCCAGGCTGGCAGGCTTCCACCTGGCACCCTATGCACTGGGGAAGTTAACATCACCTGGTTTGTCTCCCTGTCGCTGCCTGGGAACACAGTGGGTTATGCCTATCCCTGGAGGTGACTTGGTGACAGGGGTAGAATACAGTGCTGGTTATGCTTTCAGTGGCCATACCTCAGTTTCCATGTCCGTACATTGGGGGTAATAATAATCTCGTCCATATGGTGGGTTTGCTATGGGAATTAAAAGTAATACAAGTATTGAGCTATACACTTAAGATCTGTACACGTAACATCTGCAATGTGTGATCCACACCTGGTTTAAAGTAAGTGTTCAGTCATCGTTGTCATCATCCCGCCTCCCAGACACTGTCCTGCAGCTCTGGGAGCAGGCATCTGTGATGGGAGGAGCCATCCAGGATATTTCACTGGCCATCCTGCCCAGGGCCCCACCCTCAACACCAAGTCCAAAGCTGATTGGACAAAGGATAGGGCCTGGCCCAAGAAAGCTCATTTATTGGCAGTTGAGCAGAGCCTATCAGATTCTCTGTGGAGAACTTGAGCTGGAGTTGGTTTCTGCCTACGGGTGATCACCTTGGGCCATGTTGAAGCAGAGGAAGGAGGCAGAGAGGAAGAGAAAGAACAGAGATGTAAGAACAGCAGAAATGAGAGAGATACGAGGTTCCTGAGAGGTGGAAAGAGGTGACAGAAGGGAGAAGGCCTTCGGTCATTTCTTTTGGGTTCCCATGTGAGTTCCCAGTAGATAAGGCTGTACCAATGATCATGAACCTATGGTTTGTGCCAAGAAGTACAAACACAAATATGCACATACCACACTCCCCACCCCACATCCCATCATACCAACATACTGACACCCCTTTTTACTTTTTTCCTTACAAGTCCCTACCCACATGCAAACAATTTCCTGAATGGTAAATCCCAGGAGACCAATTTAGTGGAGTGGGGCTCAGAAGCTGAGAGAGAGAAAGCAGTGAATAGTTCCGGAAAATAGCATTTTTGGAGAAAGTGGAGAGAAGAGAAAAGATGGCTGGCTGTAGGAGAAAAAACATAGGTGCACAGAGAGTGCTCAAGGGGAAGTCTAGAAAGTTTCTGAACTGTGGTGCATGATCCTTGCAGCAGAGCATCGTCAAATCATATCACCTGCCATCTCCCGGTTCTGCTCTCCCCCATGTTGGCTCCATCCTTTGCCCCTCCAGCTGGCAAGACAGCTGCTGGCCTCTACAGTGGCGTCAGCCCTCAACCACAGACAATAGCAGGGGCTCCAGTGTCTTGGTTTGGGCTCCCTCAGAAGGAGACCCTTAGTCAACGATTTTAGGACAAATGGTTTCCTTGGGAAGTGATCACAGGAAGTACTGGTAAGGGAATGGGGAAGAGAGCCAGCACGGAGAAGGAAGCCAATACAAGATATGTTACCATGCAGTTATCTCTGTGGGCACCCGGAGCCTAATCCCACTGGGGAACTGTGAGGGCCAGGGTAGAACATGCACCTCGCAGAGAAATGGGGTATTTATCCACCAGCTCCCATCAGCCATTGGTTGAGGGCTGCCACAAAGCTGGGACTAGGACTCCTCAAATTTTGCACCCTACGCACCTCACTTGCCTCCCCTGGCTACCTTGGCAACTCCTTGGCTCCATTAGCCCCCTGACTTCTAGCCCCTGCAGCACACATGGACAGAGTGGGCCCCAGCAGCCTGAGAGAGTACTCAAGCATAGACCCAAAGACGGGCAATTGGAAGTTCAGCCCGTGTGCATGGAAACGGCAAATACCAAGAGGCTATGCATGGGGCCCAGTCAGGGGCTGCTACATCCTGCAAAAAAAAATCTCATAGTATCTCAAAGGTTCTGATTGGGTCATATGTTCATCCCTGGACCAATCACTGAGGCCAGAGGGATGTGACACGCTAATTGAGTCAGTCTTAAGAGTGGTGGAGGGGGCAGGAAGAATGAGGGGGTAAGTGTGTTCCCTGTGTACCTTATAGAAACGAAGAGCATGAACCATAGCAACTCTCAGAAATAAGACAAAGAGGCATCAGTTGGGTGGCCAGGAAAACAAGACACACAAATGACCACGCCTCAGCCCCAAGTTGCAATTAATCAGAAGGTGAGAGGGTTGGGTTTAGCTTGTCAAAAGCCCTTCCAGCAAAACCCTTTAGCTAGTCACTTTAAACTTTGGTTTAAAGCATTAATTGAGCACTGACCTGTGCCAGACATTATGTCAGGCTCCGAGAGGACACAGATGAAAAGGTCTAATTTCTGTTCTCTGGAAACACAGGCAAGGGTGGCAGTGGAGATGGAAAAGCCAACGACTGCTGTTTCAACGATCATTTCAGCAGATCTGTTAATGAGATGCCACTGATCGTGACACACACAAATTATTTCATGAGCCACCAAGGAAAAAGAAAAGTTGCCAATTAAATATGTCACACCTTGGATAATAAGATTTATCCCGATTTTAGAGATATGAAATGTAAAAAAGATGAGTTTTAGAACTGATGGATTTTGGTCATATTTCATAGCTTATAAAGGATTTTTTTTTTCTTTCTTGAGATGGAGTCTCACTCTGTCGCCCAGGCTGGAGTGCAGTGGCGCGATCTCGACTCACTGCAACCTTTGCCTCCCAGGTTCAAGCAATTCTCTGCCTCAGCCTCCCGAGTAGCTGGGACTACAGGTGCATGCCAACATGCCCAGCTAATTTTTTGTATTTTTAGTAGAGACGGGGTTTCACCATGTTAGCCAGGATGGTCTCGATTTCCTGCCCAGCCTATAAAGGATTTTTTTATAGACACTATCCCATTAGGTACTCACTACAAACCTGCTGGGGGTAATATCACTGCTATTTTCCATTCCGTGAAACTGCACTCAGAGAGGTCAAGTGACTTTCCCAAGGTCGCTAAGCTACTAAACAGCCAAAGTGGAACTCAACCCCAGGTCTGCCTGGTTGCAGAACCAGGAGACCACCAGGTCTCCCTGACACTTTTGTGACTCCTGGTCCATCTTTTTACCAAACATGGACCTCGCCCATCTTTGTTTGCCTCCCACTTCAAAACAAGGATCCCAACCAACTCCACCTCCCTCTGCTCCCACCCACCCATATGCCTGGTCTTGAGATTTCTGTTCCCAGGAGCTTTCTTCCCTTCCAGGCAAAACAGCCTTCCTTGGTGACCACAGGCAGATCGTATGGTCACCCAATCATTCCCAGCTCCCCTCAAGGCTACTGCCATGGTGAGCACTACTCAAACCTGGGTCCCTACCAAGGATTCTATTTTGAAGGAGCCAAGCCTTTGTCCCCCAGAATACCTTAAATTAGACCTATTTGATAATGGTTTGTGTGATAGTTTCCTCATGTATATGTTCCCTCATGAACATAGGGGTTCACACTTGGATTAATGCTCTGAGTTCCTACCTTGAAATTCTTAATAATTTTGAACAAAGGACCCCACGTGTTCATTTTGCACTCAGCCCTACAAATGACGTAGCTGGCCCTGGTGAGAATGGGCCCGCCACACTTAAAAGTATCTGAGCAAGAAGTCGGACTTGTTGCCCCATTCCTGGGACTCCTGAGGTCAGGAACTGTCCTGGTCACCTCTGTATGCTCTGGGAACAGGCAGTGCTCAGTTCCCTAAGCAGAGGGACTCCTCAGTAGGCACTGAATGAAGTGTGTGTGTGTGTGTGTGTGTGTGTGTGTGTGTGTGTGTGTGTCCATGCACACACAAGTCAGCCTATGTTCTTTCAGTTGCAAGGGCTAGAAATCCAGTTCAAAGTACACAAAACTCAGAGGGGGAATTTATTCAACCCTTGGATTGAAAAGTGTAAGAGGTTGATGAACTTCAGGCTCAGCTGGATCCAGAGACTCAATTACTGTCACCAGGCCACTAGCTCTTGGCTCTGCTTTCTCCACCATTAGCTTTATTCTCAGGCAGGGCCTCCTCTCAAGCCCCAAAAGCACCAGACTGACATACCACTGGCTCAGCAAGCTTTTCATGGAAAGGTCCCACCAAAGCCAAGCCTCAGTCCCTGCCCACCTCTGTACCAATCACCAAGCCAGGGGCTATGATATTCTCATTAACCAGATTCCAGTCACAGGCCCACCTCTGAACCAATCATTGGTCCTGGCAGCTGTGATACTCTCACTGGCAGGCCTGGGTCACATGCTCACCCCTGAACCAATCCTCACTGGCCCTCGCGGCTGTGACACTCTCATTGGCAGGCTTAGGTCATGTGGGGAGAGGAGGCTCTCTAAGTGGAAGTCAAGAGGCTGTTGCTAGAGAAAGTGTTTATTTGGTGCCCAATGGGCAGAAATAACTAGTAACATCAAGGCTTCTCTCTGCCTATGTCCCAAGATGGTCACTTGGGTCTGAAAAGCCTGAGAAACCTGCTGACGCAGAAGAGCAGCCTTGGAAACCTAGCAAAAAGGGAAGGCCTGGGACATACCAAGAGTCCAGACAACCAAAAGGCCCACAGGAGGGGTCAGCAGGACCGGGGCAGATCAGACAGGTGCCAGAGGCAGGCGACCACTCTGCACAGTTACCACCAGAGGGCAGCTGGCCAGGAGGCAGGGTAAACAGGAAGAGGTCAAGTAGCCTTGGGGAAACTCTGTACCTTGCCTGAGGCATGGCAGATAATAACACTGACTACTCACCCTTATTGAGCCTGGCCCTGTCCTAAGCATTTTTATGCATCAACTCAATGAATTATCACCAATGAGATTGGTACATTTATAACCCCATTTTACAGATGAGGAAGCCAAGGCTTTCAAGTAACGAGCCCAAAGTGTCATACGGCAGAAAGGGGGCAAGTCACGCGTCTATTCCACCAAACCCTGAGCCTCCTGAGGTTAGGGGCTGTGTCTTGTTTGTATCTGAAGTCCCTGTGGACCCTAACAATCACTGTGCTTAATGGATATCTGGTGAAGTGAAAGCCTGGGGCAGGGGGCGCTGTCACTGTGTTCTCCACCCTCCCCACCCTCCCCATCCCAGGAGGAAATTACCAGGCTCAGTTCAGGCAATACCCCTTCCAGGTGTGCTGACCTTGGAAGATGATTCTTAGACCTTGCCCTTGCTCTGTTGTAATGGACTCTCAGGCACTACAGTACTCACATCAGTAGAAGAGAGAGTTTGAGATTTTGCAAAGGCTTGACAACTCCAAAGTCTCATGGTGTAGGTCACTTATTTTTGTTTGAGGCGGTCTTGCTCTGTTGCCCAGACTGGAGCACAGTGGCACAATCTTGGCTCACTGAGACCCCCACCTCCAGGGTTCAAGCAATTCTTGTGCCTCAGCGTCCCAAGAAGCTGGGATTACAGGCATGTGCCACCATGCCTGGCTAATTTTTGTATTTTTAGTAGAGACAGAGTTTCCCCGTGTTGGCCAGGCTGATCTCCAACTCCCGGCCTCCAGTAATCCACCAACCTAGGCCTCCCAAAGTGCTGGGATTACAGGTGTGGGCCACTGCAGCCGGCCTGTAGGTCACTATTTATGCCTCTCCCAGGAGTAGCTGGCTGTGCAGTTGGGGGGAAGAGGAAGAACATATTTAATGTGAATTCATTCATCATCCTCCACTGGGCTCCCATGGTGGGCCAAATACCATGTTGAGTGCCTTGAGGGGGACAGAGGGAAGCATGACAAAACCTCCTCTCTCCAATCCCCTCCTGGGAGGAGAAATAAGTCACTGCCAGAAGGAAGAACACAGAAGGAAGTCCTGCCTTCCACAAGAGAGGACTTCAACCGTCTAATCATTTGGGCAACAAAAATGTATTAGGTACATGTCAAGTGCCAGTGAACAAAACAGAATAGACTCAGCTCTTGCCCTCAGGAAGTTCTCAGTCTTATGGGAAGGCAGACAATAGACAAATAAATACGGAATTGCAAATGTGATGTGTTTTATCAGAAACAGAAAAACCACAGGGTGCTATAAGAGAAACTAAAAGAGGTCCGGGTGCAGTGGCTCACGCCTGTAATCCCAGCACTCTGGGAGGCCGAGGCAGGTGGATAACCTGAGGTCAGGAGTTCAAGACCAGCCTGGCCAACATGGCGAAACCCCGTCTCTACCAAAAACACAAAAAATTAGCTGGGTGTGGTGGTGAGCACCTGTAATCTCAGCTACTCGGGAGGCTGGGGCAGGAGAATCCCTTGAAACTAGGAAGTGGAGGTTGCAGTGATCTGAGATCTCGCACCTGAACTCCAGCCTGGGCGACAAAAGCAAAACTCCATCTCAAAATATATATATAAATAAAGACAGAAACTAAAAGGGGACTTGTTGGAGCAGTTTAGGGTTGCCTTTCTGAGGTGGTGAGAGATGAGAAGAGGCCAGCCATATGAAGAGTGTGGGAACAGCATTCCAGAATAAGGGAATAGCATGTGTGAAAGGCCTGCATGGAGGAAGAGTGTGGCATGTTCAAGGGACTAAGATTAGGCAAATTATGTCTGGAGATTAGTGGGTAGAAGTAGGCAGTGGCAGAAATCGGGGTCAGAGAAGAGCACGAGGTCAGGTTACACTGAGCCTTGTAGGCTTAGGAAAAAAGCTTGGGCTTGATCTGAGATGGGAGACCCCCCAAAGGGTTATGAACAGGACGATGATGTGGCCTAATCCAATCTATAATCTATGTTTTTGTTTTTATTTTTGTAACGTACCACCACCCACAGAAAAATCCATGTGTTTTGTTTTTAACAGAGATGGGGTTCTCACTATCTTGCCCAGGTTGGTCTCAAACTCCTGGTCCTCCTACCTTGGCCTCCCAAAGTGCTGGGATTACAGGTGTGAGCCACTGCCCCTGGCCCGGAAATCTGTGTATTTCAAAGTCACTCTGGCTGTGGTGGGGAAAGTGGATTTATGGCGGAGCAGAGTGGAAGCCAGGAAATATGGCAGCTCTTGCTGAGTCAATAGCCAGGGTGCACAGATGAGGGGCTATTCCTTCCTCATAGCGGGCTCTGGGGAGGCTTTCAGAAGCAGATTTTACCCCAGGTGAAAGAGGGACAGGCAGGCAGGAAGGAGAAGGCTGTATTCCCCACTCCACTCACTTTTCTCCTAAATAAAGGGGAGAAAAAAGTTTTTCCTTTTTCTGCCTCAGAAACTATAAAGAGATGCCCATTCATTGGTGCCTTCCAAAATGCCTATGTGTAGACTTAAACAACAATAACAACAGAACATCAGCAGTTCTGAGTGCAAATAATTCAATGATGTTGTAAAATCTGGCATAAATAGATCTGGCTGAGCCTCACAACTTTTCTTCCGGGGCTGACAATGTCAGCAACTCCAAGTCTGAACCCCTACTGGCTCTGAAAGGCAAGATCACAGTAGAGAGAGGAGGAGAAAACGCCCCTGGGTTGCATTTCCCCAGCAAATGGGCATGTTTGCCTCTCTGAGGAGCAGGCCAAGCATCAGCCAAGCCGACTGGAATTGGATTTGTAGGAAAGAACCTTTCTACCAGTTCTTTATCAGTGACCAGTCTCATGGGGGACAGGGTGAACATTTTGTGAAGCGTGTTATGTTTGTTAGCAGCAAGGTGCCTCGGGGCTCCTGTCAGCGCCAAGTAACAGGGCTCTGAGTAATTGGGCTCGGGGCTCCCCTCAGTAATAGGGCTCCAAGTAACAGGTAACAGTGCTCATCATTTACTTCCTCCTCTCATTGGGCCCTCACAACCTGCTCATTCTCAAGGCAGGTAGAGAAACTGAGTTTAGAAACAGGTGTTTGTTTTGTTTTGTTTTGTTTTGTTTTGTTTTGTTTAATGCTTGGTTACTTTGGGTACAGCATCCATTCTCCAATCCTCTGGTCACAGTACCCTAATTTTTCTAAGGGATCCCAACTTACTTAGGCCATGTGGTTTAGGTGGCACTCGTCTCCCTCCCAAGCTCCTGGGTTAGAAGACCCATGGTCTAGGATTCACTTGTCCCTGAATTCTGCCACCACCTTGACCACCCTCCACCCACATCCCACCCCTTCATGGTCATAGGCTCTAGGTGGGTACATGATATAAACCAGTCCAATCACATAGCCCTGTGACTTTTGATGGGCCACTGGGGAAAGGCACATTCCCTTTTTTTCTGGACTGGGATCTATGAGGATATCATCTGGGAGCTTCTAGAGGCCAATGGAGCCTGTCTGAGGATGGGACCAGGGCAGAAGGAAGTAGACCAGAGAGAGAGAAAGCCTGAATCTTGGGGACATCATTTGAGCACCTGGATATAGCCACACCTGAAGCTCAACCTCATTAGGGATGGGTTTCTGACTGTCACATGGAGGCCAAGCAATGCAAGAATGAGAACCAGGCTTTGTGATCTCCAGTTCAGTGTTCTTCCCCTAAATCAAGTTCCAGCTGACTTTATCCAGCCACACAACAAGCTCAACTAATCTGTGTGTGGCTTTATGGTCTGCTAAAAGATGTGTATTTTAAAAATAAAAACATCTGATCATTATAATGTTTTATCTAACCGAATTACAGAGCCGTGGAAGGGCCCCTGGAAGTCCTATCACTGAGTGGTTTTCAAAGATTTTCAGCAGCTTCTTGTTTCAAATGAAGTTTTAAGCAGAATGCCTATGTGTGAGAAATAAAAGCAGTAGCTTGTTAGTGCAAATGTGTTTTATCTTTTACGTTAAAAGTTCTTAACATTTGGCTGGGCACAGTGGCTCACGTCTGTAGTCCTAGCACTTCAGGAGGCCAAGGCAGGTGGATCACCTAAGGTCAGGAGTTCGAGACCAGCCTGGCCAACATGGGGAAACCCTGTCGCTACTGAAAATACAAGAATTAGCTGGGTGTGGTGGTGCATGCCTGTAAACCCAGCTACTCGGGAGGCTGAGGCAGGAGACTCACTTGAACCTGGGAGGCGGAGGTTGCAGTGAGCCAAGATCATGCCACTGTACTCCAGCCTAGGAGACAGAGTGAGACTCCATCTTAAAAAAAAAAAAAAGAAAAAAAAAGTTCTTAACATTTACTTTTTACAATCAATGAAGACCCAAATGTCAATGTGTTATTCATTTCCAATGTATAAAATTTTATTATATATTTGCATGTGTGGGAGGTTTTCAATCACTTTTTAAAAATTATTTATAATTGATACATAATAATTATACATATTTATGGGGTACAGAGTGATATTTTGATACATATATGCAATGTGTAATGATCAAATCAGAGTAATTAGCACATCCATCACCTTACACATTTATTATTTCTTTGTGTTGAAAACATTCAAAATCTTCTTTTCTAGCTATTTGAAATATACAATAAATTATTATTAACTATAGTCACCCTACAGTGCCAAAGAACACTAAAATGTATTCCTCCTATCTAGCTAAATATCCATCAGCAGACGAATGGATAAAGCAAATACACAGTGGAATACTACTCAGCCTTAAAAAAAGAAGGAAATCCTGTTGTTTGAAATAACATGGGTGACCTGGAAGACACGACATTAAGTGAAATAAGCCAGGCACAGAAAGAGAAATACTGCAGGATTAAAGGCTAAATCCTTTGCCCTCACTCATATGTGGAAGCTAAAGGAGTTGATCTCATGGAAGTAGAGGGTAGGCTAGAGCAGGAAGTAGGGTAGTAACTGGAGGCTGGGAAGAATAGGGAAGGCAGATAGAAAGAGGTTGCTTAACACACATCTATGCCAAGACGAAGAGAGAGGAGCTGAGCCACGTCCTGGCGGCCATGAAGAAAGCAGCTGCCAGGAAGGACTGAGCTCCCTGCCCTCTGCCCAAAATAAAAGCTTCACAGGAAAAACAAAAACAAAAAACAAACAAACACAAAAAAAAGTTGGTTAATGAATACAAAATTACTAGATAGAAGGAATAAGTTCTAGCATTCTATCACTGTTCTTTTTTAATAGTTAAAAATACTTTTTTGGGAGGCCGAGGCTGGCAGATCAGGAGGTCAGGAGGTCAGAAGATCGAGACCATCCTGGCTAACACGTTGAAACCCCGTCTCTACTAAAGATACGAAAAATTAGCTGGGCTTGGTGGCGGGCACCTATAGTCCCAGCTACTCGGGAGGCTGAGGCAGGAGAATGTCATGAACCCAGGAGGCGGAGCTTGCAGTGAGCCGAGATTGCACCACTGCACTCCAGCCTAGGCAACAGAGTGAGACTCAGTCTCAAAAAAAGAAAAAAAGAAAGAAAAAGAAACTTTTTAAATAATTGGGGTAAACGCCAGGTGCAGTGGCACACGCCTGTAGTCCCAGCTACTTGGAAGGTTGAGGCAGGAGGATTGCTTGCACCCAAGAGTTCAAGGTTGTTCTGCACTACGATCGCCCCTGTGAATAGCCACTGCACTCCAGCCTGGGCAACACAGCAAGACCCCATCTCTAAAATAAATGAATAAATAAAGTAAATGAAAAGTCCCTCAGATATTTTCCATCTTTCTGTGGGCTTATGAGTTAAAAAAAAAAAAAAAAAAAAAAAGAACCTTTTAGTTTATCTGGTTTTGTCAAAGGGTCTCCTTTTGATGTCTAGTTGTTCCAACTTCAGAAATGTTCCCTTTCTCTTGTCCAAGAAAATTAAGTCTAAGTATAAGCTAATGTTCCAGAATAGTGCTTCTCAAACTTTAATACACATATATGAATCACCCAGGAATCTTGTTTAAAATGTGAATTCCGATTCTACAATCCTGAGGTGGGACCTGAGACTCTGCATCTCTACCAAGCTCCCAGGTCCTGCCAATGCAGCCGTCCCTGGACCAATCTTTGAGTAGCCAGGCTCAATAAAGGGGTATCATGAATCTATCCCCTGAGGCAGGGAGAAAAGAATCACCACCAAACTCTAATAAAAAAAAAAAAAACACCACTGGAGAATATCTGGAATGACATATACCAAACTATTACAGAAAGTGGTGAGATTATGAGCAATTTGAAATATCTTCCTTACACCTATTTGTATTTTCAATTGGTCTATAACAAACATTAATTACTTAGGCAATAAATAGGTTTAAAACTAAATAACTGAATCAAGAAAAACCTAAAATACACACATATTTTTAAAAACAAAGTCTTTATCAGACACTGACAGAGCGTCAGAAGTGCTTCCCTAGAACCAACAGCTTGAAAGCAGCCAGTCGAGTCCTCTTTCTTTATCTTTTTACCTTTTTTTTTGTTTTTGAGACAGGATCTCACTGTGTTGCCCAGGCTGGAATGCAGTGGCACAATCATAGTTCACTGCAGCCTTCACCTCTTGGTCTCAAGTGATCCTCCTGCCTCAGCCTCCTGAGTAGCTGGGACCACAGGCATGCACCACTACACCTGGCTAATTTTTAATTTTTTATAGAAATGGGGTCTCGCTACGTCACCCAAGCCAGTCTTGAGCAATCCTCCCACCTCAGCCTCCAAAAGTGCTGGGATTACAGGCATGAGTCAGCGCATCTGACTGACTCCTCCTCTTTCTGCAGCCCTGTTTAGATGGAGATAGGGGAGAGACATGTCCAGGTTTCACAGCCAGTCTTTGGCAGAGCCAGGACTATGAAATTAGAGATCTGGGTGACATGGCACAAGCCCACAGCCACAGTCTGATAAGAGTTTATCAAACACATAGTGACTTTCTGTGAAGGGAATTTAATCCTGGGCCCCGTCCGCAGGGCAGTACTCCAAGGAATCATGATGGACCGGGAGCCCGGGCCTGCAGGATCATTTCTGAGCTGCTCATGGTCTGTCCCCAGCCTGGGGCTCCTGGAAAATGCCCAGCTTTCTCCAAGGTGACCATTTCATCTGGTTTATCCCACTTTACAGGGGGAAGTCCACACCCCACAGCCTGTCATTCAAGGCCTCAGTGTTCCCTTCTGTATCTCTGTCTCATCACACCTCCCACTCTCCAGCATCACCTCAGTGGCCTTGCATGCACAAGTCTACTTGTCTGATCCACCCTCCCCCAGCCCTTCCAGTGCTTAGAGGCTCCCTGCAGCCTGGCCGAGCTTTCCTTCCTCTACACACTCTCAGCCCGCCACTGCCCTCACCTGGCTCCAGTGCTCTGTCCTCCCCTGCTGGGTGTCCTACTCTCCTGCTTCTCCTCCTGCCTCCCTCCCCCTCCTCAGTCTCCTCTGCTGCTTCCTCATCCTTTATTCACCTGTTAGATAATATTGAAGCTCTTCAAGGCTCCATCTTCTCTGATCACTCTACTCTCTCCTCCTGGGTGGTCTCATTCACTCCTGAGGTTCCAAAGACATCTCTATGCCAAAAATCTATTTTCAGGTCTCACCTCCCTTCCAAGCCCCAGACACATGCATTCACCTTCCTACTTGGATTCTCCTCTTGGGTTCTGCATAGGCATCCCTAACCCCTCCTAAGTTCTTCCTCCTACATAACTCTTGAATTATCCCATTGCACCATCCCCACATCATCCACGCTAGACCAAGCCACCCCCATCTCCCCTTTGAAGACCACATCACTTCTAAGCTGGTCTCTCTGCCCGGTCTCCTAACCCACTCCAATTCTTCCTTCATTCAGAAGCCAAAGCGCTCTTGTTAAATTGCCAATATGGCCATGCACCCACGTCCACTGCCTTCATGGGCATCCCAAATAAAATCAAGCATCTCTGCCATGCCTTGAAAAGCTCTGCCCAGCCCAGCCTTTCTTCCAGACACAGTCCCCATCATCTCTCTTGCTCCAAACCTGCTCTCCTCTCCTCCCTGACTGCACCCAACTTTCCCTCGCCTTTGCACATGCTGACCTCTCTGCCTGTTTAGTAGATGCAGCTGATGCCCCCTTGGCTCACCTCTCCTGAAGGCACATCCTGCTGGAGGGGCATCACCAGCAGCTGGGAGTGTTGGCCACTCACGGAAGGCAGCCGCACACCTCCCTCAGAGAATTGCCCTGGGACAAACTAGAGTCACCTCTGTAATAGGCGACAATCAGGCAGACCTCGCTGCCCACCATGGGCTACAAAAGGCCAGCCACCTCCCACAGGGTGGGACTGTTCCCTGGACAGTTGATGTTCCCAATCCCCCCTCGCCCCGCCACCACTGTGGCACGGGGCTGAGGCTGGGACCACCTCTTTCTCTGCTTCTACCCACCCCGTCCTGCTTCTCTCCCAGCTTCTCCCCAATTGCCACCCCAACAGATCCACGCCTCAGGTTCCACTTGTAGGGCACCTAACCAAGACTTATCCTCCAGGTTAGGCCTGGATGAGCCCTCAGCCTGGGTCAGAGCACTATCTGGACAGCAGCTTGCTGTTTTCCTTTCTAACCGTTAGCATGGCCATGATTAAATATTTGTCTGTGTTCTCTGTCTAACATGCATCTCACTGTGCTCTCCATAAGGGCAGGGCTGTGTCTATTTTACTCCCACCGTGTTCCTAGCACCCCCCAGCACATAGTAGGCACACAGAAAATATGAACTGAAAGAAGGAAGGAAGGTCCTGATGTTGCCTCTGTCTTATTTGATCAAGGGCTCTGAGGCTAAATGACTTTTGGGGTTGGCAGCCGTGAGTGTCATGGCTTGGGCTCGCTGCCCTCCAGTAAGCAGCTCTGAGACCGTGTGGGCAGAGGCCATGTGGCATGCCTGCGTGGATGGCGGCCATCCACCGCCTCTCTCTTTTCCTCACTCAGAGGCAGCAGCTGGGGCTGCTCCGCCAGTGACCGTGAGCAACCCTGGAAGCTGCACTGTCAACAACCTGTCATAGCGAATCACCCCAGGCCACTGATTCCCCACAGAGCTGCCTGCTGAACCAGCCTCAGCCTCTTGAGGCCTCTCCCAGCAGCACTCACAGGCTGGCATCAGGCTGGCACCAGGAAGGCCCAGACCTGCTCCTGGTGCCAAATGAGGCACTAGCTGGAGCTGCTGGGAGCCTGGGCTCAGGGGATGCCACCTCCCACCCCAGGACAGAGGGCAGGAATCCCCATGGAGTATCCAGGAGAACCGGCCCTTTCCCACCCACCGTCTGCCCCATTACACTTGGGAAGGCCTGTGTTGTGCCAGAACATTTCTCACTCCTTGCTTTTGCTAACCCTCATGCCAGCCACACAGGCTGCATGAGGCTGGCTCTGCCCATCCCTCAGAGGAGAAAACTGAGATTCAGACAAAGGAAAGCAGGAGAAGAAGTTAGTAGCCCAAGGATTCTCTCCGTCTCAGGAGTTCCCCATCCTGCATCAGTGCTGCATAAGGGGGCTTTGAGGAGTACAGCCAAACAGAGGCGAGGGGGCTCAGAAGCCCCTGATGTTTGAGGCTTTTAGTCTGTCCAGATCATAGGTCAGCACCCAGCAGCCCTCTTTCATTTGTTGGCTATAGGGGAATAGCTATAAAGGGTTCCCAGTGGGTGTCCCAGAACCAAGGCCCCTGAGTTTCGCCCAGCCCTCATCCCACCCAACCAATGAAGGCCACACTCTACCTCAGGGTCAGGTGGCAAGGACATCAGCTGTGTCCCAGAGCGTCCTCTCTGTCAGAGCACCAAGGCCTGAAGGCACCCTGGGCAACAACTCCTCAGCAGAGAGGCCAGGCTGAAGAGGGGCCACCTCCAAGCTGAGCTGCGCAGAGATTTCCTGGGCATGCCACACCCCCCAGTGGCCAGGCTTTCTCCTCCACAGACTCTCCCGGAGGGCTCCAGTCACCTCGTGTCTCCACCAGAAAGGGGAGGAAGGAGGAAGAGAATTATTATCACAACACAGTAATTATGATGTATTCATTTGTCCAACAAATATTTCTCCAGGGCCTGTGCTGAGCCCAGCTCTGTGCTAAGTGCGGGGCACACAGCCAGGAGTGAGACAGACCTAGTCCCTAACCTTGGGGACCTGGGAAGCCAGTGGACAGATGGTGGACACGCACACAGATAGGGAAGAGATATTCAACATAATTTTGGAGGCTGTAGGTGCAATGGAGAGAAACAAGGCATTGCACAGGCTGAGGGAAGAGGGGAAGGGGTGTGTGGGTTGGTGGTCCAGAAGCTTCTCTGAGGTGGTCACAGGGGAGACCAAGGTGATGTGAGGGCAGGAGCCACTCCAGGAGCTCAGGGGAGAGTGTTCTGAACACAGGGAAGAGAAGCAGGGGCTTGGGGCAGGAGGGAGGAGGGGGCAGGGGGATGGGGCTGGAAAGAGAATGAGGGCCAGATCCGGCCCTGAAAGCCAAGGTGCAGATTTGGCTTTGACTTCGAGTGAGACAGGGAGCCACAAGATGGTTTTGAGCAGGAAAGTGACATTCACAAATATTTAAAAGTTAGTATTAGCAGCTGATATTTATTGACCATTTACTATCTACCATATCAGGCATTACTCTCGGCACTCTGACCACATTATCTTCTTTGATCCTTACAACCACCCTGTTGCAGCAGCACACCCAATGACCTCACCCTGGTTCCAAGGTTCAGAGGTAGGCAGCCCTCTCAGGACATGCCAAAGTCACAGACCCTGTAAGCATCTGTGACCCCAGGACTCAAGTCAGCTCTGTCTCACTCACTCAAGAGCTGTTGGGCTGTTGGGGGAGAAGTCTGGGCACAGCTTAACTGGGGCCTCTGCTTCTGGGACTCTCACAGGGCTGTGATCAGGATGTCAGCCAGGGCTGAGGTCTCATCTGAATGTTCCACTGAGGAAGGATCCACTTTGAAGCTCACACAGTTGCTGGCAGGATTCAATCCTTCAAGGCTGTTGGACTGATAGCCTCAGTTGTAGCCGGATGTCAACTGGGGCCCAGCCTCAGGTCTTTGTCACATGGGCTTCTCCAGCATGGCAGCTTACTTCATCAAAACATGCAAGCCAAGAAGGCAAGAGAGACGGTCAGCAAGTAAGACTGAAGTCTTATGTATCCTCAACACAGGAGTGACGTCCATCATCTTTGCCATATTCTATTGCTCTGAAGCCAGTCTCCAGGCCATTCTACACTCACTGGGAGGTCATGAATGGCAGCAGGCAGAAATCTCTCAGGGGAGTCTGCCCGAACCAGGACCGTGCAGCTCAACTAGCATTTTCTGGTGCCTTCTATGTGCCAGGCATGGTATTAGTGCTGAGAATTTAAAACTAGATGAATTTGGGCTTCCACTTCCAGGAACATTTTTCTGGGAGGTGTTTTCTGCTACGTACTCTTATTCACTTTCCATTGATGTGACCACTTTGTGACCTATGTAGAATCACTCTTGAGAGGGTAGGGAAATTACTAACTTGATAGTATGGATGAGTTCACCAGACCTTTTTCCTCTGAGGGGCATTTGGACAGTAGTAGTCACTGTGCTAGGCACTGTAAGTACCAAGGAGGTACCCAGGGTAATGAGGAGCAGACAGGTAAACCCACAGGTTGAGCCTGGAGCAAGGCAATGCCACAATAGAGGCCAGACCCACAGTGGGAGTTGGCATAGTGGTTCTTAAAGCAAAATAAGTTACAGACAGTGGATGAAAAGCTGAAACCAAGCTTTGCCCTATGCTTAGGGGGCCTAGGGGGCCTAGCTGGCTTGATTTCAGAGCAGCAGAAGGTCTCTTCCCCAACACAACCCCTCTTCCCACACCCTGATCTCTGCCTCACGGACACCAGAGAGGCTTGTTACAGGGAAATAATAGACACACACTTTTAGCTTTCATGAAAAAGCAACTCTCTTCATTAGAAGAACCTCATCTTCCCTGGCTAACCATAGAAGTCTGGCAGGAGCTGCCAATCACAGACTCCACTTCTCTTGGCCAAGGGGGTGAGGGGGTAGATTTGGCATCCAGGCCGAATCAATCTCCCATCCCCTGTCCCATAAAACATGTGACACAAGCCAAGCCAATCAGAGTCCTTCCCTGGGACTGTTTTCCAGGTGAAGCTGACAGGAAGAGATCTTTTTCCCAGTTGGTCAGGACACTATAAAGAAGAGGCCTCAGAAGCAGATGGTGGCCATGTTTCCAGCCATATAGGAAAGAAGGGGGGAGATGGAGACCGATATACAGAGAGACAAGAGAGAGAGCGAGCTGGCATGCCAGTCAACAGCATTACATCCTTGGTTCCTGTCTTCCCTCTGGCAAGCTTTATTCTTGCCCTTTCTAGACATGTAAACCAATAAATCCCTTTTTATTTACTTGAAATAATTCAAATTGGTTTCTATTAGTTGCCAACAATAGGGTCCTAAAATATAAGCCTATAATTTCACCACTGAAGTTCAAGGTAAAGCTACAAATCTTCCTGGGAGAGGTGATTCATGGGTCTAAATTGTTACTAAAGTATAAATGACTGATAACAGATCCTTTCTTAAGAGGAGACTATAATTACGAGCTTATCTGAAAACAGACAAAGCACCATACAGCTAGAAGTAAAGACAGTCAAAACGTCTGGTAACCTTCACCTATCAGCACATAAGTTTTTTTTAAGATTAGAATCTTCAGTCACCAATGTGCTGAGTTTGCTGGGTCTGGCACCCAGTATGGGGTTCAGTCAATATCGTAAAAGGGAAGAAACAGAAGCAAGGGAAAGTGGAAAGAAAGGAAGAGTGGGGGAAGGAGGAAGGGGAAAAAAAGAAAAGAAAAAAAGAGGGAAGGAGACGGGAAGAGGAGAAGGAAGGGTGATGAGGGAGGAAGAAAAGAGAGAAGGAAGGCTTGAAGGGAGGCAGTAAGGAGGGAAGAAAGAAAGGAAGGAAGGAGGAAGGAAGGGAAGAAGGGAAAGAGAAAGAAAGAGAGGGAGGGAGTAAAAAGAAGGGAGGGAAGTGGAGACGGAGGGAGAGACACACAGAGACAGAGACAAGACAGACAAATTGAGGGGAAAGGGAGGAAGGAAGAAAGACGAGAGTCTGAGCGGTGGATCCCGCCCCGGCCCCGCCCTCGGCCCCGCCCCCGGCCCGCGAGCTGCAGCACCACCTCCGGTCGCCAGGGGCCGCCACCCGCAGCCGCCGGCACCCTGTGCGCGCGGCGGGCCTTCTTTCCCGCCTCTGCGCCGGCCGCGCGCCCCCCCCGCCGCCGCTCTCGGGCTCCGGCCGGGTCTCGCGCGCCGTCTTCTCGAGAGGGGCATCGCGCCGCCCGGCGCGCGCCGCCCCCCTGCCTCGCGGCGCGGGGTCTCGCGGGCCCCGCTCCCGCCCTCCGCTCGCCTGGCCCGGACCGGAAGCGGCGCCGCACGGCCTGGGCCTGGCGCGGGGGGCGGGCACCGGGGCCCGGTCGGACATGGGCAAGAAGCACAAGAAGCACAAGTCGGACAAACACCTCTACGAGGGTGAGGAGGGGGCCGGGGTGCGGGCGGCGGGCCCTCGGCGGCTCTGCCGGGCTTCCGCTCTTTCCCAGTGGCTCCGGGGCGGCCCGGGGCCCTTCCTTCCCACGGCAGGCCCAGGCCGGCGAAGGGGGCGCGTCCTGCCGGAGGCCGCGCTGCCCCCCGTGCGGCCGCGGCATTCGAACCCGGGTCCCCCTGGTCCGGTGGGTCTCTGGTGGGGAGACGTGAGGCGGGCCCGGGAGGCCTGGGAGCGTTCGGGGCGGGCGGCGCCGCCGCACCCCCGGGCCGGGGTCCGTCATTCAACAGGTGCTTCGCGGAGCGCCCAAAGCCGCCTCGGGCTTGCTGCGCCTTGGCGCTCTGCATCCTTAGCACTCCCTGGAGAGCCCCGATTTTAATCGACGCGCTTTCCTTTCTTTTCTTTTCTTTTTTTAAGAGTATGTAGAGAAGCCCTTGAAGCTGGTCCTCAAAGTAGGAGGGAACGAAGTCACCGAACTCTCCACGGGCAGCTCGGGGCACGACTCCAGCCTCTTCGAAGACAAAAACGATCATGACAAACACAAGGACAGAAAGCGGAAAAAGAGAAAGAAAGGAGAGAAGCAGATTCCAGGGGAAGAAAAGGGGAGAAAACGGAGAAGAGTTAAGGTACAAGTGGTTACATTGCTTTGGCTTTGCGGACGGCACTGCCTCTTCCAGGTGCCAACCTCATTTTATTTTCTTTGTATCTGGGGAAAACAAACGCCTCTAAGATCTGGCTCGTTTGAGGAGGAGCAGGACAGAATAGAGACATGAATCATCTATGAGTTTCAGCAAGTCGTTTTTGGATTATACTCTTAGGCAATTGTACTCGCACATCAGGTGAGGAAGCAGCTAAGTCCAAATTTTGAGGAGCTGCTTCAAAGAATGGTTTTTCCATCTAGGCAGGGTAAAAAGTCATGCTCAAGAAAGCCTCAGTGTTCAAGGATTGTCAAAAATAGTCATTTCAGAAGCGAGTGGGATCTACTGGGGTTTAAAGTTTGTTCTGAAATAAATATTATAATGCCAAATCTGTAATGAGCAACTTTAAATCTTTTAAAACAGTGTTGTAGTGTGTTGAGAAAATTTGGTCAGAAACCTGTAATGGAGATTGATATTCTTAACCATTTGCATTTAACAGAAAAGAATGAGTAGCTACCATCTTGGTTTGAAAGCTGGGCAAAATAATAATTAATGGCTGGGCCCAGTAGCCCACACTTGTAATCCCAACACTTTGGAATGCCGAGGTGGGAGGATTGCTTGAGGCTGGAAGTTCGAGACCAGCCTGGGCAACATAGCAAGGCCCTGCCTCTGCAAAATAAACTACAAAAATTTCCAGAGCCTGGTGGTGTGCACCTGTGTCCCAGCTATTCAGGAGGCTGAGGTGGGAGGATCCCTTGAGCCCAGGAGTTTGAGGTACAGTGAGGTATGATCATACCACTGCACTCCAGCCTGGGCAATAATACGAGACTCTGTCTCTAATAATAATAACATTGTTATTACTGTTATTAACTTTCCAAATTTAACCTGCCACTGAACGACTTATTACATCAATTATTGTGAAGGTAAATTTTCATAGGTTAGTTATGTAATTTTTCTTATGTTTATATATACAAGAGGAGCTTTCTCTTCCATGTGATTGAACACATTGCTAAGTCACCAAGTCTTAGAGATCTTATTTTGGGGATTTCTTAAGTCTATTCCTTCCCTTTTGTCCCAGTTTTTATTACCTTTGGCTAGGTAGGAGTAATGTTTTGTTTTCTTCCTTAAATTATAAAACCCATATATGCATTTGATTTTTTAAAAGTAGTTCATGTGGTGCAAAAGTACACAAAATGGAAAAAGTTTTCCTCACCCCAATCCTTCACATAGACTCCCTCTTCAGAGGTAACCAGTTGTTTTTTTTAATTAATAGTAGTAAAGTAATTCGTGAAGATGATTTTTAAAAGTCAAGAGTACTACACAGCTTTTTGACACAAAGCAGGCTGCTGCTCCACTCTGGACACTTTTTAGGTATTTTTCCTTGCCTACTTATTTCTATTTCAAAATAAAGGTTTATATTGCTATTTACTGATTTAGCAGTTTATATCTTCTACTGACATCATGTTATGGAAGATGAGAATTCAGTTTCCCTTGCTCAAGGTATAGGTACATCACAATTATTGGTTAAATCAATATTAAAGTGATTGTAGACAAGTATAGTATGCAAATATAGATCTGATCTTAACTAGTTAGATCATTGCTTTCATTTGTTTGGTTATTGCTTAATAATTCTTCCCAAACTCTAAGATTTATGAAACTCATTTGAGTTCTTTACTTCCTTTTTTATTTTCCTCTGGAGACATTTATCTTACAGCTTTCTGTCTCCTGGAGGCTGAATTAGTTGCTGTCAAGGCCTCCTGGGACTCTCCTTCACCTGCTTCCTGGATCTCATGCCTTCCTCTTTCTTGATTCATTCCCTTGTTCTGGTGGACTCTTAACTCTAGGAACGTCCTAAGAAAGCATACACGGGGTAGATTTTATAAGTTCTAACATGTTTGAAAATCTGTATTCTGCCCTCATACAGGTTGATGGTTTGACTTGTTTAGATTGAAAATTATTTTCTTTCAGACTTTTGAAGGCATTGCTTTGTTGTTTTCTGGCTTCTAAATTTGCTGTTGAGAAGTCTGTTGCCATTCTGATTCTTAGTCCTTTGCATATGACCAGTATTTGCTAACTTGAAATTTTTAGGATCTTCCCCCCTTATCTTCAGTGTTCTGACATTTCACAATGAATACTTGTGCCTTCAGTTCAGAGCTGTGTGCTTGAAGTATTCCTGTGTTCATTTCTTTCCCTCCATTTTTTCTTTTCTTGGTTTCTGGAACTCCTGCCCTTTAGATATTAGACTCCTGAACTGATCCTCTAATTTTCTTATGTTTTTCTCATATTTTTTCTGGGTGTGTGTGGGGTGGGGGAGGGTTCTTCCTTCAGGGAACATCCCTAAAATTTCTGACTTTTCCAGATTTATTTCAGATCTTATACCTTGAATTTCCAAGAATTTTTTCTTGTTCTCTAACTGTCCTTTTTGAATTAGCACCCTGTTCTTGGTTTTAGATGCAGTATATTCTTTTCTTTCTCTGAGGATATTAATCGAAGTTTTTTCCTGTTTTTTTCTCCTAAGTTTTCTTTTGCTCCCTGCCCTGTCTCTCTCTCCCAAATTCTTCCATTTATTTGTCTGTCTCTGTTTTCTGTTGAAAGCATCCTTTAGTTGTCTGTTGAGCTTTTGCAGTTTGTACAAAGCTGAGTAAATGCTTTGTACCTAGACAGAGTTTGTCAGTTGATGGACTTTATTGTAGAGTGACTAACAGGGACTCAGTCATTTTGGTGAAGAATGCCCCAATGTCTGTACCTTACAGATGTTTTCTCTGGGATTTTTAGTTTCTCCAGAGAAAAATCCTCCTCTCCTAGGAGATGGATTTTGCCAGTTTTATCCGTGTTTCTGGAGCCAACTATGGGGCAGGGGCTGAAGGTCTTACCACCCAGTTTTCTGAGTCTGGCATTTCTCCTTATTTTGGCTCGTCTCGAGATTTGGAGACTCTCAGGTTCCCTGCCTCCTCCAGTTCTGAGCTTTTCCAGGGTTCTGGAATTTAGGCTTTTTTCAAAGGTGTCCACCTCTCTGCATACGGGAGTATCTTGCTTTCTCTGTTCTGCAAATCACCCCATTTGCCTTCCGTCTCCCAAGTGTGTTGACGTGGCTTATCAACCTTTGTCTCTTACGTGCTCTTTGTTCCGGCCATCGTCTTGTTTAACAAAAGTTGAGGTAACCACTTTGAACCACTCTGGTTTTTGTTCTGGCAGTTACCACCATAATCCCATTGATACATTAATATTCTTCGTTTCTTGTTTTATTCGTTATCTTTATATCGATTACATAGTATTTAGTTATATGGATATACCATACTTATGATTATTACTTTTAAATCTTACATGTAATACTGCAGTGAGCCTCATTGTACACACATCTTTGTACACTTGTGTAAGAATATCTTCAGGATGGGTTCTTAGAAGTGTTCTCCCCCCTGTGTTCCAGCCACTCTATCCTTTCTTGACTGTGGCTCTAAAGATCATTAGTCCCATTGTATTTTGATGTCATTGCAACCTAAAATGGGTTCATATCCACAGTCTCTTCTGGACACACCTCTCAGAATAGGACAGGTAGGGGGATGGTTTCTATTTCACATTCAGGGCTAGAGACTTCAGATCCTCTGGGGTGTCACTGGTTCTGTAGGGACTGTTTGGGTCATTCTTTTTTTCCAGGCTAGACCAGGGAAGCAGGGAGAGATTCTTTTTGCTAGTGTTATGTAGGGAGGGAGACCTTAGAGATGCCTCTGTGAGCTGTGTTCTGGATGTCCAGGGAGTTTTAGGAATAGTAGTTGATGTGATCTCTTCTTGGGAGAAAGAAGGGCTAGAGTATGTATGATTCTGAGGGACTGGCGACTCTTCTCTCAGTTCCATGGAGCTGGATGGAGGACAAAGGATGTCCTTTTCCTTTCAAAACATTTTTCTGAAAGGCATACATAACTTCTGCTTATGTTTTACTAACCAGAACCTAATCACACAGTCACCTTAGCTGATAGGGAGACCGGAAAATGTTGTCTTTTTTTTTTTTTTCCTTTTTGAGATAGGATCCCATGTTGTTGCCCAGGGCAGAATGCAGTGGTGCAATCATGGTCCACTGCAGCTTCAAACTCCTGGACTTAAGTGATCCTCTCACCTCAGTCTCCCGAGTAGCTGGGACTACAGGCATGTATCACCACACCCAGCTAATTTTTTCAAAAACATTCTTTTGTAAAGATGGGGTCTTGCTATGTTGTCCAGGCTGGTCCCAAACTTCTGGGGTCAGGTGATCCTTTCACCTCAGCCTCCCAAAAGTACTAGGATTACAAGTGTGAGCTACCATATCTGGCATTTTAGTTGCGGGGAGTGAATGGGGGTAATGTACCTTGCTAAAAATTAGGAATCTGTTACTTAGGAAAATAAGATAAAGTTGGGGGAAGCACACGCGCACGCGCGCGCGCGCACACACACACACACACACAAACACACAACGTAAAGCCTTACAATTTTTCAAAAGTGCCTCAGTTAAGTGATTTTCTTGTTTTGAGTAGGAAGGCTCTAACTATATTAGTTTAAAATGCCCCAACGGGTAGGATCAGCAGTATTTCTCCCTGTACAGCAGTGGTATTTAATGCCAACCAAAGCATTAGGGGTACAACGTGCTTTGGTTTCCACAAGACACCACCCCTATGAAAGTGATGAATTTTCTTATTCCTTAAACATTCTGATGCTGAGCAGTTGATAAAGAATTTGCCTGCTGGCATGACTCTTAAAACATTAGTTTTCCTTTCCTAAATGTTCAGTCTTAATATTTTCCCATGTTATGTAAAAAATAAAATAACAGCCATAAAAAATGCTTATGCCATCTGATCTAGTCATACATACACAAGAGGATAGTTAAGTAAAACTAAGATGCAATAGGTAAAATTCTGTGAGGCTGTTAATTGATAAAATGATTTATAAAAATTACAGAAGTATTTCTAAAATCACAGTAGAGGAAATAACCATATACACACCCATTATGATTATAACACGAAAAAGCTACACGTAACGTTTTACAAATAACAACTGCTACTTATCAGGCATATAGTACATCCTAGGTTCTGTGCTGAGCGCTTTATGTACATCATCCTACTATACTCCCTACTGTAATCCTGTGAGACTGGTGTTCTGTCTCTATTTTGTTGGATTGTGGTACAATACACATAGCATAAAATTTACCATTTTAATTATTTTTAAGTGTGCAGTTCAGTAGTGTTAAATGTATTTACATTTTTGTGCAACTATTTTCCAGAACTTTTTCGTACCTATTAAAAACTCCCCATTTTCCTTTCTCCCTCTCCTCAGACCTTGGCAACCACCATTCCACTTTCTGTCTCTGTGAATTTGACTGCTTTTATAAGTGGAATGATACAGTATTTGTCTTTTTGTAGCTGTCCTATATCATTTAGCACAATGTCCTCAAGGTTCGTCTGTTGTAGCGTGTGTTGGAATGTCCTTCCCTTCTAAGGCTAATTGCTACTCCATTGTATGGATATACCACATTTTATTTATTTATCAGTCAGTGGACATGTGGTTTGCTTCCACCTTTTGGCTGTTATGAATAATGCTGCGAGGAACATGAATTGTACAAAGTTCTCTTCAGGACCCCTACTTTCACTTCTTTTGGATACACACCCACAAATAGAATTACTGGATCATACTATCTCCTCTTTTATTAATGAGAAAATTGAGGCTCAGGGAGGTTAAGTAACTTTACCAAAGTCTCACAGTTAATGCCAGAACAATAACTCAAATTCTGCCCTTAAGAGGTCTTTAATCTGAAAGAGTTGTTAAAGTAGGCACCAACCTCTGCCCACAGCACATGGGGAAATAAAGTCAGTGCCCTAACAGAGGCAGGGTTCTAGTTCTGAGGCTCCTGAGAGTACATGGAGCTGGGGGAAATCACAGAAGACTTTTCTCAAGAAGCAGCATTTGAGTTGGGCTTTAGAAATCAAAATACAGTGATGTAACACTATATGTTCAGTTAACATGGGGTCAACTATATGCCCTGAGAGAAATGGCTCTTTTTATGGTAGTTCAGTAGAAGTATTCTAAGATTGTAAGTCATGAGTATTGTACTTAATGGGCTACTTCAGGTATTTTCCAAGGTGATTTGACAACCCAATTTTTATTTATGTGCTGCCTTTAGATGATGATCCCTGAATAGAATGATAGGCCACTGCGTAGAGACGTGGAGGTCAGGAAGCCCACACACCAGAGGATTATGGAGCTGTTGTTAGAGGATTAGCTCAAAAATGGGCAAGAAGGAGATGCGTATAGGGGACATAAAGTAAGTCTCTTTTTAAACACAGAATGCATGGAGGGGAGGATAGGGTAAGATCTGAAAGGCAGCTGAGATGGCAGAGTAAGGAGTTTGAGCTTCAGTATGTAGTCAGTAGGAAATCAAAAACTTTGAGTGGAAGAATGATAAAAGCTGAGTGTTAGTAACATAAATCTGGTAACAGTATCTAACAAATATTGAATGGAGAGAGTGGAAACTGTAAGGAGACCTGCATAGAAAGCTTTTTATTGAAATAGCTCAGACGAGTGGTCTCAATTCCTTTATTGAAACTCACTTGCTGTTCTGAAGAACATAGTCCTAACCCAAATGATGTCTTAATAGCTTTGTAGGTCGACTTCTGGTTTAGTTGCTGAAAGAAGTTAGGCCACTCACATTGCTTAGGAATGTTATCAGAATAAAATGAGAAAGATAGTAGTCATTAAAAAAATTTTTTTACTCAAAAGCATTAACACATATAGGATGTTATTATATATAAAGCTAAAATTAAGTAAAACTTTAATGAAAATTACAGTAAATTCCAGTAAGTACCTATTTTATTAAAGCACTATCTATACTAAGTCCAACAGTGGAGGCAGACTCATAACTAACATCCGAGTGTTTACTGTCTGCCAGACACTATTCTAAATTCTTTGTGTATATTTACTATTTTGATCCTTAGAAATAATTCTGTGAGGTAGGTGCTGTTAGTATCTCGTACTGCTGATTTAACTGAGCCACAGAGTATGAGGTAGCTTTTAACTAGAGAGGAGCAGTGACTAATCGTATTAAGCAAAGTGAGAATTCTGGCAAAACACAGTTCATTGACTTGTGCCATCTGTCACACCTGGCATCTCTGGGCTGTTGTGGCTTATCTGCCTTGGCAGAAAACCCTCCCCCTTTCTCAGCATTGGTCTGTGTGTGTCCCTCCTGAGGTAGTCGTCTCAACCCCAAAAGACCTTTCCAAGGAAGGAAGAACTCAGAAAAGGGGCCTATGAGTAGCATTGCTCCTCTGATAGAAGGCTGTTTATCTGTTTCTTTATTCAACAAATATTTACCTGACACCTATTATCTGGCCAGACTGTACTAGGCTCCAGTGATTAAGATAGGTAAATAAATAAATAAAATCCTACAGGAGCTCAAAGTTGGACCCAGGAATCAGACATGAAAGTATAAATAAACCTCACGACCTGGTAAATCCTAAGGGAGGTTTGACTAACTTGTTCCAGGAGTCCAGGGAAAGGTATGCGTCATTCTGCCGTGGGCAGCTAGGGGAAAGCATCATAGAGCTAATGGCTAACGTGTGTAGCAAATGCTGTTTTCAGCCTAGGGCCAAAAATGATGTGCAGCTGCCAGGTAATGAAACATTTTTCATTGGATTCTAAAATCAGCTGTTAAAAGGGAACTCTACATTGTTTTGCATATTGGAGCATCACTTGAATATATGTATGTGTATATATCCTCCGAAAGTAACCAACCTGAAGGACAGTACTTATTACTAAGGACTTTAGCTGTTAATTTGCATGCTTTTGTGTTCCTATGTCATGCTGTCTCCTATGATTAATTACTTCTGCAAATACTTAGCAAGTATTATGTGTTAGGCATTTGCTGAGCTTGCAGGTATGGAGCTGAATAAGACAAGGACCACTGTCCAGAGGGAGCTCCAGTAGAACAGGCAAATGTCATTTGTTGAGTGAATAATGTGGTTCGGTGAGTGTTAAATCCTAATAATCTGAGCAAAGATTTGCTTTAAAAGCATTACACACAGATTAATAAAATAACTTGCCATCAAGTTGTGGGCAAATTAGAATCTAGTCAGAAGAAAGTAAATGTGTTTGTAGTTCATGGAAATAGCCCCTCTTCCTTTCTCCTGCCTCAGATCTTCATGCATACAAGATGTTTCCCCTGCCTGGAATGCTGTTCCCACACACCTACCTCCACCCCCAACCTAGCTAGATTCTTTCTCCTTCAGATCTCAGCTCAGATGTTACTTCCTCATGGAAACCTTCCCACACTTGTCCAGTCTAAATTATTTTCACCCAAAAGTTATTCTGTCCTTGAAATCTGTTTTGTTGTTGTTTTTAAGACTAGTCAAGTGAAGCAGTGGGAATGGGGAAGGAACAAAAAAATCTGTAGCTCGTTGTGATCAATTAGTTGTAAACATGTTTATTTTTTTTAATGAGTTATTTAATGCACATCTCTGCTGTTATAAACCTGTTTGTTTTTTGAATGAGTTATTTAATGAACATCTCTGCTGTTTCACTCTGAGCTCCGTAAGAGTAGGGCTGTGTATATTTTCTCTTTCACTATATAGCCACACAGTAAAGCCTCTTTTATTTATTGAATGAATGAGTGTCCATCATGTGCTAAGTAATGTGCTAAAACTTTACATAAACTATCACATTTAATCCTTAAAATAGTCCTGTGAGGTATGTATTCTTGTGTCTATTTTAAAGATTAGAACGTTAGACTCCAAAAAATTATATAGTTTATCCATGACACCATAGCTAATTACATAGTTTATCCATATCATAGCTTTGTCACCTACTAGTGACGAGGCCAGAATTTAAACCCGCTTTATAAACTAACTGTAAACTCTTCTTCCTTAACTACCTAAAGTTAAATGGCACTAATATTTTTGCTTAGTTTTTTCTGTGTAATTAACAGAATTTACTGTTAACCAGAACTGTGTTAACTTATGGTTTTACGTAACTATATTCATTTAATAAGTGACATTCACAACAAGATTCTGCAACATACTCTGAATTATGAAAAAGAAAATGTAAAGGTTGGAATCAGAATTTTAGGTGGAGAGAGACCTGTAGAGATCACAGCCTTGTGTTGTACAGATGGGAAACTGAGACTAAAACAGTGGGGTAACTTGTTAAAAGTCATATGCTGGTGAACTAGAAGCTAGATCTCCTGATTCTCAGTCTGGAAATAACATGCTATGATATCTCTATTCAGTTTAGGGTAGTTTCCAAGCATATGTTTTTATATTCTTTTTTTCTTTTGGACTCCCTAGCCCCAAAGACTTTTTGCTTTACTGAATGATAAAGTGGTTACGGTAGACCAGGATAACTAGGTAAAGATACTAGGTAGGGGTAGTTCAGAAACATACCCTCCTTTGGTACTTTTTCCACTTGGCTAGTTTATGATTGACCATCTTATCAACTCTGTAAGATAAATAATAACAGTTAAATCTCCATCTTGCATGTGGTAAAGAGGTCTGATGAGAGTAAATGAATTGCCTAAGGTCACAGAGTGGTTTTTTACTTTATTCTTTTTGTTCTTTTTTTTTTTTTTTTGAGACAGGATCTGGCTCTGTTGCCCAGGCTAGAGTGCAGTGGTGCAATCTCGACTTACCGCAACCTCCACCTCCTGGGCTCAAGCCATGCTCCTACCTCAGCCTCCCAAGTAGCTGGGACTCCAGGTGCACACCAAAACTCCTGGATTTCGCTATGTTGCCTAGGCTGGCCTCGAACTCCTGAGCTCAAGTGATCCACCCACCTCGGCCTCCCAAAGTTCTGGGATGACAGGGGTGAGCCACCGCATCCAGCCAGCAGAGTGTTTTAAGGATGAAGCTGGACTCTTAGAGCATAGGTTAGCAAGTTGGCCAACAGTTTTTGTAAATAAATTTTTATTGAAACACAACCAAATTAATTCATTTACATTTTATCTGTGGTGGTTTTCATACTACAACACATACTATAATACAAAAGCAGAGTTTAGTAGTTGTGACAGAACTTAATGGGCCACAAAGCCTAAATGTTTACAGTTTGGCCGTTTTGGGTTTTTGTTTTGTTTTGATTTGTTTTGTTTTTGAGACAGAGTCTTGTTCTGTCGCCCAGGCTGGAGTGCAGTGATGCGTTCTTGGCTCACTGCAACCTCTACCTACGGGTTCAAGCGATTCTCCTGCCTCAGCCTCCCAAGTAGCTGGGATTACAGGCGTGCACCACCACCCGCAGCGGATTTTTGTATTTTTAGTAGAGATGGAGTTTCGCTTTGTTGGCCAGGCTGGTCTCAAACTCCCGGCCTCAAGTGGTACACCTGCCTCAGCCTCCCAAAGCTCTGGGATTACAGGCACGAGCCACTGCACTTGGCCCAGTTTGGTCGTTGACCAAAAAGTTTGCTGGCCCCAGTTCTAGACTCTTGGCACTGGCACTGGATGAGTTTTTTCTACCTGGGAGAATGCATACTGCCTCTCAAGCTGTCCTTTCTTCACAGGTCACATTTAATAGGAAGGAATCTGTGTCTCTGTGGCTGTTATTTCATAGAATGGATCTTCTAAACTTGCCAGCCTACCAAGATCCATACCAGTATTTCTGGACGAAGGATTTAAAATTTTCCAAAGTTAAGAATTACTGCAACAGAATATGTTGTGAGGTGGTAAAAATACATTAACCAACTAACAGTGGTAGCTGGGATCAAGCATGAGTTCAGTTTATAACTGCTCTCTGGAACTTTTAAAACAACCATATATTCTGTATTAGGTGCTTTGGATTCTGAAAATAGAGTGCAGAGCTCTAGATCAGTGATTCTCAAAGTGTGGTCCCTGTACCAGCAACACCCACATGGCCTGGAAACTTGTTAGAAAGTACAAATTCTCTGTCTCTACCCCATACCTGCAGATCAGTAATTCTAGGGACAAGGCCCAGCCATCTGTGTTTTTAATGAGACCTTCAGGTGATTCTAATGCACACTAAAGCTTGCGAACCACAAGAATTTTTGTTTCTTGCAAAATAAAATTTTTGTTTCTTGCAAAATCCTAAATAATCCTGATGCTGCCAGTCTGGTGACCATGCTTTGAGAACCATTGCTGTAGATACTAGAAATAAAAAATAGGGCATAGGCCAAGAAAATAGCTTTTTGAGTCCATAAGATCCTGTTGAGAATCTTGATTTTGATGAGCATAAAATGGGCATTGTTGGACAATTTTACTTCAGAATTTAAATTTTAAGAATGCAGAGTACAGAGAATAATAAAACTACCATCTTGATACCAACCATCCAGCTTTAACAGATCTCAACATTTAGCCATATATATATGTGTGTGTGTGTGTGTATATATATATATATATTTTTTTTTTCCCCTAAGGAAAGAAGAGGGCAGACAGAGATCCCTTATACCCTTTCAGAGTCCCATTTCTGTCTTTCCTTCTGATAGAACCACTGTACTGAATTTGGTGTATATCACATGCATGTTTTTATAATTACAAGTTCTGCATACATCTGTAAACAATGTATGCTTACACATTTTCATACATAGCTTGTAACAGTAATTGTTCTGCAACTTTTCTTCAGACATTGTTTCTGAATGTTATCCATGTTGATACAATACAATTTTAGCTCATTTACATTACCTGTTATGTAAATATGACACAATTTATTAATCTATTTTCCTTTTAATAGGCATTGGATTATTCCTATTTTTTACTATTTTAAACAATGCTGCAGTAATCTCTTACAAGTCTCCATGTAGACCATACGACAGGAAATTTCTCTGGTATATGCACAGAGAGTAGCAGTTGAGAAGTAGGTTAAAGGCTTTGCTAGCTTTGCTAGATATTGCTAATTGCTCTGCTAAGGATTGTTCCTATTCACCCAATTGCAAGGTATGAAAATCCCATTTCTCTACATTTTTATCAAAACTTGACATTTCAGACAAATGTTGCCAAAGAGAGGCGAAATGCCTTCTAGTTTTTAAATCTATAATTACCCAAGTTCTAGGGAGCTTGAGCTAGTTCTCATGTTCTCAACATTTCACATTTCTTATTCTGTGAGTTACCTGTGATATCACTTATCTATTTCTTTTTTGGATTTTTTGCCTTTTTGCATAGATTTATAGATGCTCTTCATGGAATCCTTAATGTTTTATAAGTTGTGTTTCAAGTACTTTATCTCAGTCTATCGTTAGATTTTTAACTTGGTTCATGGATTTTGTTGAGGTACCAAAATTTATCAACTTAATATCAAATTTATCAAGGTTTTCCTTTAAAATTTATTCATTTTATATCTTTTTAAGAAAGTCTTTTTCTACTCTTGGGTCTTAAAGATGCTTTTCTTTTATCTGAAGTTCTGAAGCTTTGCTTTGTACATTTAAGTCTTTATCTGGAATTCACTTTTGTGTATGGCATGAAGTAGAGCTCAAATTCTATTTTCTCTTTTCAGGTAACAGTTGTCTCAGCACCACCCTTTTGTCATTGACTTATAATGTCACCTCTGTGATATACTAAGATTATTCTATGTACATGGGTCTGTTTCTGGGCTCTGATCTCTTCTGTTGGCTTATTTGTCTGTGTGTCAGACCCACATTGTCTTATTATCACGTTATACAAATAATATCTGGTAAGACGTATCATCTTACTCTGACCTTTTTCAAAACTATTGTGTTCTTAATCGTTCACTCTTCGAGGTAAATTAATGCAATTGGCTTGTTGAATTCCATGGAAATTTTTGTTTTTAAATTTCGATTGGCATTACATCGAATGTATTGATAACTTGAGAGAGGATTGACTCTGAATTCATGAACATAGTATATCTCCTTTATTCAGGCCTTCTGTGACCTTCAGTAATGTTTCACAGTTTTTCCCAAAAGGTTTTGGGTATCTTTTATTAGATTTATTTCTATATACACTATGTTGCTTTTTTGGATAGTATTGTTTTTCTAACTGGTTATTTCTGGCATAGAGACCCCCTTTGTTTTTTCCTTCGTGAACGTATTATTCTCTCCTTTTCCAGTAGATGGCAGTAAAGTACATTGAGCTTGTTATTAAGAATATTTTCTTTACAATGATGTCTTTTTACCCCTTAAAATGATTTATGTATTTAAAGATATTGGTTCTGAAATATTTCTAAATTATCTCCCTTTGTTCCATTTAGGAGGATAAAAAGAAGCGAGATCGAGACCGGGTGGAGAATGAGGCAGAAAAAGATCTCCAGTGTCACGCCCCTGTGAGATTAGACTTGCCTCCTGAGAAGCCTCTCACAAGCTCTTTAGCCAAACAAGAAGGTTGGAATAACTCTGAATTAACTATCCTGAATGAGGAGGCTGAAATCATTATAGCTCAGGAAAATGGTGGGGTTTTAGCTTCTAAGTTGGAGCTTTGTGATTGAATTTTTAAGTTTTTTCTCTCAAACTGCATAAGAGCTTTAAATTAGCTTCAATTTTGGATTAATACTCTCAAACTTCAATATATTTTTAAGATAAATGGAATTTCTGTATGAGATATTTAATAATGGTTGTAGAAAATGATCTAGTAAATAATACTCTCTAGAATACTCCTTTTTAAAATACCCTTTTCCCTTCTTCTTTGCTTTAGAAGTAGAACAGACACCCCTTCAAGAAGCTTTGAATCAACTGATGAGACAATTGCAGAGGTAAATGTTTTTCCAATATTTTTATAACATAGAAATTAAAATGGTAGATGTGTAGGATCCAAACCACATTTGTGCCTAACTCCAAACATACGTGATTTTAAAGTGAATGATAAATATTTTGCCTGGCAGCAGAAGTACTCCAAGAGGCTAGGCTAACTTTTAGATATTCTTTATTTGGTTTGTTTCCCTGGCAACTTGAAGGGTGTTACATAATACTTTTAATGACAAATTTCTGTCTCTAAAGTAATTTCTGATGTTAAAACTTTAAGCCAGGAATAAACAATACAGATATTTCCACTTTGCTAATAGATGGAAATACCTTCTATGTATTTGTACAATGCTTATCATGCCACAAATGTTTAGCAATTATTAAGTATGGGAGAAAAAATAAAACACCATAAATAGGAATTATGGCCTTCTTTTAAATGCAGAAATTGGTTCTAAAAATTTCAGTGCCTAGATTAAGCTACTGTTGAGTTCTTAAAAGGGAAAAGAATAACTCAATCTTTATTAAAATATTTATTTTGGGCCGGGTGTGGTGGCTCACGCCTGTAGTCCCAGCACTTTGGGAGGCCGAGGCGGGCAGATCACGAGGTCAGGAGATTGAGACCATCCTGGCTAACATGGTGAAACCCCATCTGTACTTAAAAAAAAAAAAAAAAAAATTGCCAGGCATGGTGATGGGCGCCTGTAGTCCCAGCTACTTGGGAGGCTGAGGCAGGAGAATGGTGTGAACCCAGGAGATGGAGCTTGCAGTGAGCCGAGATTGCACCACTGCACTCCAGCCTGGGCAACAGAGCAAGATTCCGTCTCAAAAAATAAATAAATAAATAAATAAAATATATTTATTTTGATATCTCTCTACTCAGAGTTTAAATTTTCAGCTCAAAGATATTTCCATTATTTGCAAAGGGTTTATGGTTGTAGATCATACATTTTTACAGTGGACTTTCTTTCATTGTATTGAACTTAAGTCAACCCAGAACACATTGTAAATAATTTTTCTCTAATGTAATCTGTATTCAATGCCTGTTCAGGTTTGCAGTTAAGATCAGAAGTTAACCGAGTATAGTAGCTCACACCTGTAATCCCAACACTTTGGGAGGCTGAGGTGGGAGGATCAGTTGAGGCCAGGAGTTTAAGACCAGCCTGGGCAACATAGTGAGACCCCATCTCTACAAAAAAATAAAAATTATCCTAGTGTGGTTGCACACACCTGTAGTCCCAGCTCCAGAGACTGAGGTGGAAGGATCACTTGAGCCCAAGAGGTTGAGGCTACAGTGAGCTGTGATAGCACCATTGCACTCCAGCCTGGGCAACAGAATGAGATCTTTTCTAAAAAAAAAAAAAAAAGAACTTACTGATCTCTCTTCTTTTTTGGTGTTTGAGAAAAATTACATCTAGTCTTTATATTTAAATAACTTGTTCATTACTTCACTACTTGTCCGAAAGGAGTGAATAGGTATTGGGTATTCCATTGCAATTTACAAGGTGTGACTGTAAAATGTCATGGCTGCCTTAGAGTTTTTCTTGCAACGTAAGGCCAGAATGTAGGTTAATGATGTCACCTTAAAAGAAATGACTTAATTAAAAGAAGACATTCAAATGGCCAACAGGTATATGAAAAAATGCTCACCATCACTAATAATCAGAGAAATGCAAGTCAAAATCACCTCACCCCAATTAGAATGCCTGTTATCAAAAGACAAAAAAAAAAAAAAAACAAAGCTGGCAAGAATGTGGTAGAGAAAGGGAAATTGTATATACTGTTGGTGGAAATGTAAATTAGTATAGCCATTATGGACAACAAGTTCCTTAAAAAATTAAAAATAGAACTACCATATGATCCAGCAATTCAGCTACTGGGTATATATCCAAAGGTAATGAAATCAGTATGTCCAGGAGATACCTGTACTCTTGTGTTAATTGCAGTGCTATTCATAGTAGCCAAGATGGAATCAGTCTAAGTGCCCATCAATGGATGAATGCATTTTTTAAAATGTGGTATGTATACACAATGGAGTATTATTCCACCATTAAAAAGAATGAAATACTATCATTTGTAACAACATGGATGAACCTAGAGGACATCATGTTAAATAAGCCAAACACAGAAGAACAAATACTGCACGATCCTTTTGTAGTTCATAAGTGTAATGATTGGGTTTTCATGTTCCTTTGTGAGATATACCGCCCTCAAACTTTGTTACAACATCAGCACATTACCCATCTGATGTGAAGACAGAAAATATGGTGAGGGCACAAATATGACATCATCTCACTCATGTGGGATCTTAAAAAGTTGATTCATAGAAGTAGAGAGTAGAACAGTGGTTACCAGAGGCAAGGGAAAGGTAGAGGTTGGTCAGCAGGTACAGAATTACAGTTAGATGGGAGGAATAAGCTCTGGTCTTCTGTTGCACAGTAAGGTGACAGCAGTCCACAACCATTTATTATATACATCAGAATAGCTAAAAGAAAGGATTTTGAATGTTCTTATTCCAAAGAAATAACAAGTGTTTGGGGTGATAAATATGCTAATTACCTTGATTTGATTATTACACCTTATACATACATACATACATACATACAAGGATACACCGAAGTATCCTTGTATATATGTATGTTAGTATATATGTGTCGAAACATCACACTGTACCCTCTAAATATGTGCAATTATTATATGTCAATTAGAAACAAAGTCTTAATGAAAAAACACTTCAGGAAGTATTTCTTAGTCTAAAGACATTGGGAATTAGAACCCAGAGCCACACTGTTTTGATTAGTTTTAGTGATTGGATGATTCTTCATCCTTACCAGGAGCTAAGCCTGGTTTAAAAAATAAAAAATCTAGTTGATCAAGTTTGATAATAGCATTTTTGGTCAAAACTAGATGGGGCTCTGTATTAAAATGACTGACCTAGGAGTTAGATAATTTCCTCCAAAGGGTAGCTGCAGGAGGCCACCCAGGGGTGAATGCTGCCGTTACGGTAACTCCTGTGGACAGCGCACATTTTGATGTATGGGTCCTGACTATGTATTTTTGCTTGTTGTCATTTTTTAGTCTCACTGCTTAGGCATCCTGCTGTGAAAAACAAAGGCAGATTCACATAGACCTGAGTCAGATTTCTACTCTTTTATTTAATGCATGACTCAGGATAGATAATTTCAACCTCACTGAGCCTCAGTATCCTCCGGTAGTGGAGGATACCACCACTTTGATGGCTTTTGTGAGGATTCGATATAAAATATGTCAAGTGCCTACCACTGGGACTAGCAACATGGTAAATATGTTTTTAAAGAAGTTGTTATTTTTTAAACCATATTTTTACTGTTATTCTGTGGAGTAAGAAAACTTTTGGTGTGCCAGATTTCCAGAGGGAAAAAAAATTAGCATAATGATTTAATCATATAAAGCACTCATTCTCAACCTGACAATACTGGAAATACAAATGCCAAATATTCAAATCCCAATGCCAATACTCATCTGTGGAAATATCACTGCCTGGACCCTACCCTTCTTCCCCAAGAGCTTCTGGTACAGTGGGTCTAGGCTGAGTCTTCCTCCCGCTTCTTCCCCGCATTGGAATTTTTTTAAAGCTCCTGTGTGATTCTAGTGTACAGCCAGTGTTGTGAATCTGTGATGAAAAGCACTAGTTTTCAAATTTGAGTTTCTGATTTTGGGGTTTTTTTGGTCCAGTCCTGTCTTGGCACACATACGGAGGTATTTAAGAGGACCTTTTTAATGTCAGTTTTTTTAGCATCCCCCACATACACGTGATAGAAGTTATATCCATTTATGGAGAAAATAGACATGCATGGACCAGAAATGCAAGCCTATTAGAAATTAATATGGAGGATTGTAGATGTATGTTCATAGTTACTATTTTAGCCTTTTCCCCTTTGGTTGGTTAAAAATATGCAGTGCTAATCTCCCAAAGGTTAAAACATTGGTCAGTTAGTTGAGGTTGTTTATTTTGCTTCATGTTTTCCTGTATAAGTGTAGCTGTTAATGAGGCTGTGTATTTTAAAAGAAAGAAATCTCCATCCTGAGGGTACAGCTAGTATGTAAAACTTCCTTGTTATGAAATACTTAATAGACTTTAAAATCATTTCTTCAGTTTTCAGTTAAAAATATGTTAACATATTACAAATTCTTTCTGCATCTGAAGGGTTTCCTCTGACTTCTGCTCCTAGACCAATAGATTTGTTTGTAATAGAATAAAATATTACATTGTCTTTTGCATATCTTTACAGAAAAGATCCAAGTGCTTTCTTTTCATTTCCTGTGACTGATTTTATTGCTCCTGGCTACTCCATGATCATTAAACACCCAATGGATTTTAGTACCATGAAAGAAAAGATCAAGAACAATGACTATCAGTCCATAGAAGAACTAAAGGTAACTCTTCAATCCTATATACACAAAATCTTGGTAGAAATCTGCATGTCTGATATTCAGAATCTTTCTCATTGACCTTTTATTTTGCAAAGAATTGAGTTTATTTTAAGATCCAGTATCTTTGTTTATTTCTGCTTCAGAAAACTTTATGAGCTTGGTGATGGAAAACCAGATGAAATAGGTCCTCTGATATCTTTCATTCATAATTATTTTTGTCTTTAGCGAAATTTTGAGTTTGATATGTGTTCCACAGTATATTTTTTCCAACCTTAGAGTGAAATTTTTAGCTTAGATCAATACAAGTAAAACGAATATTTTAATGAAAGTTGAGGGTTTTTTCTATTTCTAGACATATGAGATATGCATATTGTATTAATCCATTCTTACACCGCTATACAGAACTGCCTGAGACTGGGTAATTTATGAAGAAAAGAGCTTTGATTAACTCACAGTTCCACAGGCTGTACAGGACACATGGCTGGAGAGACCCAAGGAAACTTACAATCGTACTGGAACATGAAGGGGAAGCAAGCACGTCTTCACATGGCAGCAGGAGAGAGTGAAGGGGGAAGTGCTACACACTTTCTTTTTTTTTTTTAGATGGTTTACATTTTTTTAATTTTTTTTTTTTTAATTTAAGTTCTAGGGTACATGTGCACAACGTGCAGGTTGGTTACATATATATTCATGTGCCATGTTGGTGCGCTGAACCCATTAACTCATCATTTACATTAGGTATATCTCCTAATGCTACCCCTCCCCCATGCCCCCACCCCACAACAGGCCCCGGTGTGTGATGTTCCCCACCCTGTGTCCAGGTGTTCTCATTGTTCAATTCCCACCTATGAGGGAGAACGTGCGGTGTTTGGTTTTCTGTCCTTGCCATAGTTTGCTCAGAAACAGCTTCATCCATGTCCCTACAAAGGACATGAACTCATCCTTTTTATGGCTGCATAGTATTCCATGGTGTATATGTGCCACATTTTCTTAATCCAGTCTATCATCGTTGGACATTTGGGTTGGTTCCAAGTCTTTGCTATTGTGAATAGTGCCACAATAAACATACGTGCGCATGTGTCTTTATAGCAGCATGATTTATAATCCTTTGGGTATATACCCAGTAATGGGATTGCTGGGTCAAATGCTATTTCTAGTTCTAGATCCTTGAGGAATCGCCACACTGTCTTCCACATGGTTGAACTAGTTTACAGTCCCACCAACAGTGTAAAAGTGTTCCTGTTTCTCCACATCCTTTCCAGCACCTGTTGTTTCCTGACTTTTTAATGATCACCGTTCTAACTGGTGTGAGATGGTATCTCATTGTGGTTTTGATTTGCATTTCTCCGACTGCCAGTGATGATGAGCATTTTTCACGTGTCTTCTGCATGAATGTCTTCTTTTGAGAAGTGTCTGTTCATATCCTTTGCCCACTTTTTGATGGGGTTGTTTGATTTTTTCTTGTAGATTTGTTTAAGTTCTTTGTAGATTCTGGATATTAGCCCTTTGTCAGATGGATAGACTGTGAAAATTTTCTCCCATTCTGTAGGTTGCCTGTTCACTCTGATGGTAGTTTCTTTTGCTGTGCAGAAGCTCTTTAGTTTAATGAGATCCCATTTGTCAATTTTGGCTTTTGTTGCCATTGCTTTTGGTGTTTTAGTCATGAAGTCCTTGCCCATGCCTATGTCCTGAATGGTATAGCCTAGGTTTTCTTCTAGGGTTTTTATGGTTTTAGGTCTAACATTTAAGTCTCTAATCCATCTTGAATTAATTTTTGTATAAGGTGTAAGGAAGGGATCCAGTTTCAGCTTTCTACATATGGCTAGCCAGTTTTCCCAGCACCATTTATTAAATAGGGAATTCTTTCTCCCTTTCTTGTTTTTGTCAGGTTTGTCAAAGATCAGATGGTTGTAGATGTGTGTTATTATTTCTGAGTGCTCTGTTCTGTTCCATTGTTCTCTGTCTCTGTTTTGGTACCAGTACCATGCTGTTTTGGTTACTGTAGTCTTGTAGTATAGTTTGAAGTCAGGTAGTGTGATGCCTCCAGCTTTGTTCTTTTGGCTTAGGATTGACTTGGCAATGCAGGCTCTTTTTTGGTTCCATATGAACTTTAAAGTAGTTTTTTCCAATTCTGTGAAGAAAGTCATTGGTAGCTTGATGGGGATGGCATTGAATCTATAAATTACCTTGGGCACTATGGCCATTTTCACGATATTGATTCTTCCTACCCATGAGCATGGAATGTTCTTCCATTTGTTTGTATCCTCTTTTATTTCATTGAGCAGTGGTTTATAGTTCTCCTTGAAGAGGTCCTTCACATCCCTTGTGAGTTGGATTCCTAGCTATTTTATTCTCTTTGAAGCAATTGTGAATGGGATTTCACTCATGATTTGGCTCTCTGTTTGTCTGTTATTGGTGTATAGGAATGCTTGTGATTTTTGTACATTGATTTTGTATCCTGAGACTTTGCTGAAGTTGCTTATCAGCTTAAGGAGATTTTGGGCTGAGACGATGGGGTTTTCTAAATATACAATCATGTCATCTGCAAACAGGGACAATTTGACTTCCTCTTTTCCTAATTGAATACCCTTTATTTCTTTCTCCTGCCTGATTGCCCTGGCCAGAACTTCCAACACTATGTTAAATAGGAGTGGTGAGAGAGGTCATCCCTGTCTTGTGCCAGTTTTCAAAGGGAATGCTTCCAGTTTTTGCCTTTCGGTATGATATTGGCTGTGGTTTTGTCATAAATAGCTCTTATTATTTTGAGATATGTCCTATCAATACCTAGTTTATTGAGAGGTTTTAGCATGAAGGGCTGTTGAATTTTGTCAAAGGCCTTTTCTGCATCTATTGAGATAATCATGTGGTTTTTGTCTTTGGTTCTGTTTATATGCTGGATTACGTTTATTGATTTGCATATATTGAACCAGCCTTGCCTCCCAGGGATGAAGCCAACTTGATCGTGGTGGATAAGCTTTTTGATGTGCTGCTGGATTTGGTTTGCCAGTATTTTATTGAGGATTTTTGCATCGATGTTCATCAGGGATATTGGTCTAAAATTCTCTTTTTTTGTTGTGTCTCTACCAGGCTTTGGTATCAGGATGATGCTGGCCTCATAAAATGAGTTAGGGAGGATTCCCTCTTTTTCTATTGATTGGAATAGTTTCAGAAGGAATAGTACCAGCTCCTCTTTGTACCTCTGGTAGAATTTGGCTGTGAATCCATCTAGTCTTGGACTTTTTTTGGTTGGTAGGCTATTGCCTCAATTTCAGAGCCTCTTATTGGTCTATTCAGGGATTCAGCTTCTTCCTGGTTTAGTCTTGGGAGGGTGTATGTATCCAGGAATTTATCCATTTCTTCTAGATTTTCTAGTTTATTTGCATGGAGGTGTTTATAGTATTCTCTGATGGTAGTTTCTATTTCTGTGGGATCAGTGGCGATATCCCCTTTATCATTTTTTATTGCATCTATTTGATTCTTCTCTGTTTTCTTCTTAGTCTTGCTAGTGGTCTATCAATTTTGTTGATCTTTTCAAAAAACCAGTTCCTGGATTCATTGATTTTTTTGAAGGGTTTTTTGTATCTCTATCTCCTTCAGTTCTGCTCTGATCTTAGTTATTTCTTGCCTTCTGCTAGGTTTTGAATGTGTTTGCTCTTGCTTCTCTAATTTTTTTAATTGTGATGTTAGGGTATCAATTTTAGATCTTTCCTGCCTTCTCTTGTGGGCATTTAGTGCTATAAATTTCCCTCTACACACTGCTTTAAATGTGTCCCAGAGATTCTGGTATGTTGTGTGTTTGTTCTCATTGGTTTCAAAGAACATCTTTATTTCTGCCTTCATTTCGTTATGTACCTGGTAGTCATTCAGGAGCAGGTTGTTCAGTTTCCATGTAGTTGAGCGGTTTTGAGTGAGTTTCTTAATCCTGAGTTCTAGTTTGATTGCACTGTGGTCTGAGAGACAGTTTGTTATAATTTCTGTTCTTTTACATTTACTGAGGAGTGCTTTACTTCCAACTGTGTGGTCAATTTTGGAATAAGTGCAGTGTGGTGCTGAGAAGAATGTATATTCTGTTGATTTAGGGTGGAGAGTTCTGTAGATGTCTATTAGGTCTGCTTGGTGCAGAGCTGAGTTCAATTCCTGGATATCCTTGTTAACTTTCTGTCTCGTCGATCTGTCTAATGTTGACAGTGGGGTGTTAAAGTTTTGCATTATTATTGCGTGTGAGTCTAAGTCTCTTTTTAGGTAACTCAGGACTTGCTTTATGAATCTGGGTGCTCCTGTATTGGGTGCATATATATTTAGGATAGTTAGCTCTTCTTGTTGAATTGATCCCTTTACCATTATGTAATGGCCTTCTTTGTCTCTTTTGATCTTTGTTGGTTTAAAGTCTGTTTTATCAGAGACTAGGATTGCAACCCCTGCCTTTTTCTGTTTTCCATTTGCTTGGTAGATCTTCCTCCATCCCTTTATTTTGAGCCTATGTGTGTCTCTGCACATGAGATGGGTTTCCTGAATACAGCACACTGATGGGTCTTGACTCTTTATCCAATTTGCTAGTCTGTGTCTTTTAATTGGAGCATTTAGCCCATTTACATTTAAGGTTAATATTGTTATGTGTGAATTTGATCCTGTCATTATGATGTTAGCTGGTTATTTTGCTCGTTAGTTGATGCAGTTTCTTTCTAGCCTTGATGGTCTTTACAATTTGGCCTGTTTTTGCAGTGGCTGGTACTGGTTATTCCTTTCCACGTTTAGTGCTTCCTTCAGAAGCTCTTGTAAGACAGGCCTGGTGATGACAAAATCTGTCAGCATTTGTTTGTCTGTAAAAGATTTTATTTCTCCTTCACTTATGAAGCTTAGTTTGGCTGGATATGAAATTCTGGGTTGAAAATTCTTTTCTTTAAGAATGTTGAATATTGGCTCCCACTCTCTTCTGGCTTATAGGGTTTCTGCTGAGAGATCTGCTGTTAGTCTGATGGGCTTCCCTTTGGTGGGTAACCTGACCTTTCTCTCTGGCTGCCCTTAACATTTTTTCCTTCATTTCAACTTTGGTGAATCTGACAATTATGTGTCTTGGAGTTGCTCTTCTCGAGGAGTATCTTTGTGGCATTCTCTGTATTTCCTGAATTTGAATATTGGCCTGCCTTGCTAGGTTGGGGAAGTTCTCCTGGATAATATCCTGAAGAGTGTTTTCCAACTTGGTTCCATTCTCCCCATCACTTTCAGGTACACCAATCAGATGTAGATTTGGCCTTTTCACATAGTCCAATATTTCTTGGAGGCTTTGTTCATTTCTTTTCACTCCTTTTCCTCTAAACTTCTCTTTTTGCTTCATTTCATTCATTTGATCTTCAATCATTGATACCCTTTCTTCCACTTGATCAAATCGGCTACTGAAACTTGTGCATGCATCACGTAGTCCTCGTGCCATGATTTTCAGCTCCATCAGGTCAGTTAAGGTCTTCTCTACCCTATTTAATGTAGTTAGCCATTCGTCTAATCTTTTTTCAAGGTTTTTAGCTTCTTTGCAATGGGTTCAAACATCTTCCTTGAGCTCAGAGAAGTTTGTTATTACTGATCGTCTGAAGCATTCTTCTCTCAACTCATCAAAGTCTTTCTCCCTCCAGCTTTGTTCCGTTGCTGGCAAGGAGCTGCGTTCCTTTGGAGGAGAAGAGGTGCTCTGATTTGTAGAATTTTCAGCTTTTCCGCTCTGGTTTCTCCCCGTCTTTGTGGTTTTATGTACCTTTGGTCTTTGATGATGGTGACATACAGATGGAGTTTTGGTGCGGATGTCCTTTCTATTTGTTAGTTTTTCTTCTAACAGTCAGGACCCTCAGCTGCAGGTCTGTTGGAGTTTGCTGGGGGTCTACTCCAGACCCTGTTTGGGTATCACCAGCAGAGGCTGCAGAACAGCAAATATTGCAGAATGGTACATGTTGCTGCCCGATCCTTCCTCTGGAAGCTTCATCTCAGAGGGGCACCCAGCTGTATGAGGTGTCAGTTGGCCCCTACAGGGAGGTGCCTCCCAGTTAGGCTACTCGGGGGTCAGGGACTCACTTCAGGAGGTAGTCTGTCCGTTCTCAGATCTCAAACTCCATGCTGGCAGAACCACTACTCTCTTCAAAGCTGTCAGACAGGGACGTTTAAGTCTGCAGAAGTTTCTGCTGCCTTTTGTTCAGCTATGCCCTGCCCCCAGAGGTAGGCTCCACCCAGTTCGAGCTTCCCGGTGGCTTTGTTTACCTACTCAAGCCTCAGCAGTGGTGGGCGCCCCTCCCCCAGCCTCACTGCTGCCTTGCAGTTCAATCTCAGACTGCTGTGCTAACAGTGAGTGAGGCTCCGTGGGCATGGGACCCTCTGAGCCATGCGCGGGATATAATCTGGTGTGCCATTTGCAAAGACCATTGGAAAAGCACAGTATTAGGGTGGGAGTGTCCTGATTTTCCAGGTACAGTCTGTCACAGCTTCCCTTGGCTAGGAAAGGGAATTCCCCAACCCCTTGTGCTTCCTGAGTGAGGTGATTCCCTGCCCTGCTTCGGCTCACACTCTGTGGGCTGCACCCACTGTCCGACAAGCCCCAGTGAGATGAACCCAGTACCTCAGTTGGAAATGCAGAAATCACCAGTCTTCTGCATCACTCATGCTGGGAGCTGTAGACTGGATCTGTTCCTATTCGGCCACCTTGGAACCTATCACTACACACTTTCAAACAACCAGATCTTGTGAGGACTCATTATCACAAGAACAGCAAGGGGGATATCTGCCTCCATGATCAAATCACCTCCCACCAGGTCCTTCCCCCAACATTGGGGATTACAATTCAACATGAGATTGGGGTGGGGACAGAGAGCCAAACCATATCACATGTACTCTAAAGTAAAGAATAAATTGGCTTGTCCAGAAATACTAAAGAGAAGTTTAATTACATTTTCTAATTTGATGAAAGTTAATTGCTCTCTGAGTTCATTTTGGCTATATTTGTTGAGCATATTTTCTTCAGCTTTAAGAAGAGTATAGAAAATTTACAAGGACCTGAAAACTTATAATATATATACCTATTATAGATGAGGTTTTTCCCATTTGAGGGAGTGTCCTGGTGTGTGTTGATTCCAGGGAAAGGAACCATGTATATTAAAATTTACTATGTATTCAACCGCCACAAACTTAATTGGTTTAGATAATATCTGTTTTACCTCTACTTTGTTTTACATAACCACAGTAGTGCTCACCTGACCTATAAGGGTTAGACCCTAATTGGTTACCCTAATTAGTTATTTTCCTAAAAATAAAATAAGATAGTGTCTTTATGGCCAGGTGTGGTGGCTTACACCTGTAATCCCAGCACTTCCGGAGGCCGAGGCAGGTGGATCACAAGGTCAGGAGATCAAGACCATCCTGGGTAACACAGTGAAACCCCGTCTCTACTGAAAATACAAAAAAATTGGCTGAGTGTGGTGGCGGATGCCTGTAGTCCCAGCTACTCGGGAGGCTGAGGCCGGAGAATGGCGTGAACCCAGGAGGCAGAGCTTGCGACAGAGTGAGACTCCATCTCAAAAAAAAAAAAAAAAAAAAAGACAGTGTCTTTACTTAGTCCCTTTTTTCATCCACATATTGATAAGCAGAGATTTATGAAGAATATCAGTGTTTAGTGCTCTTTACTGTTGAGTTTATAGGTAATATTCCACTTTCTCCAAAGAATCTGAATTACATTCTCTCTTATTTCGAGAAATAGAAACTTTTCCCAACTTTTTATCTGGTGAAAATTAGGCTAAAACCGTTTATTTCAGCATATTTCTGACCTTACCATTGCTTAATGGGAAAGAATTTCACAGTTTTTTGTTTTTTGTTTTTTTTCTGCATGATTTTCCTCTGATCTTTCTCTTACAGTAAGAAGAGTAGAAGTGTGTCCCCAGAGTGTTTTTAAGCAGGTTAGGGTTTATCATAATTGAAAGGAATTGGTATCTTAGCTCTTTAGAATTTCTACGTTGCCACTTTTTTCTAGGGAAAGCTCAACGGCCTAAAGTAATATTTATTCAGTTCATTTGGCAGTTGAAGTAAAATGTGTGTGTGTGTGTGTGTGTGTGTGTGTGTGTGTGTGTGAAAAGTGTGCAGGAAGACTCAGCTTTTTGAATGACCAGTGCCATCACCCACAGTTCAGTAAAGCCCAGCACATTATGTTAAGATTTAAGGAATCTACAAATTGGCTTAATAGATCAGTCCTGTGTTCATTAGAACAATTCAGTACTCTTGCCAGTTCATAGGCCCATTATCTGGCCAATTATAGGCCAAATGGTCACTTAGTTTGAGTATATATAGTAATCTAGTATCTCCGTTCACTTGCGTCCCATCCCCCCAAATACATATTTAATTTTTTTTTTTTTTTTTTGAGACCGAGTCTCACTCTGTTGCTCAGGCTGGAGTGCAGTGGCATGATCTTGGCTCACTGCAACCTCCACGTTCAGGGTTCAAGCAATTGTTGTGCCTCAGCCTCCCAAGTAGCTGGGACTACAGGGGTGTGTCACCACACCCAGCTAATTTTTTTGTATTTTTAGTAGAGACGGGGTTTCACCATGTTGCCCTGACCAGTCTCAAACTCCTGGGCTCAAGCAGTCCACCTGCCTCGGCCTCCCAAAGTGCTAGAATTATAAGGGTGAGCCACTATGCCCAGCCTAGTAATTCTTAATGGCCTGGAAGCTTTTCCAAATATCTGTAACAAAGGTCTTTAATCTAGGGTCCTTTGGATACCATAATGAGCCTTTAGAGGGACCAAGAACCTACTAAAATTACATGAAGACTTTTGTGTTCAGCTGTGTGTGTGTGTGTGTGTGTGTGTGTGTGTGTGTGTGTGTGTACTTAAGGTCTGGTCCCATAGCTTTCATCAGATGCTTAGAGATCCAAGACCTGGCATATTTACAGTCATGGCCCAAACTGAAGATCCACATATACTTCATCCACTTTAATACCAAATTTATTGCGACCCTTCACTCAGTCTTACGTACTTGTACATAGAACTCAGTCTACTTATTTTTGTTCTATTTAAGTGTTCTAACCTGTCATCACTATTAAATAGTGGAATTTGAATTTTTTTTGTTTTTTAAACAAATTTGTAGGGGGCAGATTCTCTTTTCTTGGGTTTTTCTTTCAACTTAGTAAGGCCTTGGCATAATGAATCGCACATTTATAGATGTAAAAATTACTTAACTATGAAAGCATGCAGTGGGGTCAAGTTCTCCAGCACATAGCGGACTTGGAAATTTAAGCCAAAAAGACAGTTTTGGTAATTTGGCTACTCCAGTTACATGTTTTAACTCCTTGAGGTTGTATGGTTTATTTCACATTGGCATGGTTTTGCAACATTCTGCAAATTATGTTTAGTTTATGATAGTATCCAAACACATAAAAGTAGTGTAAATGTTTTAACATTTTTTGCTCAGTTAATGTGAATTTGGCAGGAAATACTGCGATAATTTAGGACTGCTCCGTTTTCAGTCAAGATCTGAAATAAAATGTTCAATTCCTAAATGGAAATTTAAGATGTTTGTTTTAAAGCTAGGAGTAATATTTTTTTTATTTACATGAACTACTCAGCTAAAATCATTACATATGAAATAGAAGTATTTTCTTCACATTTTTTTTATGTGCAGTAAGATTATACTGAAGAAACCCATTTAAAAGTTTCATTCTGGGATCTACAGTTTATATACAGGTACTATAAAATATTTAAGAATTTGGGAAATAATATAGCATATTTAAATACATTTAGCAGTATTTGTTTTGTTGGTGAGTCTTAAAACTTAATAAATTACTGTTAGTATTGTTTAGTAAATAAAGAAAGGGATGTTGCTTTTTAAATTTTTAGAGGACCTGTATATTTTCAACCTGGGGGTGCAGGGTAGTTTGTTTTGCATTAATGCATTTTCTCCCTTAATGTTCTTTCTGCAGGATAACTTCAAACTAATGTGTACTAATGCCATGATTTACAATAAACCAGAGACCATTTATTATAAAGCTGCAAAGAAGCTGTTGCACTCAGGAATGAAAATTCTTAGCCAGGTAAAGGAAACTCTTTGTCATAAATAATAGTTATTAAAATCTGTGTCGCTGTTTGTTGGCCATAGTAATACAGATACAATACAGTATTGATTTTATTTTATTAGCAGGTTATATTATATTAAATAAAGTAGAAAATACTAAATGAAAAAAATTTTAATAAAGAGAAGAAAATTAAGACAGGAAAATTCTTACTTGGAATCAATACAAATAAATATTGGCATTCACTTGTAATTATCTCTTAAGACATAAAACATCAGCTTGAAACATCAGCCTGAATTCCAGGATAAGACTGGCTGAATTGTGAGAACTCTGAAGAGGAAAGCTCTCTGTTTGCATTTGTAGGGGTGGAATCTAACGTTGGTCAGTCCTGTCAGAAGCACAGAATTTCTAGTAAGAAAATACAGTCATGCGCTGCATAATACTGTATATACAGACTGCATATACAGTGGTGGTTCCATAAGATTGTAATACTGTATTTTTACTGTACTTTTGTTATATTTAAATGCACACATACTTAGCATTGTGTTACAGCTGTCTGCAGTATTCAGTATGGTAACATGCTGTATAGGTTCCTAGCCTAGGAGCAGTAGGCTATATCATTTAGCCAGGTGTCTGATAGGCTATACCATCTAGGTTTGTGTGAGTGTACTCATTGATGGTCACACAACAAAATTGCCTAACAGTACATTTCTCAGAACGCGTCCCTTCATTAAGCTACATGTGACTATATACAAATGAGAGAAAATTTGAAACTGTCTCAAAACCACCTCTCCACAACAGCAGACTCTTCCTTAAAGGGTAAGAATTAGTGCATAGTAAGTCATTTGAGGTCAGAGAAGTGTGTGCGTAGGCACAGACACATCATCATCAAACTGCAGGAAAGAGCGTAAACATGAGATATTATACACAGTGGCAAAAAATTACTAGTGTCCCCAGGACGACAGTTGATAAAAGGCTTTGAAGGGTAAGCTGAGATGATCACTGTGCATCCGCTGGAGAAAATAACTCGCAAGATAAGCCATATCTTTTGAGGTTTTTCTCACCACTCTGAGTGGGAGAAACCTATGTAAGAGACTACTTTAGGGAACGAATCAAGGGTGATCCTGGCACCATACCATACCATGGCAGGCAGGCAGAAGAGAGTTTTCATTTTAGCTCTCTTCCACTAACTTGTGGACTTTGGGCAAGACATTAACTACCCTGGGACTCAGTGTTCTCATCCCTAAAGAAGGGTTTAGTCTGTGGTCTCCAAGATGATTTCTAGCATTACTGTTCTGATTCTAGATAAGAGGTAGAGTAGAGAGGATACTATGAAAAAGAACCACAAGATAGGACAGGGATTTTGCAAAGAAGAAATGAGTGGGTATAAGACACTGGTAGAAGGAGAAAGGAATCAGAGTCCAGAGCTTGAGCTCACATTCAGGGGAGTTAAAGGATGATAAAAATGAGTCGTGCATCTGCATGTGGTTTTTCGATTTTTATGGTGATTCATTTTTCTGTATTACAGTTTTACATTTAAAGAAATGCCTTGGTGTGCAGATGTCTGAGTGTCTGTATGCTTGGCTGAGAGATTCTTGGATTCACTTAACTAGAGAAAGAAAAACATGTTTGGATTGTTGATTATTCTTGCGCTCCTAATATTTAGACAACTTTGGTTCCCACCCTTTCCTAAAGACTTGGGAAACTAATGGAAGCCAGTTACCCATCTTTGACAACATTCGCAGAGGAAAGAGGAATATGAAATGTTTACCCATTCTTTGCAGGAAGACTCTCAGAATCTAGAACCATGCCATATTCCAGGTTTAAAGACATGGAAATGCTTCTTGTTAATGTATTTGAAGTAAAAATGCATTTGTCAAATGCAGCCTTTAGTCACTCCAAAATATGTACATTGAATTGGGTGGTGGGAGCCTAATTTTTAATGACCTTTGATTTACCACTTCCTTAAGTAATGTAGTTAATACAACAAGCAAAAGATTCCATTATCTCTTGAATTTTACTGGCGTGTGGAATGGTTGAAAGCACAGAAAATAAAATTTTCTTCACTTTCCCTTCCCTCTCTCCCTCTTTCTTTCTCTCTGTTGTCTTCCTTTTTTTCAGATCTTTTGCTGTTGAGGAGCCCCACCCATCCTGTGTTATTAGCTTCCTATTGACTGTTCTCTCCACCCTACAGGGGAGGGGTCGTCACAACAGTGATTTTTAAACGTTTAAATTTAGACCTTTTGAGTTAACTCTTCTAATAGTTTGTGCTCCAAGAGAGCCCAGCACACCCTTCCGTGAATGGTGTCTTTTCAAAGATAACTGTTTTTGAATGTTCATTGAAAAAATTGTAGAGTAGTCACTCATCATTTTTTCAGTTACACTCAAATAACAACTATTAGTAGACGTGTTATTTTTATAAAGAATGAACAGATGAGGCCAGGAACAGTGGCTCATGCCTGTAATCCCAACACTTTGGGAGGCTGAGGTGGGCGGATCATCTGAGGTCAGGAGTTTGAGACCAGCATGACCAACATGGAAAAACTCCGTCTCTACTAAAAATACAAAATTAGTTGGGCGTGGTGGTGCATGCCTGTAATTCCAGCTACTCAGGAGGCTGAGGCAGGAGAATCGCTTGAACCTGGGAGGTGGAGGTTGTGGTGAGCCAAGATCACGCCACTGCACTCCAGCCTGGGCAACAAGAGGGAAACTCCGTCTCAAAAAAAAAAAAAAAAAAAAAGAAGAATGAACAGATGAAGAGTAACTTTTTATCTCCTAAATAAATACTTGAGTAAAATGCTGCATTGTAGTACAAACAAAGTAGTACAAACAATACTATTTGTAGCATAGTGGCTTTGAAATCAGACCAATCAAGGTTCAAGTCCTAGCTCTACCCTTTGGAAGCTGTGTGACTTTAGCCCAGGTAACCTTTGTCAGCCTTTTTCCTGTCCTGTAAAGTGGGGATAATAGTAGTACTTACCTCATGGAGTTGTGTCTGGCACATGGGTAAGCACTAAGTAAATGTTAGCTATATTATTAGCAAAGAACCAGCCCTGTTAGCCATTTAATATTGTAAAATTGAAGATCAATAATGTGCTGACTTGGAGGCATTTTAATTACCAAAAAAAGAAAAAGACATTGCTTTCAAAGGAAAATTAAACTTCACTCTTTCCTGGGACTTGTTTCAAGGTTTAGAAACTTTCTCTAATTGAATTTATTTTGTGCATGTCGTGTTTTTTAAAACCCCAAAGCATTCTTAATGTAAGTTCTGCTTTATAAAATTCTAGAGTGGAAATAAAATTATTACTGAGAACTTACAGAAATAATTAAACTCACTAATATTTTTAATGTAGCAAAATAAAACGTGTTTTTAAAAATCAAATAAGATTGCTTTTTGTTGTTGTTTGTGTTTTTTGTTTTTTGTTTTGTTTTTTTGAGACGGAGTCTCACTCTGTCACCCAGGCTGGAGTGCAGTGGCGCAATCTCGGCTCACTGCAACCTCTGCCTCCCGGGTTCAAGCGATTCTAATGGGTTAGCTTTTTAAGTGATACTATTGATTTTGTCAAGGATTCAGAGAAACTTTCAAACACTAATGTAAATTAGTATGTAAATTGGTATACCTTTTCTGGAAAGCAGTAATTATCAAAAGTCTCAAAAATATTCATTCCCTTTGACTTTGTTTCCTTTCTAAGAGTTTATCCTAAAGAGATACTGGTTCCTAGAGAGATTTATTTATAATGATGTTGATGGTACTTTTATTTATAATAGTGGAAACATGGAAATCTAAATGTTCAATCATAGGCCATTAATTAAATCATGGTGTAGACGTGGGATTAAATAGTTATTAAAATATTTTAAATATCTATTGATATGGAGAGGAAATGCTTATAATTTATTAACTGAAAAAATGCTTTTTACTAAATATTCAGTATAATTCCAATTTGCTGGGTTATGTAATGGTTGGAAAAGTACTGGAATAATAAACTTGTTAACACTGTTCTTCTCTGGATGAGACATTAGGAGGATTTTTATTTTCTCCTCTACCCATATTTTTATTTGTCCACAATAAAATAGATCGCTTTAATGGTTTTAAGATTACTTTAAAAGTCCAGTAAAAAACAGCAAGAACTGTGTTGGTGAGGATGTCACCATCTGCACTACTAATAGAGCATGGTGTGATGAGGAAAGGCCCAACATGAGTGACAGCAAGCCTAGTCTTAGTTGCTGGTTTAGTGACCTTAGGTGAGTCATTTGTTGTTCCTGGGCTGCGTTGTTCTTGTTTGAATGGCCTCTGGTTCTTTCTAGTTCTTAGTTTATGTTACTCCACAGAAGTCTTCCCTGCTGTTGCTGTGCAGCCCTAAGGAGGTTGCACTCTATTTTACCCAGTGATAACTTTCAGAGTACAGGCAAGGTAGTCAGTAGAAACAAATATGCCTTCTTAAAATTTACGGAGAAACCTCAAGCCCTTAACTACAATGAAAATTTCACAGCACATCATTGCAGCGAAAAATTAAGCACATGTTTCACAGAATAGAAACAAGACTTCTTTGGTTAGCGAAACCATTCTGCACTCTGAGGAAGGAACTGTGCCACCAACTGTCTTCTCCTCAAGGCTTGTTGTTTTCACACAGAGTGAAATGCCAGCGTCATCCGTGAGCACACTGGGCTACCAGAACAGAGAGGGACTTCACACGCTCACATGCCCTAGGCTTTGATACACCTAACAGTTCTTAACTGTCAAAAGATAAGCCTGTCTGTTAAACACAAAATGTTAACACACCATTAAACTAAATTTTAGTCTTCCAATTCAGTACTTCAAAGAATACTTAGTCTTAATTCATACTTTCTCCTCTGTTAAATTTCTGATAGGGCAATAAAGTTGTAAAGCTTTCTATGAAGTTGGAAATTAAATTTTAAGAATTGAAGGTGTAGGCATTATCATGGTTTCCAAATACAATACTCTCTTGGTATATGATTACATTTAATTGTTTTTCTTCCCTGGTTAATGACAGGATAAGTATAAACTCCTGTGGGGAAAAAAATGCATTACTTTAAAAGTTAATGACAAACATATAATAAGAATATTTTCGAATATGTTTAGGAAAGAATTCAGAGCCTGAAGCAGAGCATAGACTTCATGGCTGACTTGCAGAAAACTCGAAAGCAGAAAGATGGAACAGACACCTCACAGAGTGGGGAGGACGGAGGCTGCTGGCAGAGAGAGAGAGAGGACTCTGGAGATGCCGAAGCACACGCCTTCAAGAGTCCCAGCAAAGAAAATAAAAAGTAAAAGATCTTTGGGATGTTAAGGTCAAACTGTCTTCTTCAAGCTAGTAAGGGGGAAAAATACTTATTCGGGGCCTGACTTGGGAAGACCAAGTGCTAGTGTGTCGGTGGTGGTGGTGTTTTGGCATGAAAGTCCATTTTGATGGTGTGATACCCCTCTTCTCATATGAAGCACTATATGGGATTGTCCAAACACAGTTCAGAAAGCAGTTCTAATGTGTATTCTTATTGAAGTAGTTTTAAAACCTATAAAGTGTCTTTTGGGACTGATATGGTCAGTGAGTTTATTTAAATAGAACTGTTTGTTTAAGAAAAAATGCATAGTCATTACCTCCTTCCATAAAGGAGCAAGGAGTTCAGTGGGAGCACAGGCACTGCTGCGTCTTAAGCAGATGGGCTGTCACTGCAGCGTGCCCATGTTTTCCACCCAATGTCAGCTGGTGGGAGCAACGCTGAACCACTGTTCCACCTAGGCAGCCACCTGTGCAGCTGACGGCAGCCGCATCTGCCCGTTCACACTACTGGGAGCCAGCCCTGACCGCCCAGCACCTCACTGCCAACTTTGGGGAGGGTTGTAGTTAGCAGTTTGGGATTTTTGCTGTCATAATGCAAAGAAAGTAAACTAGTGACAAGTTTTTCTTTGTTCTAAGATTTACACACTTAAGTGCTTGTTTTAAATTTTAAAAATCAAACTTTAAAAGAACAATGGTATATTGTTCTCCCTTCAAAGTAATGTTTGAGGTAGAACTAATTTTTTTGTAAGTTCCCAGAAAAACGTTTAACACAAGTAACACTGGACAGAAAAAGGTAGGGAAATAACATGTTAGGTGTGCCTTACTGTTTCTGTTCTTAAATTAGAGACCCTTAACAGGTCATCAAGGAAGTAAGTTTCAATGAGTGACTGTAGTACAAATGTCTCCACTTTAGTTGTATTCATATTTAGAATTCATTTGAATGTTTTCATCTTACTTATCTTTGTTTTTTTTTTACTTAGTATTAATGTATATTTTCAGGAAAGACAAAGATATGCTTGAAGATAAGTTTAAAAGCAATAATTTAGAGAGAGAGCAGGAGCAGCTTGACCGCATCGTGAAGGAATCTGGAGGAAAGCTGACCAGGCGGCTTGTGAACAGTCAGGTGATTGAGCTTTGCCTTTTCTTTTCTCTACCTACTGATTTGGGGCATCTGAAACTTTTAGTTTTTAAATTGCTTGCGTATTTTTAATCCATATCTGCCATAGAGCTCTTCATCAGTATAATACTTAGCAGAAAAACAATTAATAATGGACAGACAATTCCCTACAATGGGTTTATCAGGGTGTTAAATGCATTTTCAACTCATGATATTTTCAACTTACAGTGGGCGTGTTGGATGTAACTCCATTGTAAGTTGAGGACCATCTGTGTTCATTTGTAAAGTACATGATTAATCTTACCCTCTTTTACTGGATTTTTAAAAAATGAAGTTATAATATGTTCTAAAATTGGAACATGAACTACAGAATTTAAATTTACAGGAAAACATTTGTATTCTGGTCTTTTGAAATCATATTGTTTAGCATGTTGGTTTTATTTAATTTTAGATTCAAGGGGTACATACACCATTTTGTTACGTGGGTATATTGCATGATGCTGAGATTTGAGCTTCTCTTGAACCCATCACCCAAATAGTGAACATAGTACCCAGTAGGAAGTTTCTGAACCCTTGCCCCCTTCCCTCCCTGCCCCCTTTTAGCATTTCCAGTGTCTGTTCTTCCCATCTTTGTGTCTGTGTGCACCAGTATTTAGCTCCTACTTTTAAGTGAGAACATGGCAATATTTGTTTTTCTGTTTCTGCATTAATTTGTTTAGGATAGTGGCCTCCGTCTTCATCCATGTCGTTGCAGGGGACATGATTTGATTCTTTTTTATGGCTGTGTAGTATTCCATGGTGTGTGTGTGTACCGCATTTTCTTTACCTAGTCCTTTGTTGGTGGGCACCTAGGTTGATTCTGTGTCTTTGTTGTGCACAGTGCTGCAGTAAACATACAAATGCATGTGTCTTTTGAGTAAAATGATTTATTTTCCTTTGGTACATACCTAGGATTGCTGGGTCAAATTGTAATTCTATTTTTAGTTCTTTGGGAAATCTCCAAACTGCTTTCCACAGGAGCTGAACTAATTTACATTCTCACCAACAGTGAGCATTCCCTTTTCTCCACAACCTTGCCAGCATCTCTTATTTTTTGAGTTTTTAGTAATGATATAATATGGTATCTTATTGTGGTTTTGATTTGCATTTCTCCAATGATTAGTGATGCTGAGCATTTTCTCATATGTTTGTTGGCTGCTTGTATGTCTTCTTTTGAGTGGTGTCTGTTCATGTCCTTTGCCTAGTTTTTAATGGGGCTATTTGTTTGTTTCTTGTTGATTTAAGTTCCTTATAGATACTGGGTATTAGTCCTTTATTGGATGCGTAGTTAGTCCTTTATTGGATGCGTAGTTCACACATATTTTCTCCCGTTCTGCGGGATGTTTCTTTACTCTGTTGATAGTTTCTTTGGCTGTTCAGAAGCTCTGTAGTTTAATTAGGTCCCACTTGTGAATTTTTGTTTTTGTCACTTTTGCTTTTGAGAACATAGAAAATTCTTTGCCGAGGCCCATGTCCAGAAGAGTATTTCCAAGGTTTTATTCTAGGATTTTTATAATTTGAGGTCGTACATTTAAGTGTTTAATCCATTTGGAGTTAATGTTTGTATATTGTGAGAGATAGGAGTTCAGTTTCATTCTTCTGCACATGGTTAGCCAGTTTTCTTAGCGCCATTTATTGAGTGGTCTTTCTACTTTGTTTATTTTTGTCGACTTTGTCAAAGATCAGTCGGTTGTATGTATGTGGCTTTATTTCTGGGTTCTCTATTCTGTTCCATTGGTCTGTGAGTTATTTTGTTTATTTTTATCAGTATCATGCTGTTTTGGTTATTGTAGCCTTGTAGTTTTATGGGAGCTTTTGTTTGGTTTGGTTTGATTTTGAGACAGGGTGTCACTCTGTCGCCCAGGCTGGAGTGTGCAGTGGCACAATCTTGGCTCACTACAGCCTCCACCTTGGGAGCTCAAGCAATTCTCCTGCCTCAGCCTTCCAAGTGGCTGAAAGTACAGGTGCGTGACACCATGTCCGGCTAATTTTTGTATTTTTTGTAGAAATGAGGTTTCACCATATTGCCCAGGCAGGTCTCAAACTCCTGAACTCAAGCAATCCACCCAACTCAGCCTCCCAAAGTGCTAGGATTACAGACATGAGCCACCGTGCCCAGCCTGTAGTATAGTTTGAAATTGGGTAATGTGATGCCTCTGACTTTGTTCTTTTTGCTTAGAATTGCTTTGGCACTTCAGGCTCCTTTTTGGTTCCATGTGAATTTTAGAATAGTTTTTTCTGAATCTGTGAAGAATGATGTTGGGAATTTGATAGGAATAGCATTGAATCTGTAGATTGCTTTAGACAGTATGGACGTTTTAACAATATTGATTATTCCATGAGCATGGGATGTTTTTCCATTTGTGTCATATATGATTTCTTTCAGCAGTGTTTTTTAGTTCTTCTAGAGATCTTTCACCTCTTTACATATATTCTTAGGTATTTTATTTTTTCTGTGGCTGTTGTGAATAGGATTGCATTCTTGAATTGGTGCTCAGCTTGAACATTATTGGTTTATAGAAATGCTACTGATTTTTGTAAATTGATATTGTATCTTTACCAAAAATACATTTTTCTTTATATACTATGTATATAGAATTGTTTCTCTTATATCTAGTAATTTTAATAACATATTAACTATTTTAACTTTTAGTAACCCTAATTTCAAGTGAAAACCCTAAGATTACTTAATATAACATGACTTTAAGATTTAAAATTACTGAAGAGAATTTTGAAACTAGTTTTATTTACCAAGGATTACTAAAGTTGTGTGAACTAAAGGGCATTTGAGCGAAATTCTGTTTTTTTTAAATAAAATAATTGATTTAAGCACTTACTTTTCTTTGGTCAGTTGATTAGAGCTCTTTCGTATATTTTGGTAGTGATACATCACATACACATGACACATATATAGACATACAAACACACAGAAGCAGATCTTGTAGATTTATAAGATTCTTCATTTGCCAGTTTTCACTTTCTCTCCCCCTCTTAGACTATCAGTCATTTCCAAAGTCATAACAAAGTAGACGAAACAAGGTAGAAAATTTACATCTCAGAGGCACAGAAGCTATACCTAAACACCATTACCTGAAAACAAGTTGATTGCCAGAAGGAGGTTGCAGTGAGCCAAGATTGCACCTCTGCACTCTAGCCTGGGCAACAGAGCGAGACTCTGTCTCAAAAAAAAAAAAAAAAAAAAAGTGTCCTCTTTTCAACTTAACTTGTTTCCTTATTAGATTACTGGTTTCAAGAGGGAGCCCTTTAAGGAACAGGGCCAAGAAAGCATGCAGTTTTTAGGGCCTAATACTTACTGGAAGGCAGGTTTTAGATCACCCCAAATCACTGAATCCTGGGTCCCCAGAAAGCTGAAGAGATCAGGTAATACAATACAGAAAAGAGCAGAGTTTTAGATCTGAGAGGAATCTGTCTGCTTACAACTCTTGGTATTCTGTGAGGAAAAACAGAGATTCTTCCCAAAAAGAGGAGTCTTTGATGCCTTTTCTGTTTACTCAAGAGATCACAAGCTGCCAGAAATTCCTTTAGGTCCCTAATATGGTATCGAGGGTGGCAAGAGGAAGGGGGGACAGCCAAACAGAACTCAGTTGACTGAGACATTTTACAGAGCCATTACAGCGGCGTTAAAACAGTAGACATATGTGTGTATATGTATAGCCCAAATAGCAGTTTTAACTGAGCCGACATTTGAATATAGAGCTCTTTTTTAAAAAATATTTTTCCTAATTGTAATTCCTACTCAGGTTGTTTTACTTTTGCTTCTGCTGCTAGCTGGGCTCCTGTTGCCAAACAAGCAGCCCACAAAAGTGGCCATCTTGCTGCAGTGGCTGCCGGCTGCCCTTCCTGACCACAGTGCGATGGATGGCTCTCAGCCGACAATCACTCCAAATACACTAGTGTTTTCAGGGCGTCCTTGTACTCACGCACAGGCATCTAAAACATGAGCCATACCACTCAACGAGGAAGTGGCTGCCACCTGGGATTTCCTCCACGGATGCTTCCTTCCCTTTGCCCATTTCTTGGTCCCTCCACTCCTGACTAGCTCACCACATGTTCCAGCTTAAATGTTTCCAGAAAGAAACATTTAACAGGGACTTAGGAACAGAAGCCATGTCTTGGGTGGCAGTGAGATGGTGGGTCCCTGTCACGTTGGTTTTAAAGCCAAGTAGGTGTATACATGCCTTTAAGCAAGCCACTGCCCTCACCTGGTCCATAGTAGCCTTTTTTGATAGACTGGGGAGGACTAGGTGGCCTTAAGGACCCACAGAGCTCTTAGAATTCTGAGATTTTCTTCACCTCCATTTCTCTAGCCCATCATCCCCTGTGTGAAAGTCAGTATCTTGAGTTTAATGATTAGCCACCTGTAATATTAGTTTGGTTAAAATAAGCCTTTGTGGTTTGCTGCATATATGAATATGGTACAGGCTGAGCATCCCTAATCCAGAAATTCGAAATCTGAAATTCTCCAAAATCTGAAATTTTTTGAGCTCCGACATGATGACATAAGTGGAAACTTCCACACCTGACCTCATGTGACGGGTGCACAAAATTATTTATTGTATAAAATTATTTTCTGGCTGTATCTGTAAAGTGTATATGAAACATAAATGAATTTTATGTTCCATCCCTAAGATATCTCATTATGTATATGTAAATATTCCAAAATCTGGGAAAATCTGCAATCCACAACACTCTGGTATCAAGCATTTCGGATAAAGGATACTCAGCCTGTTTGTATAAAACACTTCATTCCATCTGAATACTTTGGGTCATTGCAGTGCGAATTTGAAAGAAGAAAACCAGATGGAACAACGACGTTGGGACTTCTCCATCCTGTGGATCCCATTGTAGGAGGTAGGATCAGAGTAAAACTGTGCATGAACTTGATGCTATTTGGCAGAGAACAGTAACCTGGGTTAACATTTTAAAGCAACAAGCTTGAATATTGATCAGTCTGTGTCATTATGCACAAAGGATCTAGCTAGACATCATGTATTTCATGGTAACAGCTAGCCTAACTTTCACTTCATCTTGAAATAGGTACAGTATATCAAGTTTTCCTTAAAATTCAAAGTCCCTGAAATATTTTAAACCCGCCATTAACAAAGCCATAACTTTTAGATAGTAATTCCTAGCCCTGGTTTTAAGAGACTTTAGTATAGACACTCAGTTTAGAGGTATCTCATACACACAGAATATGATATTATAAATTTAACTGTTTATTTCAGGGAATAAAATGAATGTATATGCCACATAGTGCCTTAATAATAATGGAAGGTGTATGCTTAGTGACATCGTATCTTTCACTATAGTCAGTAGAAAGTTTGTAAAGATTGGGAATCTTTAGAACCTCAGTCATATTTTTGTTTTCTCAAATGATGTTTTAATGGAAATCATATAGGTTATATTTTGAAATTCGATGTCACAATTAGAACTTTTTGTCACTGGTCTGAGGAGAGAATCATGTATTGAGATATGCAAATGTGAGAATGTTAATTTATTCAACAAATTTATTTTCATACTGTCATAATGAAAGAAGTAATTGGAAATACGAAAATGAATAATGACAGAATTTTTACCCTTAAGGAAACAGTCTCTGATGTTTATTGTTTGCTGTGAGCAGGGTGCTGTCTTAGGAGCTAGCTGTGTAGTAGAGAACAAAACAGAGAGAGAGGAGTCCCTTTTCCTTGTTCTATGGAGTCGGGGGAAGAGGACTCACATAAAGAGAAGTCTGTCCTTAATCAGTACTATGCAGGTGTGTGTCTATAATGAATAAATACTACAAAGGAAAAGAACAGCTATGATCATAATAGAAGATACCAACCTAGTGTTTGGGGGTCAGGGAAGGCATCCTTAAGGAGATGATGTTTAGGTTGAGTAAGGGATGAGAGAACAGCAGTTGTGAAAACCTTGAAGCAGGGAAGAGCATTTGAAGATGGAAAGAAGGGGACTATGAATGTTCTCTAAAGGAGGAGAACAGTAATAGAAGAAAAGGAGCTAGTGCTGTTTTCAAAACAAAACTCAGTTTCTACTTTGATGCAGACAAGTAGAATTTTATATGATCATAGGTCAAAGAATGCCACAGGATTGAGAACATTGCTCTTTCTACTATAGCTGTGGTGAACATTTGGTGTTAGGAGATGCAGCTAACTGATGTAGGTGACACCTTAAGATCTGCTGCTTTCTGTGAAGCCGAGTGTGGTCTCTGTCCTTGCTCTGGTTTCCTGGGTTTCCAGTTTCTGAGACCTAATCAAATGTGGCCAAAGCTGACTTGGCTCCCCGTGTGCACAGCTCCCTCTGTAGGCCACTTTCATGGTTTAAGGTAGAAGACACCCCTGTTCATCTTCTCAGCTTCATTGTCTGGTACCCGTACCTATTAGGAAACCAAATTCCAGACTGTTGGCTGAGGAGAGAAGATCTGATTTAGATGTTCAGTTGCTTAACAGTGCCTTCACCACACTGGTCACTGATGGCAGTAGCCTCCGTTGAAGGCTGATCATGTGACACAAACTCAGACTCTTCTTCAGGAGAGCAGATGTCCCTCTGTTAGATACTGTGGGAGACCACATCTTCTCCTGCCAGCATCTTTTGCAGTCCCCTCAGGTGCCCATACGTGACATTTCTCTATGTCACGTATTCCCAGCTTCATCACAGGGATTCATTCCTGGCTAATGCCTGTTCTCGTTGCACTAAAAGTATGCCTTTCATAGATACTCATTTATCCTTCATGTGTTAGTAGCCCTTTTGTCTTTAATGCAGGTGTTTTCCCTCAGTCTTTTACTAACCTTTGTACTGGTTAACTTTCATCTTAACATTAAAAGTCCCAGCTTTTAAAAGTTTTTGTGGCTTTTGTTTTTAATAAAAATTAATTTTTTAAGTGAAGTGTACATGATTATAAAGAATTCCAGGAAGCAGGAGAGTGTAATGAACAGGTCTGAGTTTTGGTCCTGGCTATAGTTCTGCCTTTCTGAGCTTTGATTTTCTTATAAAAGTGGATGTAGTAAGCGCTTCCCAGCCTCCTTCACGGTCATGCAGATGACATGCAGTGGTTTGTGCGGAGTCACTCGGCAGAGGGCCCCGTGGGTCATGGCCATGTAGGCCTCCTTCACTGTGCTCTGTTTTATGTTGTAGAGCCAGGCTACTGCCCTGTGAGACTGGGAATGACAACTGGAAGACTTCAGTCTGGAGTGAATACTTTGCAGGGGTTCAAAGAGGATAAAAGGAACAAAGTCACTCCAGGTGAGGCTCCTGCATAGGAGTCATTTTTTCTCTTCTCTGTTTTGGGATATTAGGGAAAGGAAGCACGATTATGCTTTATTCACTAGGTGGGCACCAGTATCTTGGTGGTATTTTTGCAACATTAATTAGCTATTTTATTAACTTCAGAAGAGACTGGAAAATTGGGTATTAGTATTCAAAATGAATTTTGTTCTTTCTTGTTCCTCTCCCTCTCCCTTGTAGGGAAGAATTCACTTGAGTTGTAACTTTACAAGTACCTGTTTGAGAGAAAATATCTTAGATTTGCAAACCAGCCAATGAAGTAGTAAAGTTAGGAGAGAATAAATAATCTTTTGGTAAAACAAAATAGATTGACATGCAAGTTAAAGAATAGTGTTACAGTATTTGATTTTTTCAACAGTGTTATATTTGAATTATGGGCCCTACAGTTCTTATGCACCGCATTATGACTCCACATTTGCAAATATCAGCAAGGATGATTCTGATTTAATCTATTCAACCTATGGGGAAGACTCTGATCTTCCAAGTGATTTCAGGTGAGTTTCCAGTTAATATTCTGATTACATTTGTTTAAAAACATTAAAGTACATACATGATTTGTGGATAGACTGACAAAGCTGGCCGAGTAGTAAAAAAAAATGTGCTCAGTAATTTTTTTTTAAGCTGACAATAATGGATTCATAGTTACTATTATCCTTTAGTGGAGAGAGAGAGCATGTCTCCCTGATAGTAGCATCTGCAGTATTTTAATTTTTAAAAAATATATTTTTAAAGAGACTGTACCTCAGCCAGTACTAAAGTGTAGGAACTTGTTACTTCAAAACGTTGATGTGCCATCTGCTGTCTTATAACATGTTGTGTGTCAGTGAGTTATGGTCCAAACTTGATCAGTTTGGGAACCTACAGTGCATTTTCCCCAAGAAAGGAGGCAGGATAGGATGGCTCTATTCCATAGGCAGCCCACATAAAAGCCTTTTTGACCAATCACATGCCAGGTAGACCATTGCAGTTAAACTCAACCATTCTTTATTGCATGTTTCTGTGGGAAGATCATCTCTGTGTTCCTGTTTAGGATGCTGAGCAGTTTGGATCCCATCAACATAATGAGATCCATCCTGACTTAGCAGGATTCTGGCTCAGGATGGGACACTGAGCTTGGGTTATGGCAGTAGTTTACTGGATATTATTCCTTCTTAGCAGTAGTACCTTGCTAATTTTCATTACATATAAGAAATTAACCCTGTAGATTCACCAGTCCCCTGCTTTTCTCACAAAGAGGGAATCTGTTCACTTTTACATTAGTAAGTGTGGTTTGGTTGTTGTTGTTTTTACAAGGTAGAGGTCCTTAAGTCCGAAGTTGACTGTGGTTTCAGATCAAGCCATTTAATCTTTTAGACCTCACCAGCCTGAATGAATTCTTTCTGGATCATGCATCTATGCATTCCACAAATAGGGATTGCACAGGGGAACAACACTGGCAAAGGCCCATGCCCTCCTGTCAAATGATGACAAGTGCTTTGGAGAAAGGTAAAGCAGCAGAGAAGGAGAGAGTAGTGCTGGGGCTACGAGAGGGATGCACTTTTAAATCGGTCAGATAAGTCTGGTACAAAAGGGAAAGTTGAGCAAAAACTGAAGGAGGTGAGGAAGCAAGCAAGGCTGCTACCTGAAAGAACGTTCCAGGCAGTGCAGGAGCTGTGCAGAGGGCCTGAGTGGGAGCCTTCCCAACATACTTGAGAACAGCAGGAAGAAGCAGAAGAGTGCAGGCACATGGCCAGGGAGGGCGTTGATGAGAGTGGGTCTTTATAAGCACTTGGAATTTCATTCTCAGTGAGATGGAAGTTACTGGTGGATTGCGAGCAGAAGAGTGACCCGGTCCAGATTATGATGTTTAAAGGATCACCCTGGCTACTCTTGGAGAATAGACTGTAGAGAGGCAAGGGCAGAAGTAGGGAGATGAGAAATGGACCGGGGGAGTAGCAGGTGAGGTTCTGGGAAGGGCTCAGTCATCAGCCAGTAGGATTTCTTTACTGATTGAAGTGGGATGTGAGAGAGAGATGCCGAGGCTTACTCCAGGGTTTGCACACTGAGCCTGGAAGACTGCAGTTGCTATTTACCGAGAAGGGGGAAGCTTTGGAACATTACTTGGGGGGAAGATCTAGCATTTCAATTTTGGATATTTTAAGCTTGAGATGTCTGTTAGACTTCCATGTGGAGCACCAAAGGGTGTGGTCCAAACTGGAGGTGTAACTTTTGAGAGTTTTTTGATCCCATATGAAAGTCCTGAGGTGAAGGTGATCACTGCAGACAGGAAGTGAGGGGGCGGGGAGCAGAAGATCCAGGGACTGAGCCTGCACCCGTCACTGAGGTTTCATTTTTCTTTGGAACGTTTTATTTTTACTGTGTTCTTCATATTATCTCATGATAATGTTATTGCTAATTAATATGTAGATACCATGTTGTGTCTAGGCAGAAATTTGATGTCATGATGTATAACCGAGGACATCTAGTGGAAACAGTTGGCTCTGATGGGAGGATAAAGCCAGTGGAGGTGATTTATGTGAGACTTTCCTAACTGTCTCTTGCAGCATCCATGAGTTTTTGGCCACGTGCCAAGATTATCCGTATGTCATGGCAGATAGTTTACTGGATGTTTTAACAAAAGGAGGGCATTCCAGGACCCTACAAGAGATGGAGATGGTAAGAACACTGCTAATGAAAACAGGGTAATTTATTATCGACTCTCAAGCATTAGTCATTCAGTATAATGAAACCATGGGATTAACAAGTATGACAGCTGAACTCTGTGGCCCTGAAAGACAGCCCAGCCCGGCTGGAGGCCACGGGTGGACAATAAACGGAAAGGAGTAATTTAGCTACCAGGATCTGTGAGGGCCTGAGCGTTATCCTTATCTCCTCATCTTGGGAATGTAGGACTCAAAAATGGGGTTTACAACTCAGAAGTCAGTGGGCATTGTGTCCTCTAACAAAAAAGGAAAGTTTTGCTCACTGGCCTGAAACTAAGTTGGCTAAAATGATAGGGAATGGCTTTTCCTCGTGCAGTAATAGCACATCGGGAGGAACCTCAAGTTAAAAAGTAAAAAGCTTCCTCATTGCTATTTTATTAACATTTGTAAGCTATCTCTAGTTCAGTTGGAGATAGTTGGTAATCTGGAATCATTCAGAGTTTTGGCTTAAGGATTAGAACCAGAAAATGTTCCTACTGATACAGAAGAGAGTTGATCTCCAGAACGTTCCTGTCACAATAGTTAGAGGAACCCTGTGTCTTTTGGAGGTCTAACTCTTAATGGTGACTGTGACTGTAGTGCCTGGTACCCTGCTCACAACTGCACATATGGTTGCTGGGTGACCTGTCAGCAGAGCTGAGGTTAGTGCCTCGGTCAGGCCCAACGATGACTGCTGTAAAATATCCGCACTTGGACTGCTTTCATCACATGACCTAAAAAATGAAATTTTACATCAATTTAAAAAATACATATTTTTTTACCATATCCTCATCAATTAATCTGAATGAATTAATAGTCTAACGAAAATTGAATATTTTTCATTTGGTGAATATGGCAATGTGTTTCAAAATGTCAAGTGTCTTTGTCCTTCAATATAGCAGTTCCTCTTCTCAGAATTTATTCTAGAAAAAATACAAAAGTTACATATAAGGTTACATTGTTTATAATTTTTAGAAATTGGGAATTGGTTAAATAACTCACAACCTTTCAAAGAAAGATGACATCATTGATTGATGTCCATGATATATTTGTCTCTTGTTCCTGGGTGCATTAGCTCTGAAGAGCAAGATTGGGAAGCTTTCACATTCTCTGTAGCATTTGATTATTTTACAGTAATCCTCTGCTATCTGAGAATATTGCTGTGTTCATGCACAGTAATCCCTAGAACTCCTTCCTGTCTTCTCGTCAGGGATTTTTCTGATAAAAACAGATACCATTTATTTACATATTTATAAGTTATTTACCAAATACCTTCTTAAACATGTATATAGCTTTTGATCAGGCATGGAAATAACATCACCAGTAATAAGTACCCCAGCTCACAGAATCCTCTCAAAATGCTAATAATTATATTTAGTCATTTTGGCCTGAAAAATTATATTCCAGTAGTCCATATTTGTATTCATTTTCTCTTGCCAAGAAACTCCTGACAGTTTTCTCTTTTCCTTGATATTCGCCTTCATGTGTTTTCCTAAAAAGCTGTTTTTCTTCATCCTTATAGTCATTGCCTGAAGATGAAGGCCATACTAGGACACTTGACACAGCAAAAGAAATGGAGGTGATTTTATTTTACACTTTACAAGAAATATTTAAATGGAAAATAAGGGGAGTAAGAGAAGTCTTGAGAATGGGAAGGCCCATTGGGTAAGAAGGAAAAAGGTTAGTGAGTAGAGTTGTGAGGGCCTAGCTGAAATGGCAAACCATAAATGCATATCAGTGCCAAGTTGCACAATTATACAGTTTCTCCCCCACAAGTTTTTAGCCCATATGTAGGTAGAGAAATCAGGTGGATCAATGGAGTTAGAGTTGGAGAGCCATACCATAGTATAAATGGAACCATTAGCTTTTGATTGCTTAATATCTGGGTTGATCTATTCCTAAAAAGTAATGTTGAGGTTATGGAAACCCCTGAGTCTTAATGATTCTGAAAATAAAAACTCCATCTTTTTTTTTTTTTTTTTTTTTTTTTTTTTGAGATGGAGTCCCGCTCTGTTGCCCAGGCTGGAGTGCAGTGGCACAATCTCGGCTCACTACAACCTCCGCCTCCTGGGTTCAAGCAGTTCTCTTGCCTCTGCCTCCCGAGTAGCTGTGATTACAGGTGCATGCCACCATGCCCAGCTAAATTTTTTTTTTGTATTTTTAGTAGAGACAGGGTTTCACTATGTTGGCCAGGCTGGTTTCAAACTCCTAATGTCAGGTGATCCGCCCACCTCGGCCTCCCGAAGTCCTGGGATTACAGGCATGAGCCACTGCGCCAGGCCAACTCCATCCTTTTTAAGATTTTGTTTCTCTCATGCAATACTGACAGCCTAGTTTGGAGGCCTGGAGAAGACCCGGGAAGTGTATCAATAGGAATGCAAGTATACGGACTAGATGGACTGAAATATGAAATAGTCTTTGAATCTCGAAAACACAAGGCATTGTCATCACCAAAAGCTCTTCACAGTTTAAGCAACAACAAGGCTCTCATTACTTCATCTTTAGAATAGTTGCCATACTAAACAAATGATATAAATTGTATAAGATACATCATTACATTTCACAGAAGTATGGATTTATTGAATACCTGTTTTTGCCAAGATTTGGGAATAGCATTTTAAAAGGGTGTTCTGGAAATTCATTTTCTGTAAGCATCAAAATTAGGACTCCATAGTAAATAGGTAGAATAACTTTGCCTGTAAATACATGCCATCTGAGTAATTTCTAGTTAACACTGCTGTGGCTTAGCAAGCGCCAGTAATTGCCTGTTTTTCCTTTTGAAGCAGATTACAGAAGTAGAGCCACCAGGGCGTTTGGACTCCAGTACTCAAGACAGGCTCATAGCGCTGAAAGCAGTAACAAATTTTGGCGTTCCAGTTGAAGTTTTTGACTCTGAAGGTAAGTGTCTCCAGAGGGTTTGATTGAAACACTGCATGATGTAGGCAGTCAAGATTTCATGTCTCATAAGTACAGATTAACATAGCCATTCACCACAGGAAGATCTTGGCTTACCAAGTTAAATGAATGGGTATGGCGTGTTGATGTCATTTCAAGCGGATTACTCTTTTGAAGGGAGAAGGCTAACCAATAATTAGCAAAGCCCTAGAGCCTAGGATTCGGTTTACTGCACAAGATCAAACAGAAGTGTGTCTGTTTTCTTACCACACAGAAGCTGAAATATTCCAGAAGAAACTTGATGAGACCACCAGATTGCTCAGGGAACTCCAGGAAGCCCAGAATGAACGTTTGAGCACCAGACCCCCTCCGAACATGATCTGTCTCTTGGGTCCCTCATACAGAGAAATGCATCTTGGTATGTTTTGCCTCCCATAAGAGGAGAGTCACGGGATGCTTCAAAGAAAAAACTTCTTGAGTACAGTGGTGATGCCACTATAGAGTAATGCTGATGTGAATCCCAGGGACAGTTTTTTTGTTTTGTTTTCTTTGCATGTGTACATTTACTGTTCTTTGGGATGCCTCTATCT